>NW_003315952.3:0-300000 GCF_000001405.40 Homo sapiens
GATCATGCAGCTCTTCCAGGCCCACTGCTTCTTCCTGTCCACTAGGCCACAGCCGCCCTCCAGGCCCACTATGCACACATCTTCCCCTCCAAGGTTTGTTCTGCCCCTGCCCTGACTCCCAGCCCTGTGGGGGTCCTGACCGCACCTCACCTGGCTCAGACTCTTGACGCTGCCCTGGCTGCCCCACCACTGCTTCTGCCCGAGAGTCACGTGAGGCTGAGAGTAGGGGCAGGGGCAGCAGTGGTGCCAGTTGGGGGGCGGTCCAGTGGGAGGAGCCTCAGCCTCGCGGGCTGCTCCGTGGGACTGATGACTGCATGATCTTCTGGGCACCTCACGGATCTTCAACTGCAGGTGAAACGGATGCTGGTGGTGGGTGCAGGGCCGCTGGGAGCTGCTGCATGGTTCCCAGAGGCTGGACTGGGGCAGGTGCCAACTGAAGCTGCTGGGGCAGCATGGGCAGGATGTTCTGCACACAAACCTTGGAGAAGAAGATGTGTGCATAGCAGGTCCACTGCTGCTGCCCCTGCCCTGACTCCCAGCCCTGCCTGACCCCACCTCAACCTGCTCAGGCTCTGGCGCAACCCTGGCTGCCCTGCCACTGCCTCTGCCCCAGAGTTGGGGCCTTGACAACCTGGTTGGAAGGGGACACCCCAGCCCTGCCTCAACACCTGGGGGTCTCCATAACTACCACAGGCAGGTGGGCAACCCCAAAGATCCCAGGACTCACAGTACCCCCTGAGAACATGGACAGTATGTGGGGGTAGAAATGGAGGGCAGGATGGTTATCTTCTCCCAGGTGAAGCCATTTAATCCTTTCAGTTTGGGACGGAGTAAGGCCTTCCTCTTTTTTTTTTTTTTTTTTTTTTTGAGACCGAGTCTTGCTCTGTCACCCAGGCTGGAGTGCAGTGGTGCGATCTTGGCTCACTGCAACCTCTTCCCGCCGGGTTCACGCCATTCTCCTGCCTCAGCCTTCCGGGTAGCTAGGATTACAGGTGGACGCTACCACGTCCGGCTAATTTTTGTATTTTTAGTACAGACGGGGCTTCATCATCTTGGCCAGGCTGATTTCGATCTCCTGACATCGTGATCTGCCTGCCTCCCCCTCCCAAAGTGCTGGGATTACAGGCGTGAGCCACCACGCCTGGCCAAGGCCTGCTCCTCTTATCTATACCCCCTACCCCTGCAGCTGTGCCGGGGGAAAGCTGGGCAGTTTCCCTCCTCCGAGCCCCTGTACATACCATGAATTGTGGGACCTTCAGAGCTTTTCACTTTTCAGAAAATAGCTCCTGCTGGGGCTACAAGATGGAGTGTGAAGAGGGCCTTGGGCCACAGGGAGGCGCCTGTGGACTAGGGGGAGTTCATGCACCCCTTCTTTCCCCAGAGGGGCTGGACTCAGGTGAGTATGGGGGTGGGGGCTCCTACACTTCGACACAGGCAGCGGGAGGGTTTTCTCCCCATTCCCTCTGCACTCCCAACTTGAGCTATACTTTTTAAGAAAGTGATTCACCCTGCCTTTGCCCCCTTCCCCAGAACAGAACACGTTGATCGTGGGCGATATTTTTCATTGTGCCAAAAAGTTGCCATGACCGTCATTAAACCTGTTTAACACCAAATAATAAGGAAAATAAAATAAAAAATTCGGGCTTGGCGCAGAAACTCACTCCAAATAAATTACCTACCAAAATATTTACATAATGGTGGAAATATTCCAAAATTCAATATTTTGGGATTTATACACAAAAGATAAACAAATTAGAGGCCAAGAGGCTGCCGGAAGGGAAAAACGGGGCCTGGAATGGCCGACGTGAGGAATGAGCTGGGCCTAAAGAGGCCACTGGCAGGCAGGAGCTGGACCTGCCGAAGTGGCCGAAAGGCAGGAGCTTTGGACTGGGGAGGCCGCAGTGAGACGAGAGCTAGCTGGGCGTGGAGAGTCCGCTGTGAGGCCGAGGCCGAGGCCGGGCCCGTGCAGGCCTTCGAGAGGCAGGAGGCCGGGCCTGCAAAGGCCGCCTGGAGATCAAGTTCTGCGCCTGAAGAGGCTGCCAAAAGTCAAAAGCGGGGCCTGGGAAGGCCGCCGAGAGCCATGAGCTGGGCTGGGCCGAAAGAGGCCACTGGGAGGCAGGAGGAGCTGGGCCTGGAGAGGCTGACTCGAGGAAGTTTTGCACCTGGAGAGGCCGTCGAGAGGACGGAGCTGGGCCCAGGGAGGCCGACTTGCTGCTCTTCCAGGCCCACTTCCAGGCCGACTTGAGGACGACTTGGGCCTGCAGAGGCCGCCGGGAGGCTGGAGCTAAGCCTGGAGAGACTGACTTCGGGACGATTTGGGCCTGCAGAGGCCGCCGGGAGGCCCAAGCTGGGCCTAGAGGAGCCCACCGACCGGAGGCCATTTGGGGCCTGCAGATGTCATCGGAGGGCCAGGAGCTGAGCCTGGAGAGGCCACCGCGAGGCCTGAGCTGGGCCTGGGGAGCTTGGCTTAGGGAAGTTGTGGGCCTACCAGGGCCGCTGGGAGCTGGGCAGGAGCTGAGTCCAAAGACGTTGTTGGGACCTGGAGTCGGGCCAGAGTCCGGCCTGGAGATGCAGCCAGGAGGAAGAGCTGGGCCCGGAGGGGGCGCCGGGAGGCTGCAAGTGGGTCTGAGAGGCCAACTTGAGGAGGCCTGGCCTCTGCCTCCCGCATTGCCCAGCTGTTCCTCCTGGCTGCATCTCCCACCTCCCAGCAAACAAGCTCTTTTGGCTCAGCTCCCGCCTGCCTTTGTAGACCCCGAAGTTTCTGCAACCAAGCTCTTCAGACCCACATCCCTTCTCCCAGTGACTGAACAGTCCCAGCTCCGGCTGGAGAAGGGCGTCTGCAGACCCCGCTGTTGCCTCCCAGGGGAGTCTCCAGGCCCAGCTCTCGCCCCACCGCGACCTCCCAGGCCCAAGTCCCTGCCTACCTCCCAGCAGCCCGAGTGCGATCCTGTTCCTCCCTCACGGTGGCCTGTTGAGGCAGGGGGTCACGCTGACCTCTGTCCGCGTGGGAGGGGCCGGTGTGAGGCAAGGGCTCACACTGACCTCTCTCAGCGTGGGAGGGGCCGGTGTGAGGCAAGGGGCTCACGCTGACCTCTGTCCGCGTGGGAGGGGCCGGTGTGAGGCAAGGGCTCACACTGACCTCTCTCAGCGTGGGAGGGGCCGGTGTGAGGCAAGGGGCTCACGCTGACCTCTGTCCACGTGGGAGGGGCCGGGGTGAGGCAAGGGGCTCACGCTGACCTCTGTCCGCGTGGGAGGGGCTGGTGTGAGGCAAGGGCTCACACTGACCTCTCTCAGCGTGGGAGGAGCCAGTGTGAGGCAGGGGCTCACGCCTCTGGGCAGGGTACCAGAGGCATGAGTTGGGCATCAACAGGCCACCGTGAGGGAGGAGCTGGGCCGCACGCGGGCTGCTGGGAGGCAGGCAGGGACTTGGCCCCGGGAGGCCGCCGTGGGGGCAAGAGCTGGGCCTGGAGAGGCCCCTGGGAGGCAAGGGCGGGGCCTGCAGAGGCTGTTCTCCAACCAGTGCTAGAACTGTACAGGCCACCAGGAGGCAGGAGGTGGGCCCTCAGAGCTTGGCTGGAGAAAGTTCAGGGCCTACAAAGGCGGTTGGGAGCTGGGCAGGAGTTGAGCCAAAAGAGCTTGCTTACTTGCTGGGAGGCAGGGCCGGGAGAGCCCGACTTCAGGACAACTTGGGCCTGCGGCGGTCGCCGGGAGGCCCAACCTTGGCGTGGAGGAGCCCACCGACCGGAGACCATTTGGGGCCTGGAGATGCCATAGGAGGGCAGGAGCTCATCCTGGAGAGGCCACCGTGAGGCCTGACCTGGGCCTGGGGAGCTTGGCTTGAGGAAGCTGTGGGCCGACCAAGGCCGCCAGGAGATGGGTAGGCACTGAGTCCAAAGAGGTTGTTGAGAGGCAGGAATCGGGCCTGGAGACCCAACCAGGAAGAAGAGCTGGGCCCGGAGAGGATGCCCGGAGGGTGCAAGTGGGTCTGGAGAGGCCGACTTGAGGAGGTTCTGGGCCCGGAGAGGCCGCCGGAAGGGAAAACTGGGCCTGGAAAGGCCGTTGTCAGGAATGAGCCCCATGGGCCTGAAGAGGCCACTGGCAGGCGGGAGCTGGGCCTGCCGAAGCGGCCGAGAGGCAGGAGCTTTGGACTCGGGAGGCCGCAGTGAAGCAACAGCTAGCTGGGCGTGGAGAGTCCGCTGTGAGGCAGAGGCTGGGCCTGTGCAGGCCTTCGGGAGGCAGGAGGCTGGGCCTTGTCGAGGCCTGCAGAGGCCACCGAAAGTCAAAAGCGGGGCTTGGGAAGGCCGCCGGGAGGCATGAGCTGGGCTGGGCTGAAAGAGGCCACTGGGAGGCCGGAGGAGCTGGGCCTGGAGAGGCTGCCGAAAGGCAGGAGCTTCGCCTGAGGATGCCACAGTGAGACACCATCTGGGTCTGGAGGGTCCACTGTGAGGCAGAGGCTGACCTGTAGAGTCCGACAGTAGACAGAAGTTGGGCAAAAGGCTGATTTGAGGAAGTTTTGGGCTTCAAGAGTCAGCCACGAGGCAGGCACTAGGCCTGGAAATGGCCTCACAGTCATGAGTTGGGCCTAAATGGGCCACTGTGAGGGAGGAGCTGTGCCTGTTGAGGCTGCTGGCAGGCAGGCAGAAATTTGGCCTGGGGCAGCCGCCATGAGGCAAGAGCTGGGCCTGGAAAAAGCCCCTGGGAGGCAAGAGCAGGGCCTGCAGAGGCTGTTCTCAAGTCAAAGCTGGGCCTGTTGATGCCACCGGGAAGCAGAAGGTGGGCCTGGAGAGTTTGACTTGAGGAAGTTTTGGGCCTACATTGGCCGCCATGAGCTGGACAGGAACTGGGCCAAAAAAGGCTGTTGTGAGGCAGCAGTTGTGCCTGTAGACCCAGCCAAGAGGAAGAGGTGGGCCTGGAGAAGCCCCCATGAGGCAGAGGTTGGGCCTGTAGACGCTGACAGGAGGCAGGAGGTGGGCCTGGACAGGTCAACTTGAGGAGATTTTGGGCCTTCATAGGCCACCAGGAGGCAGCAGTTGGGACTAGAGAGTCTGACTTGAGTAAGTTTTGGGCCCGGAGATGACGTCCTGGGACAGGAGTTGGGCGTGGAGAGGCCACCGTGAGGCATAAGCTGGATGTAGAGAGGCCAGTGTGAGACAAGACCTGGGCCTGTCTAGGCTGCTGGGAGACAGGCAGGAATCTGGCCAGGGAAGGTTGCCATGAGACAAAAGTTGGGCCTGGAAAGGCCCTTGTGAAGCATGAGCTTGGCCTAAAGAGGCCACTGGGTGGCAGGAGCTGGGTGTGTAGAAGCTGCTGAAAGGTTGGGAGCTTGGCTTGGGGGATCCACAGTGAGGTAGATGCTGGGCGTAAAGAATCTGCTGTGAGGCAGACGTTCGGACTGTAGAGGCTGACGGGAGGCAGAGGCTGGGCCTGGAGGGGCCACCAAGATGCAGGAGCTGGGCCTGGAGAGGCTGCAAAGAAGCATGAGCTGGGCCTGGTGAGGTTGACTTGAGAAAGTTCAGGGCCTGGAGAGAAGGCTGGGAGGCAGGAGCTGGGTCTAAAGAGGCCATTGTAACGATGGAGCTGTGCCTGTGGAGGCTGTTGTGAGGCAGTAGCCTCATCTGCGGAGGCTGCCGTGACGTAGGGTATGGGCCTAAATAGGCCATTGAGAGTCATGAGCTTGGTCTGTAGAGGCTGACTGGAGAAAGTTCTGGGCCTGGAGAGGCTGCCGGGAGGTAGGAGCTGGGCCAAAAGATGTAAGCACATTTGTATTTATTAGGCACTTTATTTCCATTATTACACTGTAATATATAATAAAATAATTATAGAACTCACCATAATGTAGAATCAGTGGGCGTGTTAAGCTTGTTTTCCTGCAACTGGATGGTCCCACCTGAGCGTGATGGGAGAAAGTGACAGATCAATAGGTATTAGATTCTCATAAGGACAGCGCAACCTCGATCCCTCACATGCACGGTTCACAACAGGGTGCGTTCTCCTATGAGCATCTAATGCTGCTGCTCATCTGAGAAGGTGGAGCTCAGGCGGGAATGTGAGCAAAGGGGAGTGGCTGTAAATACAGACGAAGCTTCCCTCACTCCCTCACTCGACACCACTCACCTCCTGCTGTGTGGCTCCTTGCGGCTCCATGGCTCAGGGGTTGGGGACCCCTGCTCAAGTGCATCCAAAGCGACCCTTCCCACACCAGTCTTCACAGTGGTCAAGGGCAGCAACCACTTAGCTCCCAAGGCATGTGCCTCAGCTGGCATTTCGTCACAATCAACAGTAAGTGGTAGCTTGAGTCACTGTGAGGTCACCTACTGGAAATCACCAGCACCCCATTTCCCACTGGCAAAGAGCTCAGCACTACCCCCTGGGAAACCACACCTATGCCCAAATCCCATCTGTGTGGGTTTACCTCCTGGGACCCTTCCTAACATATTAGTCAGAGTCCAATCAGGAAGCATAAACCACTCAAAAGTTTAAAGTGGTAAAATTTAATACAGAGAATTATTCATTATAACAGGTGAACAGCATAATGAGAGATTGGCTAGCACAGAGTAAAGAGAACTCTAGAGAATATGGGACTAGCCCAGGCCAGGCATGGTGGCTCATGCCTGAAATTCCAGCCATTACAGAAGCTAATGCAGGAGGACTGCTTAAGGCCAGGAGCTAGAGACCGCTCTGGACGACACAGTGAGACCCTGTCTCTATCCAAAAGGAGAAAAAAGTTAGCTGGGGGTGGTGCTGCACACTTGTAGTCCCAGCTACTCGGAATGCTGAAGTTTGAGCCTGGGAGGTCAAGGCTGCAGTGAGGCATGATTATGCCACTACAGTCCAGCCGGATGACAGAGCAAGACCCTGTCTCAAAGAACAAAACCACAACAACCATTTACAGACAGAAAAGAAATAGAGCTAATAAGCTGAGGAAAGATGTTGAAATGTGACAAGTAAAGTAATATGAGGTCTTTTGTCTATTTAAAATAATCAAACAAAAAATGGCTTACGAAATTATAATACCCTGTGCTGGCAAAGGTGCAGTGAAATGGGCACTTTCTTATACTATGAGGGGTGGTTAAATTGTGTATAAGCCTTCCCGGGTAAAGCCTGTCAATTTTTTAAAATAATGGAGACAGGGTCTCACCATACTGCCATACTGCCTCCTCCAACTCTTGGCCTCAAGCAATCCTCCTCTCTTAGCCTCCCAAAGTGCTAAGATTATAGCTGGGAGGCACCCAAAACCCTGTCAATTTACATCAAGGGTAAGGAGAATGTCCATTCACCATGACTCACAGTAATCTTACTTCTGGGGAGACAATTCAATCTAAGCAAAAGGTCATCTGTACACACACAGTAAAAATCTGGGAGTAACTGAAGACAGAGTTGGTAAGTGAAATAAGAAACAGTTATAAGAAATTAAACTATGGTATCAATAGGCACCTGGTAAAAGGTCAGTTGATGTTGCTGCTGCTTTTTTGTTGTTTTGAGACAGGGTCTCACTCTGTCACCCAGGCTGGAGTGCAGAGGCCTGATCATGACTCACTGCAGTCTCAGCCTCCCTGGGCTCAAGTGATCCTCCCACCTCAGCCTCCCAAGTAGCTGGGACTACAGGAACATGCCACCACACTAGGCTAATTCATGTATTTTTCTGTAGGGATGGTGACTCCCCCTTTGTTTCCAAGGCCTATCGCAAACTCTTGGCCTCAAGCCATCCTCCTGCCTCAGCCTCCCAAAGTGTTGCAATTACCAGTGTGAGCCACCACATCTGGCCAGCTGCTACTTTTATCAATATTATTCTTATTCCACTCAATTAAAAATTATTATTTTCAAGGCTATGCAACAGTATGTATCCTACAGCGTAATTGTAAAAACATACACAGTCCTCATCCCTCAGTATACAGAATTAGTTCCAGCCCCCCATCTCTGCATATACCAAAATCCATGCTTACTCACGTTTCGCTGTCACCCCTCTAGAATCCACGTATACGAAAATTCCAAATGTTAGTTGGGCATAGTGGCAAGCACCTGTAGTCTCAGCCACGTGGGAGGTTGAGGTGGGAGGATCGCTTCAGCCTGGAAGGTTGAGGCTGCAGTCAGCTGCAATAGCACTACTACACTCCAGCCTTGGACAACAGAGGGAGACCCTGTCTCAGAACAAAAAAAATAAATAAATAAAAAATAAAACAGGTTAGAAACTGTGATGAGGTCTGTTGGGCAAAATTCCATATAAGCAAAGTATAAATTAATAAAGCAAATCGTGATAAATCAGTACGATTGACTTTCTGGAGTTTCTGACAATAAAAGTAAGGAAAATGCAGAACACAAAGACAGAGAGTAAAAAGAGAAATTAGGAAAGCATTCTACATGTTGAATAGGAAGACACTGGCCATGTTCGTGCAGCGGCAGTATGTCGTGACATGACATACCTTGGAGAGAAGTTAACAGATGAGGAAGTTGATAAAAATCATCAGAGAAGCAAAATACTGGTAGCGACACTCAAGTAAACCATGAAATTTCCATAACTTATGTCAGCAAAGTGGGAATATTGTACAGTGTGTGTTGAAGTTCCTATACAACATTGTTTATCTGCCTTTTGTTTGTTTGTAAGGAATGTATATACTAAAAGTTCTTCTTGCTGTCAAAAGAATATGTGTGAATAAGTCATTTTAACTTATTCTTCTGTTTTTCTTTTATCTTCCTGCCATCATCCCACAGCCTTACTTTAGAAATTTCTTTTTTAGAAAATTGAACAAGTGCTCCCTGTGGTGGCACATACCTCAAGGATGGGAGGCAGGGGTGGAAGGGTCACTTGAGGCCATTAGTTTGACACCAGCCTGGCCAACAAAGTGAGACCCCGTGTCTACAAAACAATTTAAAAATTAGCCAAGTATCGTCATGTATACCTACAGTCCCAGCTACCTGAACTTACTGAGAAAGTTCAGAGCCTGGAGAGAAGGCTGGGAGGCAGGAGCTGGGTCTAAAGAGGCCATTGTAACGATGGAGCTGTGCCCGTGGAGGCTGTTGTGAGGCAGTAGCCTCATCTGCGGAGGCTGCCGTGACGTAGGGTATGGGCCTAAATAGGCCATTGAGAGTCATGAGCTTGGTCTGTAGAGGCTGACTGGAGAAAGTTCTGGGCCTGGAGAGGCTGCCGGGAGGTAGGAGCTGGGCCAAAAGATGTAAGCACATTTGCATTTATTAGGCACTTTATTTCCATTATTACACTGTAATATATAATAAAATAATTATAGAACTCACCATAATGTAGAATCAGTGGGCGTGTTAAGCTTGTTTTCCTGCAACTGGATGGTCCCACCTGAGCGTGATGGGAGAAAGTGACAGATCAATAGGTATTAGATTCTCATAAGGACAGCGCAACCTAGATCCCTCACATGCACGGTTCACAACAGGGTGCGTTCTCCTATGAGAATCTAACGCTGCTGCTCATCTGAGAAGGTGGAGCTCAGGCGGGAATGTGAGCAAAGGGGAGTGGCTGTAAATACAGACGAAGCTTCCCTCACTCCCTCACTCGACACCGCTCACCTCCTGCTGTGTGGCTCCTTGCGGCTACATGGCTCAGGGGTTGGGGACCCCTGCTCAAGTGCATCCAAAGCGACCCTTCCCACACCAGTCTTCACAGTGGTCAAGGGCAGCAACCACTTAGCTCCCAAGGCATGTGCCTCAGCTGGCATTTCGTCACAATCAACAGTAAGTGGTAGCTTGAGTCACTGTGAGGTCACCTACTGGAAATCACCAGCATCCCATTTCCCACTGGCAAAGAGCTCAGCACTGCCCCCTGGTAAACCAAACCTATGCCCAAATCCCATCTGTGTGGGTGTATCTCCTGGGACCCTTCCTAACATATTAGTCAGAGTCCAATCAGGAAGCATAAACCACTCAAAAGTTTAAAGTGGTAAAATTTAATACAGAGAATTATTCATTATAACAGGTGAACAGCATAATGAGAGATTGGCTAGCACAAAGTAAAGAGAACTCTAGAGAATATAGGACTAGCCCAGGCCAGGCATGGTGGCTCAGGCCTGAAATTCCAGCAATTTGAGAAGCTAATGCAGGAGGATTGCTTAAGGCCAGGAGCTAGAGACCGGTCTGGACAACAGAGTGAGACCCTGTCTCTATCCAAAGGAAGAAAAAAGTTAGCTGGTGGTGGTAGTGCACACTTGTAGTCCCAGCTACTCGGAATGCTGAAGTTTGAGCCTGGGAGGTCAAGGCTGCAGTGAGGCATGATTATGCCACTACAGTCCAGCCTGGTGACAGAGCAAGACCCTGTCTCAAAGAACAAAACCACAACAACCATTTACAGACAGAAAAGAAATAGAGCTAATAAGCTGAGGAAAGATGTTGAAATGTGACAAGTAAAGTAATATGAGTTCTTTTGTCTATGTAAAATAATCAAACAAAAAATGACTTACTAAATTATAATACCCTGTGCTGGCAAAGGTGCAGTGAAATGGGCACCTTCTTATACTATGAGGGGTGTTTAAATTGTGTATAAGCCTTCCCGGGTAAAGCCTGTCAATTTTTTAAAATAATGGAGACAGGGTCTCACCATACTGCCATACTGCCTCCTCCAACTCTTGGCCTCAAGCAATCCTCCTCTCTTAGCCTCCCAAAGTGCTAAGATTATAGCTGGGAGGCACCCAAAACCCTGTCAATTTACATCAAGGGTAAGGAGAATGTCCATTCACCATGACTCACAGTAATCTTACTTCTGGGGAGACAATTCAATCTAAGCAAAAGGTCATCTGTACACACACAGTAAAAATCTGGGAGTAACTGAAGACAGAGTTGGTAAGTGAAATAAGAAACAGTTATAAGAAATTAAACTATGGTATCAATAGGCACCTGGTAAAAGGTCAGTTGATGTTGCTGCTGCTTTTTTGTTGTTTTGAGACAGGGTCTCACTCTGTCACCCAGGCTGGAGTGCAGAGGCCTGATCATGACTCACTGCAGTCTCAGCCTCCCTGGGCTCAAGTGATCCTCCCACCTCAGCCTCCCAAGTAGCTGGGACTACAGGAACATGCCACCACACTAGGCTAATTCATGTATTTTTCTGTAGGGATGGTGACTCCCCCTTTGTTTCCAAGGCCTATCGCAAACTCTTGGCCTCAAGCCATCCTCCTGCCTCAGCCTCCCAAAGTGTTGCGATTACCAGTGTGAGCCACCACACCTGGCCAGCTGCTACTTTTATCAATATTATTCTTATTCCACTCAATTAAAAATTATTATTTTCAAGGCTATGCAACAGTATGTATCCCACAGCGTCATTGTAAAAACATATAGTCGTCGTCCCTCAGTATACAGAATTAGTTCCAGCCCCCCATCTCTGCATATACCAAAATCCATGCTTACTCACGTTTCGCTGTCACCCCTCTGGAATCCACGTATACGAAAATTCCAAATGTTAGTTGGGCATAGTGGCAAGCACCTGTAGTCTCAGCCACGTGGGAGGTTGAGGTGGGAGGATCGCTTCAGCCTGGAAGGTTGAGGCTGCAGTCAGCTGCGATGGCACTACTACACTCCAGCCTTGGACAACAGAGGGAGACCCTGTCTCAGAAAAAAAAAACAAAATAAAACAGGTTAGAAATTGTAATGAGGTCTGCTGGGCAAAATTCCATATAAGCAAAGTATAAATTAATAAAGCAAATCGTGATAAATTAGTACGATTGACTTTCTGGAGTTTCTGACAATAAAAGTAAGGAAAATGCAGAACACAAAGACAGAGAGTAAAAAGAGAAATTAGGAAAGCATTCTACATGTTGAATAGGAAGACACTGGCCATGTTCGTGCAGCGGCAGTATGTCGTGACATGACATACCTTGGAGAGAAGTTAACAGATGAGGAAGTTGATAAAAATCATCAGAGAAGCAAAATACTGGTAGCGACACTCAAGTAAACCATGAAATTTCCATAACTTATGTCAGCAAAGTGGGAATATTGTACAGTGTGTGTTGAAGTTCCTATACAACATTGTTTATCTGCCTTTTGTTTGTTTGTAAGGAATGTATATACTAAAAGTTCTTCTTGCTGTCAAAAGAATATGTGTGAATAAGTCATTTTAACTTATTCTTCTGTTTTTCTTTTATCTTCCTGCCATCATCCCACAGCCTTACTTTAGAAATTTCTTTTTTAGAAAATTGAACAAGTGCTCCTTGTGGTGGCACATGCCTCGAGGATGGGAGGCAGGGGTGGAAGGGTCACTTGAGGCCATTAGTTTGACACCAGCCTGGCCAACAAAGTGAGACCCCGTGTCTACAAAACAATTTAAAAATTAGCCAAGTATCATCATGTATACCTACAGTCCCAGCTACCTGAACTTACTGAGAAAGTTCAGAGCCTGGAGAGAAGGCTGGGAGGCAGGAGCTGGGTCTAAAGAGGCCATTGTAACGATGGAGCTGTGCCTGTGGAGGCTGCTGTGAGGCAGTAGGCTCATCTGCGGAGGCTGCCGTGACGTAGGGTATGGGCCTAAATAGGCCATTGTGAGTCATGAGCTTGGTCTGTAGAGGCTGACTGGAGAAAGTTCTGGGCCTGGAGAGGCTGCCGGGAGGTAGGAGCTGGGCCAAAAGATGTAAGCACATTTGCATTTATTAGGCACTTTATTTCCATTATTACACTGTAATATATAATAAAATAATTATAGAACTCACCATAATGTAGAATCAGGGGGCGTGTTAAGCTTGTTTTCCTGCAACTGGATGTTCCCACCTGAGCGTGATGGGAGAAAGTGACAGATCAATAGGTATTAGATTCTCATAAGGACAGCGCAACCTAGATCCCTCACATGCACGGTTCACAACAGGGTGCGTTCTCCTATGAGAATCTAACGCTGCTGCTCATCTGAGAAGGTGGAGCTCAGGCGGGAATGTGAGCAAAGGGGAGTGGCTGTAAATACAGACGAAGCTTCCCTCACTCCCTCACTCGACACAGCTCACCTCCTGCTGTGTGGCTCCTTGCGGCTACATGGCTCAGGGGTTGGGGACCCCTGCTCAAGTGCATCCAAAGCGACCCTTCCCAAGCCAGTCTTCACAGTGGTCAAGGGCAGCAACCACTTAGCTCCCAAGGCATGTGCCTCAGCTGGCATTTCGTCACAATCAACAGTAAGTGGTAGCTTGAGTCACTGTGAGGTCACCTACTGGAAATCACCAGCATCCCATTTCCCACTGGCAAAGAGCTCAGCACTGCCCCCTGGGAAACCAAACCTATGCCCAAATCCCATCTGCGTGGGTCTACCTCCTGGGACCCTTCCTAACATATAACCTTCATAACATACTTGAGAGGCTGAGGTGAGACAATCAATTTAGCCCAGGAGTTTGAGATCAGCCTGGACGACATAACTAAATCTCATCTCTACAAGGACGAGGTGGGAGGATCACTTGAGCCCAGGAATTTGTGGCCAGCCTGGGCAACAAAAGAAGACCCCATCTGGCCAACATGGCCAACCTGGCCACCACGGTGAAACTCTGACTCTACAAAAATGATCTGGGCATGGGTGACATGCATGTGTAGTCCTAGCTACTTGGGAGGTTGAGATGGGAGGATTGCTTGATCTCAGAAGGCCAAAGCTATAGTGAGCTATGATCACATCACTGCACTCCAGCCTGGATGGCACAGGGAGATTCTGTCTCAAAAAAAAGAAAAGAAATATATATTTAATCTCTGTCCCTGGTTCCTGGCACAGAGCTTCTAAAGCTCTTACAAAGACCTCAGTGATAGATGTGACAGGAGCATCTTTTGTTTTAATATTTGGTCTTGGTCCCAGGTTTCTAACACAAGAGCCTCTAAGAACTTTGGGATCTCCAGCATGGTAAGAATGCATTTGGGGATGTTGTTGAGATGACTGGGTGACTGCAAGCTCCTAAATTTCTTCAAGAGGAGGGCTGATTACCATGCAACCACATGGTAAGAGGCTTGGAACTTTCAGCCTCATGCACTGAACTCCAGGGGGAAGAGGGGCTGGAGACTGACTTAATCACCAACAGCCAAAGGTTTTATCAATCATGCTTGCATAATAAAGCCTCCATAAACACCCTGAAAGGGGTTTGCAGAGCTTTCAGGGTTGCTGGACACAGGAGATGCTGGGAGGGTCGCATGTTCAACAGAGGGCATGGGAGCTCTGTGCCCCTCCGAACTTAACTTGCCCTGGGTATCTTTCTTTTTTTTGAGACAGGATCAGGCTCTGTTGTCCAAGCTGGAGTGCAGTGGCACAATCTCAGCTTACTGTAACCTAAGCCTCCCCAGTCCCCAGCTCAAGGTATCCTCTCATCTCAGCTTCCCTAGTAGTTGGAACTCTAGGTGCACAACACCACACCAGTTATTATTATTATTTTTTAATTTTTTATAGAGACAAGTTTTCACCATGTTGCCCAGGCTGGTCTCAAACTCCTGAGTTTAAGCGATCCTCCCACCTTGGCCTCCCAAAGTGCTGAGATTACAGGCATGAGCCACTGCATCCAGCATGCACGTCTCTTTCATTGACTGTTTCTGAGATGTATCCTTCACAATGAACCAGTAATAGGAAATGAACTGGCCAGATGTGGTGGCTCACATCTGTAATCCCAGCACTTTCAGAGGCTGAGGTGGGAGGATCACTTGAGACCAGGAATTTGTGGCCAGCCTGGCCAACACAACAAGACCCCATCTATACAAAAAATAAAAGAAACTAGCCAGATGTGGTGGTGCAGGCATGTAGTCTCAGCTACTAGGGAGGCTGAGGTGGGAGAACCACTGGAACCCAGACAATCAAGGCTGCAATGAGCTATGACTGCACCATTGCACACCAGCCTGGGCAACAAAATAAGACCCTCTCTCTCAGAAAAAAAGAAAATAAACTGTTTTTCTGAGTTCCGTAAACTGTTCTAGCAAATTATTAAACCCAAGAAGACAGTTACGGGAACCCCCGATTGGTAACAGGTTGGTCAAAAGTATGGTGACAACTTAGGACTTGCCATTGTCATCTGAAGTGAGGATGGCCTCGTGGGACTGAGCCCCTAACTTGTGGGGTCTGTGCTAACTCCAGGTAGTGTCAGAATAAAGTCATGGGATACCCAGTTAATATCCAGAGCACTGAAGAATCTGGTGTAGAAACTCCATACATACATTCAGTCGGAAGTGTGTGAGTAGAGACAAACATGGGCTTTTCTGTCACCTACCTGCTTAACTGCATAGGAGAGGCAATATGTGGTGCTCATGAACAAAGCAAACATTAAAGTCAGACCAGACCCAACATTTGACTCAGTCTTAATATCCAGGTGAGCCTGCGCAAATCATTCATTATTCCTAAGGTTTTCATCACTCCATTCATAAAATGGGGATAACTGTGGCACCTACATGTGATTCTGTGAGAATTAACGAAATATTATGCTTGGGGTTATTGTGATCATTATACCTGTTCCAAACTATTTGACAAGGACAGTGATGGATGAAGACATCAAAAAATCAGAAACTGCAATGAGGTCTCTCAGGCAAAATTCCATACAAGCAAATTACTGTGTCTACAAAGCATTCCTGCCACACTTAATTCACCATTCCCTGAACAGAATATGCCATCTTCGTTGTTCAGGTCTGTACAGTGCTGGTGTCCCTTCCCGGGCAGTTTGCGCTATCCCATCCCGGCCCATTCCCCATCCCTCCACCTCCCCCTTCCCTCCCCACTCTCATACAACTCTTCCTCATCTTTCAGGACTTGGCTTCAATGTCACCTTAACTGGAAGCTTCTCTCACTCTCCAGAAGAGCTTCCCATTGCACCTGATGCATGGGAAACATAATTTGATCACTTTTAAGTTACAGTCCAAATCTTTTTGTACCTGAATAACATGTTGCCCAGTCAGTCTCTCTTCCTGGATTCACAAGTCTTTCATGGTAGATCCAGCTGGAAGTGACAAAAAGACATCTTTTGACATAAAGGGATGACACAGACAGACATAAGTTCTTAAATGTCTTAAATGTCATGTGAAAATTAAACAGAATTCAAAGACTTGTGGGGAGCACTTAGGAAGTTACTGGGAATGTCATAAAGGGTTAATTTGTATTTTATTTTATTTTTTGAGACAGTCTCATTCTGTCACCTAGGCTGGAGTGCAGTGGTGCAATCAGGCTCACTGCAGCCTTGACCACCTGGGCTCAAGTAATCTCACTTAATTTTTATTTGGTTTAAGAAAGTCTTGGTTGAGGGTGGTGGCTTATGCCTGTAATCTCAGCACTTTGGGAGGCTGAGAGAGGTATATTACTTGAGGCCAGGAGTTTGAAATCAGACTGGGCAATATATTAAGACCCTGCCTCTACCAAAAAACAGAGTGAATGTGTGGAAGACAATTTTTCCACAGACTGGGAATGAGGGAATAATTTCAGGATGATTCAAGTGCATTACATATATTGTGCACTTTATTTCTATTATTACTACATAGTAATATATAATGAAATGATTCTACAACTCACTATAACGTAGACTCAGTGGGATCTCTGAGCTTGTTTTCCTGCAACTAGACTGTCCACCTGGGGTGATGGGAGACAGTAACAGAATATCAGGCATTAGATTCTCATAAGGAGTACACAACCTAGATCCCTCGCATGCACACTTCACAACAGAGTTTGTGCTCCTATGACAATCTAATGCTGCTGCTGATCTGACAGGACATGGAGCTCAGGTGGTCATGCAAGTGATGGGAGGGGCTAGAAATACAGATGAAGTTTCCCTTCACTCGCCTGCTGCTCACCTCCAGCTCTGTGGCCCTGTGGTTGGAGACCGCTGCTCAAGTGCATTTGAAAGGAACCATCCCACGCCATTCTTCAGAGTCATCTTTACTGCTGCAGTGGTCAACTTGTAGCACCCCTAAGCTCGCAGGACATATGCTTCAACTGGCATTTCACAATCAACAGTATGTGGCAGCTTGAGTCATTGTGAGCTCACTTCCTGGAAATCACCAGCATCCCATATCCCATTGCAAGGAGCTCAGCACTGCTCCTTGGATAACCAAACCTATTCCCAAATCCCATCTGTGTGCGTCTATCTCCTGGTACCCTTCCTAGCATCAATTCTGTATTTGTAGGAGTCCAATCAGGAGACACAAACCACTCAAAAGTTTAAACTAGAATGAGCAAGATGGCTCACACCTGTAACCCCAGAACTCTGGGAGGCCAAGGTGGGTGGACTGCTTTGAGCTCAGGAGTTTGAGAACAGTCTGGGAAACATGGCGAAACCTCGTCTCTACAAAAAACACAAAAATCAGCTGGGTGTGGTGGCACTTACCTGTAATCCCAGCTACTCGGGAGGCTGAGGCAGGAGAATTGCTTGAGCCTGGCAGGTGGAGGCTGCAGTGAGCAGAGGTTGTGCCACTGTACTCCAGCCTGGGTGACAGTGTGAGACCCGGTATCAAAAAGAAAAAACGTATATATATATATATATATATATATATATATATATATATATATATATATGTAAATTTAATATAAAAAGTATTAATTTTGGCCAGGCAAAATGGCTCATGCCTGTAATCCCAGCACTTTGGGAGGCCAAGGCAGACAGATCACCTGAGGTCAGGAGTTCGAGACCAGCCTGACCAGCACAGAGAAACCCCATCTCTACTAAAAATACAAAATTAGCTGGGCATGGTGGCACATGCCTGTAATCCCAACTACTCGGGAGGCTGAGGCAGGAGAATTGCTTGAACCCAGAAGGTGGAGGTTGCGCTGAGCCGAGATAGCACCATTGCACTCCAGCCTGGGCAACAAGAGTGAAACTCCATCTCAAAAAAAAAAAAAAAAGGTATTAATTTTTACAGAGGATCAGCACAATGAGGGACACACTAGCACAAAGTAAAGACAACTCTAGAGAATACGGAACTAGCAGAGGCCAGGCATTGTGGCTCATGCCTGTAATCCCAGCAATTTGGGAAGCCTAGGCAGGAGGATCGCTTGAGGCCAGGAGTTGGAGACCAATCAGTGCTAAATAGTGAGACTCTGTGTCTACCAAAAAAAAGAGACATTAGCCAGGTGTGGTGGTGGTGCACACTCGTAGTTCCAGCTACTTGGGAGTCTGGGGTGGGAGAAATCCCTTGAGCCTGGGAAGTCTACACTACAGTGAGCCAAGATTGTGCCACTGCACTCCAGCCTGGGCGACAGAGTGAGACCCTGTCTTAGAAAGAAAAAAGAAAAGAAAGTGTTAATCCCCCTATGGGAATCTCCTCTTCTCCTGCCCTCTCTGGAACCTCACTTGTCAGTTCTTCCTCCCACTTTCCTGTATCTTTAACCTATCCCCCACTTTTAGCTCCTTCCCATCATCATTTAAATTACTCAAACTTCTTCTGTTTTAAAAACCTCTCCCTAAACTCAGGGAGAGGTCTTCTGCACACACATTGAGCCATCTGCTCTTCCTGGTGCCTTCTCTACAGCAGCCTGAGCCATGTCTCTAATCTATGAATCTCATCATGTTACTCCCCCATTTACATCACTTCTCCTTGCCTCAGGGATTAAGTCCAAACTCCTTAACAGCCCCTGCTCTGCCCTGCCTTGCAAGGCAGCCTCACTGCTTGCCCCTCTCCATTTCATCTGCTATGGAGTCCAACTGAGCCTCATCTGCCCCTTGAACGCACACTCTTTCTCCTCTGGGAGTCTCTGAAGTGGGTAATATCCTCTGCTTATAATATGCTTCCCCTTAAACCTCTACTCTCTTCCTAGCTAGCTTTGACTCCTCTGTCACTTGTCCGCTTTGGCATCACCTCCTCATAGAAGACTTCTATGACTCCCGAGATTCTCAGGAGCATGGCAGGTGAAGTGCTCCTCCCATGAATGGATGGAGATTAGGGAGTGTGTGTTATTCATGCTTCATTCACCAGTGCTTAGCTGAGTACCTGGCATAAAATAGTTACTGTGGTGGCCAAAGTAATAACCCCCACCGCCACCAATTGCTCATGTCCTATGTTACACAGCACAATTACATAGGAAGGGGGAATTAAGAGTGCAGATAAAATTAATGCTGCTCATCAGCTGTCCTTAAAACAAGATTATCCTGGAGTATCTAGGAGAGCCCATGTAATTACAAGCATTCTTTAAAACTGGAAGAGGGAGGCAGAAGGTTAAGAACCAGAGACGGTGGGCACAATGGCTCATGCCTGTAATACCAATACTTTGGGAGGCCAGGGTAGGAAAATCCCTTGAGTGCAGGAGTTCAAGGTCAGCCATGGCAACATACTGAGGTCCCATCTCTACAACAAAATAAAAACAAAATTCACTGAGTGTCACGATGCTTACCTGTAGTCCCAGCTACTGGGAAGGCTGACATGGTAGGATTGCTTGAGCCTGGGAGTTTGAGGCTATAATGAGCCATGATAGGACCACTGAACTCCATCCTAGTGACAGGGCAAGGTCCTGTTTCTGAAGAAAAAAAGGACATTGGAATCAGGGCCCTCTCCATCCTGAGGTGCCTACAAGGCATCTCTCTCTGCAAACGAGTAAACATCACCCTCCAACTCCTTACAGAGTGGAGCAACAGGAAAACTCCCTCACCTCATTTCTGTGCTGCTTGGGAGGCCTGGACAGCCCAATAACCAGCTCCTCGCTGATGAAGCAATCAGGAAATGGCTCGAGTTGAGCTAAGGAGAATTTGGATCCTTCCTTTGGTTCTCAGTAGGCAGGGTAGGGGCCAGGCATGGTGGCTCATACCTGTAATCCTTGCACTGTGGGGGGCCAAGGTGAGAGGATTGCTTGAGGCCAGGAGCTCAAGACCAGCCTGGACAACATAGCAAGACCTGGGTGGCATACACCTGTGGTCCCTACTACTTGGTAGGATGAGGTGGGAGGATTGATCACTTGATCCCAGGAGTTTCAGGCTGCAGTGAGCCATGATCACACCACTGCACTTCAGCCTGGGTGACAGAGCCAGACCATGTCACAAAAAGTTAGAAAAAAAAAAGAGAGAGGGAGAGAGACTATACACAGGCACCACCACATTTGGCTAATTTTTAAATATTCTGTAGAGACAAGGTCTTGCTAGGTTGCCCAGGCTAGTCTAAAACTCCTGGCATCAGGCTGGGCATGGTGGCTCATGCTTGTAATCGCAGCACTTTGGGAAGCTAAGGCAGGCAAATCACCTGAAGTCTGGAGTTCGAGACCAGCCTGGCCAACACGGTGAAACTCTGACTCTATCAAAAATACAAAAATTAGCTGGGCAGTAGTGGCGTGTACCTGTAGTCTCACCTACTCGGGAGGCTGAGGCAGGAGAATCACTTGAACCTGGGAGGTGGAGGTTGCAGTGGACCCCATCACTGCACTCCACCCTGGGTGACAGAGCGAGACTGTCAAAAACAACAACAACAATAACAAAAACAAAAACAACAACAACAAAAAAAACTCCTGGCATCAAGACATCTTCCTGTCTTAGCCTCCCAAAGCCCTGGGATTATACTGTTTCCTATAATTGAAGACACTTGTTCTTATACTGCTTTAAGGTATAAAGGAAGAAAAAAAAAACAGATAATGGCAAATGTTGGTGAAGGCCGGGCATGGTGGCAGCCTGTAATTCCAGAACTTAGGGAGGCTGAGGTGGGCAGATCACTTGAGGCCAGGAGTATGAGACCAGCCTGGGCAACATGGTAAAATCCCACCACTACAGAAAAATCTAAAAATTAGCCAGGCATGGTGGCGTACACCTGTAATTTTCAGCTACCCAGGAGGCTGAGATGAGAGAATCACTTGTGCCTGGGAGGTCACGGCTGCAGTGAACTGTGATGGCATCATTGCACTGCGGCCTGAGAGACAGAGCAAGCCCCTATCTAGAAAAAAAAATGTCAGTGAAGATGTGGAGGAATTGGAACCCACATACATTACTGGTGGGAACATAAAATTGTGTAACCATTTTGTTTGGGTATTTCTTTTCTTGTCATTTTAATTGGATTTTTAAAAAATCAAGACGGGGTTTCACTATCTTGCCCAGGCTGGTCTTGAATTCACGGGCTCAAGCCATCCTCCTAGCTGAGCCTCCTGAGTAGCTGGGATTACAGGTGTGAGCCATTGCACCCAACTGGTATAGCCACGTTAGAAAACAGTCTGGCAGTTTCTCAAAAGGCTAAATGTACAGTCATCCTATAATGCAACAATTTCACTCCTAGGCATATATCCCAGAAAAATAAAAATATATGTCCACACAAAAACTTGTACAACAATCTTCATAGCAGCATTATTCATAATGACCAATACATGGAATACATGGAAACAACCCAAATATCCACCAACTGATGAACAGATAAACAAAATGCAGTGTGTCTCTACCATGGAATACTGCCATAGAAGGAATGAAATATTGATACACACTATGACATAAAGGAACTTTGAAAACACTGTGGTAAGAGGGAAAAAAAGCCACAAAAGATCACATATTGTACAATTCTATTTGTCCAGATTAGGCAAATCTATAGTGACAAAAAAATTAATCAATGGTTGCCTAAGGCTGGGGGCAAAGGTAGGTGGGGAGAGTAGGAGGTAGTGGCTAAGGGGTATGGATTTCTCTATAGAGTAATGAAAGGTTCTAAAAGTGACTGTGGTGATCGATGCACAGCTCTGTGAATATTCTAAAACCTACTGAATTGCAGATTTCAATAAATAAAGTGAATGGTATGTGAATATTTTAATAAAGCTATTATTTAAAATAATAATAATAGGGGGCTGGGCACAGGTGGTCATGCCTGCCTGTAATCCCAGCACTTTGGGAGGCTGAGGCAGGAGGATCACTTGAGGTCAGGAGTTTTGAGCCCAGTCGGAGCAACACGGCAAGATCCCGTCTCTATGATAAAAAATTACCTGGACATGGTGGCACATGTCTGTAGTCCCAGCTACTTGGGAGACTGAAGTGAGAGAACCACTTGAGCCCAGGAGTTTGAGGCTACAGTGAACCATGATCATGTCACTGTACTGTAGCCTAAGCAACAGAGCAAGACGCTGTCTCTGAAAAGGAAAGAAAACAAATGCAAGTTTTTATCACTTTGTGAGTGTAGCCAAGTTGGAGGAGAAATAGACAATAATAAAAGAGCACTGAATAATGACGGTGAGTGGCTGGTTAGGCTCAGTTGCTAGCTAAATGGCTTCTAAAAAATTCAATAAAGTTACAGCTCTGGGGACAGTCATGTAGTCAAAGAATGAAGGCGAAATTCATTACAATTGCCCATGGTCTTTATTTACATGCCTTCTAGTGAAAAATTCCTAAGTGCCTAAACAGCAAGTCTGCAATGATAGCAGCTGTTTATTAAAGACTACAAAAAAGAAATGGAGGCCGGGCGTGGTTGTTCACATCTGTACTCCTTGAATTTTGGGAGGCTGAGGCAGGCAGATTGCCTGAGGTCAGGAGCTCCAGAGGAGCCTGGCCAACATGGTGAAATCCCATCTCTACTAAAAATACAAAAATTAGCTGGGTATGGTGGCGGGCACCTGTAATCCCAGCTACTCGGGAGGCTGAGGCAGGAGAATTGCTTGAACCCAGAAGGTGAAGGTTGCAGTGAGCCAAAATCGCACCATTGCACTCCAGCCTGGGTGACAAGAGAAAGACTCTTATCTTAAAAAAAAAAAGAAAAAAAAGAAATGGCATCTTCTTCAAGAATTACATCGTGTTTCATGATAAAGAAGCTCTAATTTTGCATTTGTTCAAGTATTGATGAGATTTACCCAATATGACACCCATCTTGGATAAAATGCAAACAACACAATTTCATTTTCTCATTAACAAAACCGATTAAGTAGTCTAATATAAATTCCGATCTTATTAAAAACTGATCAGATTAAAAAAATTATGGAATTATGGAGCCAATAAGATGTTACAACCTGTTCCAAGGGGAATTCCAAAATCCACACATATCTGAGACCATCAAGTATGATGAAATATATTTGATTACTATATTGAAAAATAAACTGATTACATAGCCAACAATTGGACAGGGGTCTCCTCATCCACAGCCACACAAACCCGATCATGCAACTGTATGGTTACAAGGCCTACATAGCCTAGAAGGGACTGGTCTGACTTGAGATTTCATTTGTATTTGTATTTTGAGACAGGGTCCCACTCTGTCACCCAGGATGGAGTGCAGTGGTATAATCATAGCTCACTGCAACCTTGACCAACTGGGCTCAAGAGATGCTCCTGCCTCAGCTGCCCCCATACCTGGGAATACAGGCAAGTACCACCATGTCAGGCATTTTTTTCATTTTTGTAGAGAGAGAAGACTTGCTATGTTGCCCAAGCTGGCCTCAAACTCCTAGAATCAAGAGATCTGCCCATCTCAGCCACATGAGTAACTGGGGCCATAGGTACATACCATCATGCCTGGCTATATTTATTTTATTTTATTAAATTTATTTTTTTTATTTTTGTAGAGAGGAGGTCTTGCTGTGTTGCCCAGGCTGCTCTCAAACTCATGGCCTTAAAACATACTCCCATCTCTGCCTCTCAAACTGTTGGAACTATAGGTGTGAGCCACTGTACCTGGCCTGACTTGGGATTTCTTTTATCTAGCATCCTTTACTTGGTAGGATTGGGAAAAGCAGTAGTGTTTTTTAAAATTACTTAATAATTCAATCAGAATCAAACTCAACCTTGACCACTGCCTTCTCTCACAGCTCACATCCAGTCTGTCAGGAAATCCTACTGACTGACTTCAACATGTATCCAGGCTCTAACCATCTCTCACCACCACCATGAACCCCGTCAGGATCACTATCATCTCCCACCGGGATGTTGCCACAGCTTGGCCCCCATGCTTCCACCCAAATCTTCCCATAGTCTTTCTCAACTCGGCAGCCAGGTCGTGCTTTTAAATCAGGAGACGGATCATGTCGCCTCTCTGCTCAGAAGCCCTTGGTGGTTCCCATTTTAGTCAGAGTAAAAGCCAAAGCCCCAGCAATAGCGTCCCAGGGCTTACACGATCTGTACCGATCCCAGCCCAGCAACTCCCTGGCCTCCTCGCTGACTTCGCTCCCTCTATCTCTTTGCTCCACTGGCCTCCTTCCAGAGCCTCAGACACACCAGAGAGTTTCCTCCTAATGCCTTTATCCTGTTGACTCAGCCTACAATGCTCTTCCCTCAGCACCTTGGCCAGCTCCATCACCTGCTTCAAACTTTTGCTCAATATTCACTTATGAGGCCAACCCTGACCACTCTACTTAACACTGCCATCTGTCCCCATTCCCACCATGCTCATTTATTTCTTTCTTTTTGAAACAAGGTCTTGCTTTATTGCCCAGGCTGGAGTACACTGGTGCAATCACAGCTCACAGCAACTTCAACCTCCCAGGCTTAAACAATCCTCCCGCCTCAGCCACCCTAGGAACTGAGACTACAGCTGCATGCCACAACACATGGCTTTTTTTTTTTTTTTTTTTTTGAGACGGAGTCTTGGTCGCCCAGGCTGAAGTGTAAGGGTGCGATCTTGGCTCACTGCAATGTCTGCCTTTTGGGTTCAAGTGATTCTCTGCCTCCCAAGTAGCTGGGATTACAGGCACCCACCACCACACCTGGCTAATGTTTGTATTTTTAGTAGAGATGGGGTTTCACCATCTTGGCTAGGCTGGTCTTGAACTTCTGACCTCGTGATCCACCCTCCTCGGCCTCCCAAAGTGCTGGGATTACAGGCGTGAGCCACTGCGCCTGGCCTTTAAAAAAATTTTTTTTTAGACATGAGGTCTCATTATGTTGCCCAGGCTGGTCTTAAGCTCCTGGGCTTAAGCGATCCTCCCACCTCAGCCTCCTAAAGTTCTGGGATTACAGGCGTGAGCAACTGTAACATGAGGTCCCAGCTTCATGTTCATTTTTTGTTGTTGCTACAACAAAGTACCCTACATTTAGTGGCATCAAACACCACAAATCTACCATCTTACAGTTCTGGGGGCCAGAAGCCCAACTAGGTCTATCAAGGCTAAAGTCAAGGTGTCAGAGAGGCTGCATTCCTTCTGGGGGAGGCTCTAGACAGAATGTGCTCCTTTGCCTTTTCCAGCTTCTAGAAGCCACCTCCATTCCTTGACTTACCTCGTGACTCCATATTCAAGGCCAGAAGTGCAGCATCTTCAAATCTCCCTCTCTGACCTCTTCTTCCATTACCACATCACTTTCTCTAATTCTGACTCTCCTACCTCATTCTCTTATAAAGATCCTTGTGATTGGTGGGTATGGGGGCTCCCATCTGTAATCCCAACATTTTGGGAGGCCAAAGAGGAAGGATTGCTTGAGGCCAAGAGTTAGAGATCAGCCTGGGGAAAATAGGAAGATCCTGCCTTTACAAAATTAAAATCAGCTGGACATGGTGATGCATGCCTGTAGTTCCAGCTACTGGAGAGGCTAAGGTGGGAGGATTGCTTTAGCCTAGGAGGTCAAGGCTGAAGTGAGCTATGATCACATCACTGCACTCCAGCCTCAGTGGCAGAGTGAGACTCTGTCTCCGATATAAGAAAAGAAATATACATTTGGTCTCTGCCCCTGGTTCCTGGCATAGAGCTTCCAAAGCTCTTATAAAGCCCTTCGTGACAGAGGTAATAGGAGCATTTTCTGTTTTGATATTTAGTCTTAGTCCCAGGTTCCTGACACAAGGGCCTCTAAGGTCTTTCAGATCTGCAGCATGGTAAGAATGCATGTGGGATGCTGTTGAGCTAACAGGGTGGCTGCAAGCTCCGAGACTGCTTCAGGAGGAGGGCTAGCTGCCAGAGAAAGCAACCACATTTTTTTTTTAAAACGGAGTTTGGCTCTTGTAGCCCAGGCTGGAGTGCAATGGCACAATCTCAGCTCACTACAACCTCCACCTCCCGGGTTCAAGCAATTCTCCTGCCTCGGCCTCCCGAGTAGCTGAAATTATAGGGATGTGCCACAACGCCTAGCTAACTGTTGTTATTTTTAGTAGAAACGGGGTTTCACCATGTTGGTCAGGCTGGTCTCAAACTCTTGACCTCAAGTGGTCCATGTGCCTCAGCCTTCCAAACTGCTAGGATTACAGGAGTGAGCCACCGCACCTGGCCCCAACAACATTTTTTGAGGCTTGGAACTTTCAGCCTCACCTGCTGAACTCCAGGAGGCAAAAGGAACTGGAGATTGACTTAACTACCAATGGCCAGTGATTTTATCAATCATGCCTCCATAAACACCCAAACAGCAGGGTTTGGAGAGCTTCTGTGTTGCTAAACACAAGGAGGTCCTGGGAGGGTAGTGTGCCCAACAGAGGGCATGGAAGCTCTGTGCCCCTCCCCACTTACCTTGTCCTGTGCATCTCTTTCATTGGCTGTTCCTGAGATGGAGCCATTACATTGAGCCAGTAATAGAAAATAAGGTGGCCAGATGCGCTGGCTCATGCCCGTAATCCCAGCACTTTGGGAGGCAGAGGTGGGCGGAATCACTTGAGCCTAGGAATTTGAGACCAACCTGGGCAACATAAGAAGACCCCATCTATACAAAAAATAAAAGAAATTAGCCAAATGTGGTGGTGGGAACCCTGTAATTCCAGCTACTTGAGAGGCTGAAGCAGGAGAATCACTTGAGCCCTGGACGTTGAGGCTTCAATGAGCTATGATTGCACCACTGCACACCAGCTTGGACAACAGAGCGAGGCCCTGTCTCTTAAAAAAAAAAGAAAAAAAACTTGTTTTTCTAAGTTCTGTGAGTTGTTCTAGTAAATAATTAAACTCAACAAGAGGGTCATGGGAAACCCTGATTTCTAACTGGTTGGTCAAAATACAGGTGACAACCTAGGACTTGCAACTGGCATCTGAAGTGAGGGTGGTCTTGTGGGACTGAGCCCCTAACCTGTGGGTTCTGTGCTAACTCTAGGTAGTGTCAGAATGGAATTGTGGGATACGCGGTTGGTATCCAGAGAGTTGGAGAACTGGTGTAGAAACTCTGCACACACAGTTGGTCAGAAGTCTGTGAGTAGAGAGAAACGTGTTGCAGGAAGTCAGGGACCCCAAACAGAGGGACTGGCTGAAGCCACAGCAGAAGAACATAAATTGTGAAGATTTCATGGACATTTATTAGTTCCCCAAATTAATACTTCTATAATTTCTTAGGCCTGTCATTACTGCAATCTCTGAACATAAATTGTGAAGATTTCATGGACACTTATCACTTCCCCAATCAATACCCTTGTGATTTTCTATGCCTGTCTTTAATCTCTTAATCCGGTCATCTTCATAAGCTGAGGATGAATGTCCCCGCAGGACCCTGTGATAATTGCGTTAACTGCACAAGTTGTTTAAACAATATGAAACCTGGGCACCTTGAAAAAAGAACAGGATAACAGCAATTTCAGGGAACAAGGGAGATAACCTTAAACTCTGGCTGCCAGTGGGCCGGGTTGAACAGAGCCATATTTCTCTTCTTTCAAAAGCAAATAGGAGATGTATTGCTGAATTCTTTTTCTCAGCAAAGAACATCCCTGAGAAAGAGAATGCATCCCTAAGGGGAGGCCTCTGAAATGGCCGCTTTGGGGACGGCTGTCTTTTACAGTCATAGATAAGGGATGAAATAAGCCCTGGGTTCGCGTGGCGCTCCCAGCCTTATCAGGACAAGGAAATTCCCGCCTAATAAATGTTGGTCAGATGGGTTGTCTGCTCTCAAACCCTTTCTCCTGATAAGATGTTATCAATGACAATGCGCGCCCGAAACTTCGTTAGCAATTTTAATTTCGCCCCGGTCCTGTGGTCCTGTGATCTTGCCCTGCCTCCATTTGCCTTGTGATATTTTATTACCTTGTGAAGCATGTGATCTCTGTGACCCACACCCTATTCGTACACTCCCTCACCTTTTGAAAATCACTAATAAAAACTTGTTGGTTTTGCGGCTTGGGGGGCATCACGGAACCTGCCGACGTGTGATGTCTCCCCTGGACATCCAGCTTTAAAATTTCTCTCTTTTGTACTCTTTCCCTTTATTTCTCAGACTGGCTGACACTCAGGGAAAATAGAAAAGAACCTACATGAAATATCAGGGGTGAATTTCCCCCGATATCACACTGGCTCTTCTCTCACCTGTCTACCTGCTTAACTTAATAGGAGAGGCAATGCATGGTGCTCATGAACAAGGCAAGCATTAAAGTCAGACCAGACTAACATTTGACTCAGTCCTAATATTCAGGTGAGCTTGGGCAAATCGCTCATTAACCCCAAGTCTTCATCATTTTGTGCATATAATGGGGATAACTGTGGCACCCACCTGTTTTTGTGAGAATCAATGAAATATTATGCTTGATGTTATTGTGATCATGATACTATCTGACAAGGGCAGTGATGCATGATAACATCAAAAAATTAGAAACTGTAATGAGGTCTCTTGGGCAAAATTCCATACAAGCAAATTACTGTCTCTACAAAGCATTTCTGCCACACTTAATTCACCATTCCCTGAACAAAATGTGCCATCTTCATTGTTCAGGTCTGTATAGTGCTGGTTTCCCTGCCTGGGCAGCTCACTCCATCCCATCCCAGCCCAATCCCCATCCCTCCACCTCCCCCTTCCCTCCCCACTCTCATACAACTCTTCCTTATCTTACAGGACTTGGCTTCAATGTCACCTTAACTGGAAGCTTCTCTCCCTCTCCAGAAGAGCTTCCGATTGCACTTGATGCATGCACTATTATTTGATCATTTTTGAGTTACAGTCCAAGTCTTTTTGTACTTGAATAACATGTTGCCCAGTCAGTTTCTCTTCCTGGATTCAGAAGTCTTTCATGGTAGGTCCAGCTAGAAGTGACAAAAAGACATTTAAAAAAAAAAAAAGAGGGATGACACAGACATCAGCACTTAAAAGTTTTAAACGATATGTGAAAAACAAAATTTAAGGGCTTCTAGGAGAAATGTAGGAGGGAAGGTGTTACTGGGAAATATGATAGAAGGTTAATTTTTATTTTATTTTATTTTTAGAGAAAGGGTCTTGCTCTATCACCTAGGCTGGACTGCAGTGGTGCAATCACAGTTAACTGCAGCCTCAACCTCCAGGGCTTGAGCAATATTCCCATCTAATTTTTATTTTGTTTAAGAAATGCAGTCTTGCTCTTAGCAAAGCTAAAGTGCAATGGTGTGATCATAGCTTACTGCAGCCTCAACCTTCTAGACTCAAGTGATCCTCCAGTCTTAGCCTCCCCAGTAGCTCGGACTACAGGTGTGCACTGCAACGTGTAGCTCATTTTTTTTTTTTAATTTTTAGTAGAGACAAAGTGTCACTATGTTGACCAGGTTGGTGGTGATCTCCTACACTCAGGCAGTTCTCTCACCTCAGCCTTCCAAAATGCTGGGATTACAGGTGTGAGCTGCCACACCTGGCTGAGGGGGTTAATTTTTAATTATATAAAGAGCTCAAAGCAAATATTAGAAGAAGCCTAAATGCCTCCAGCAGTTGACTGGTACTGGTAAATTGTGATACATCCATATAATAAAATATTATGCAACCATGAAAAGGATTAAGATAGATCAATAGGTATTGGCACAAATGTCCACGAAATATGAAAATATGAAGTGATGTTCAATCACCATGTACGTATCTTGAAGGATATGGCCCATTTTCTCAACTGCAATTATTTCCTGAGATAAGATTATGGGTCTAAAGAGTGAAGGACATTTTTCACTTATTTAAAAGTATTTATCATTTTTATAATTTAATAAAAGATTAAACAGATCATTGAATTAGTAAAAGACAAAGTAACTCTATAAATAAATGGAAAAGACACAGATACCCCAGGCATGGTGGCTCATGCTTATAATACCAGTACTTTGGGAGGGGGTGGTGGGGGGATTGCTTGAGGCTAGGAGTTCCAGACCAGCCTAAGAAACAAAGCAAGACCTCCTCTCTAGTAAAAATAAAAAAATAAAAATAATTGGCCAGGCATAGTGGCATGTGCCTATAGTCCCAACTACTGAGGTGGAAGGATCACCTGAGCCTAGGAGGTCAAGGCTGCAGTGAGTTGAGACTGTGCCACTACACTGAAGCCTAGGAGACAGAGCGAGACTTCATCTCAAAAAAAAAAAAAAAGGACAATAAAGAAATAAAGCTAATAAGCTAACATAAGGGAAGATAAAATATGTGACAAATAGGCTGGGCACATGGCTCACAGCTGTAATCAAGCACTTTGGGAGGCCAAGGCGGGTAGATCACGAGATCAGGAGTTCGAGACCAGCCTGATCAACATGGTGAAACCACGTTTCTACTAAAAATACAAAAATTAATCAGGCATGGTGGCATATTCCTGTAATCCCAGCTACTCAGGAGGCTGAGGCAGGAGAATCGCTTGAACCTGGGAGGCACAGGTTGCAGTGAGCCGAGATCACACCACTGCACTCCAGCCTGGTCGACAGAGCGAGACTGTGTCTCAAAAAAGAAAAAAGAATGGGTGACAAAGTAATAATAGGAGGTCTTTCATTTATCACACAGAAAATAACTTGTTAAATTATAATACCTGTGTGGGCGAAGGTGCAGTGAAATGGCCATTTTCTTGTAGTATTAGTGGTGTTTAAAATGTATATAAGCCTTCCAGCATAAAGCTTGGAAATTTTTTTTAAATCCTACAGACAGTGACTCATTATACTGCCTCCTCCAACTCCTGGCCTCAAGCAATCCTCCCACCTCAGCCTCCCAAAGTGCTGGAATTGCAGGCTGACAGCCACCATGCCTGAAAGCTTTGCAATTTACATTGAGGGTAATAAGAATGCTCATGCCCTGTGACTCACAGTAATCTCACTTCTGGAAATTTCACCTTTGGATATAATTCAACCTAAACAAAAGGTCATATGCACAAACACAGTGAAAATCTGGGAGTAATTTTTTTCTCTTTTTTTTAAAAAATATGGAATGCTTCACAAATTTGCATGTCATTCTTTCACAGAGGCCGTGCCAATCTCTCTATTGTTCCAACTTAAGTATGTGTGCTACTGAGGCAAGCATGAGTAATTTAAGATAGGGTGGTTAAGTGAAATAAGGAAGAATTATGGAGAATTTAAAAATCTATGCTATTTATAGGCACCTAGTAACAGCTCAGTAAATATTAGCTGCTACTATTATTATTTTTATGGTAATTTCACTCAATTAAAAACTGTCGTTAAAAATTACCATTGTCATGGAACATAATGTCTCCTACTGTATAATTGTAGAAACAGATACAATTTGTCCCTTGGTATATGGGGGGATTAGTTCCAGCTCTCCCATTTCTGTGTATACCAAAATCCACGCATACTCAAGTTTTCGAAGTCAGTCCTGTGGAATCCACATATAACACAAATGGGAAAATTAGTGAGGTGTGGTGACAAGCACCTGTAGTCCCAGCTACTTGTGAGGCTGAGGCAGGAGGATTGCTTGAGCCCAGGAGGTTGAGGCTGCAGTGAGCCATAATTGCACCACTGCACTCCAGTCTGGGCAACAGAGTGAGACAGAAGGTTGACTTTTTAATAGAATTTTTCTGTTCACTTGAAGATATGGTCAGGATTGTGGCATATGAAAATTCTTCATAAAATAACTATCTAATCCAATTAATGCTGGAATTGGGAACAGCAGAAGTGTCATCTCAGAGCTACTCGCAATGAAAGGTGATGTCTGGGGCTCAGGTGTGTTGAGGTCCCCATGCCTGGACTATGGGTGCTGAGTGGGATTTACTTGTCCATCCATTTTCTATATTCCAGCACTGGGAAACTAGGGACAGTACTTGTTCTCAAGGGAATCTTCAGCTTAGGTGGCTCTGTAAAAGAGAAATTACATCATTGAAAAATCGTCGCAGGTCAGGTGAGGTGGCTCATACCTATAATCCCAGCCCACTGGGAGACTAAGGCAGGAGGATTCCGTGAGGCCAGGAGTTCAAGACCAGCCTGAGCAACACAGTGAAACCTCATCTCTACAAAAAATTAGAAAATGAACTGGGTGTGGTAAAACATTCGTATAGTCCCAGCTACTCTGGAGGCTGAAATAGGAGGATCGCTTGAGCCCAGGAAGTGGAAGCTGCAGTGAGCTCTGATCTCACCACTGCACTCTAGCCTTGGTGACAGAGTGAGACCCTGTCTCAAGACACACACAAACACACACACACACACACACACCCAATCTCACTCTGTCCAGCCTTGACTAATCAAAAGGGCCTTCTGGTTACAGAAGAGGTATGCTCTTTTGTAGGACAGGGAGAGACCAGCAAGCTTGTTCACAGACTTTTCCTCATCCTCTGCTTAGTTTTCCAAGAACCCTCACAGTGGAAATGGAGTCTCTGGGAAAATGACCTAAATCTTTGGGTTACCAGGGGAGAAATATGCCTCCTTTGTCAATTAATAAATGGAACATCTGCCTTAAAATCCAGGGAGTTCTGCTAGAATGAATCACTCCCTAAGACCCTGACCAATGCATGGAACATGAAAAACTGAAGTTTAACTGGGCGCGGTGGATCACGCCTGTAATCCCAGCACTTTGGGAGGCTGAGGCGGGCGGATCACCTGAGGTCAAAAGTTCTAGATCAGCCTGGCCAACATGGTGAAACCCCGTCTCTACTAAAAATACAAAAATTAGTTGGGCATGGTGGTGGACACCTGTAATCCCAGCTACTTGGGAGGCTGAGGCAGGAAAATTGCTTGAACCCGGAAGGCGGAGGTTGCAGTTACTTCTAGAAGAATTTCCATTAGCCCTTTGAAATCCTTCAACATTCATGAAGGCCAAAGAGTTTTCACCTAATTTAATCTGATGGGTATGTGACCAGAGTCTTTCTAGGGAATAGAGACTCCCAAACAGTTCGACTGGGAAGTGAGGAGAGAATTTATTACTCAAAACCAAAGGGAAATGAAAAGAGGCCAACATAGAATGTCATTATTCTTTCTTGGCGGGGAATGGATTCCAGAGTCATTCTGTGACCTTTACATGACCTCCTTATTAGCATCTAAAAGCTTCCAGTGTAGGATGCAGCCAGCTAGGTTCTCTTCTAATGTAATAAAATTTGCTTCGGCAAATCTTATGCAGAGCCATCTCCAGGCTCCAGAAACAATAGGCTATAAATTACTGGATCTCCCATTTGATACAACGAAGTATGAGCATGGTCCTGAATGACTCCTCTACATACTACTCTGGGTGGCTTGAAGTGAATTTGATACAAGAACTGGAGCGAGGGCAAAGCAGAGCTAGATCTAGGATTAATGTGCTTGGGCCCAGCTCCTCACTACTCACCTATGAGTCTAGTTCCAGAACCCAAGTAGAGGATGGGGAAACAAGGCTCCTGACTTTTTTTCCCTAATGTCTGCATCTCTTTCACATTTCTTATCTCCTTGCAAAGAAACTAAACAGGCTCAACTGAAATAACTAAATGATTAAACCCTATACAGAGAATCTCCAAAGACTGACAAAATATCATTCAAGACTGTTACACAGACAACCTTGAGGATGACTTGATGTACCAGTGATCTACAATATTTGGGATCATTCCAAATTCCCATCAAGGATCTGCCTATATCAACAAAGGAGCCAAGGACCAACCATTCAAATGGGCCCTGCTGCCAAGCCTTTTTTTTTTTTTTAACAATGCCATCTCTTCATATTGTTCCATTTAACAAAACTGCAGCCCTTCATCTATCCTTAAGTCCCTTGGCCAATGGTACAGAGCCAGAGTATGCTACTCCCTAGCAGGAAATCAACAGGATGACCTACTAAACACCATTCAGAAGATGCTAAGACCCATGAATTGCAACAGGAAAGAAAAGACAGAGAATTAGTCAGACAGGTACATGCTGTGCCAAAAATGCACTACAGCCCCCACCCAATTCTGCCTAATCCTAGCTGGGCTGACACCAACCTGATGAGACAGGCCTATAAGATCTCAAACTAAAACAGAAACTCCTGAACTGGGTTCTTTCGAGCCCAGGAAGCAGCAGTAAATCATTAAAGAACAGATAAGTTCTTAAGGTGAGGGAGAGTTTCAGATAAATGGAATGCTGGTAGAACACAGGGCCCAAAGGAGCAAAAGTTAACCTAAGCCCAGGTAGAACCTTGTTTACTAGAGTATTAGGCATGGGTTTGGGCAACTATTCTAACCAGAGAAACTGGCTTCAGTGAGGGCAAGTTGGCAATCCAAGGTATAGCATGCATAGGGCTGGCAAAATTCAGGGTGACTGAAGCAAAAGCTTCAGAACCAGAAAGACCACATCTGGGGGTAGAGCACAAAACTCTCAAGAGATGAATCTTTGTAAGAGTGAGGCAGAACTATATAGCAGTTTTAGGAGATCTGTTGGTGCCCAGCAAGAGCTCCAAACGGGCTATATGCAGGGATGCAGGCTGTAGTCTCAGGAGAGGAGGTTCACAAAAGTCATTCAGTCCAAGACCTCAAACTGTGTTCTCTACTAAAAGGAATCAAGGTTCCCTAGAGAAACGGCTGACTCCATGCATGGTGCAGTATATTGATCCTGGAACATCTGTTTTGCCAGAAAGCAAGGAAGCCATCAAAGTCCAACAGGATCACGTCAAAAAGACATGAAAGTCAACTTGAAGAGATAATTATTAACCTAGATGAGACAATGTAAGCATCCAAAACAGTAAAGACTGCAATGGCCTGAAATACATCAAATGCAAACAATAATCTATGAGTTCATAATGGTATTCAGAAAAAAAAACTACTGGTCATTAGAGGGAAGGTTACTAGGTCACTAACTTACTACTCTGAAAAGTGACTTAAGATGAGAGGTAGGGTGGAGAATTAGCTATTTATTCAGTCTTTCCTGTACAAACATAAATTTTTAGGGAGATTGAAGCAGATGAAACAAATCTGGAAAAATGGAGGTAACTGCTTAATCTGCGGGTTGGGTGCATGGAGGTTCAACATATTTCTTTTGTGTATATTTGAACCCCCTACAAAAAAAGCACAAGACAGAATGTGAGCCAAGCAGCTTAGGGTTTAGGCAAGGCTTCTGCCTACAAGAGACACTAGGATATGAGGGGTAGTTTTAGCCCTAATGGGCTGAGCCAACTGGAGGTATATAGGGAAGTGCTAAATTGCAGAGGTATCATGTTGCCCAGCACTTGATCAAATCCTAGATCCTAGGTCTGCTTGGTAGCATGCTTCCTAGGTAGTGGATCTGAGGCTACCTATAGAACTTCCTTTGCAGTCATAGTTCGCTCAGAAACTACAAAAGTGCTTGCTCTTGAAAATGGAGTCTTTGTCCATTTCATGCTTCTATAAAAGAATACCACAGACTGCATAATTTATAAAAAGGAAAAAAGGAAGGAAAGAAAAAAGGAAGGGAGGAGGGAAGGAGGGAAAAAGGGAAGGAGGGAAGGAAAGGAAGGAAGGGAAAGAAGGAAAGGAAGGAAGGGAAAGAGAGAAAGAGGGAAGGAGGAAGGGAGGGAAGGAGGGAGGGAGGGAGAGAGAGAGGGAGGGAGGGGAAGGGAAGAAAAGGGAAGAGAAGGGAAAGGAGGAAGAAAAGGAAAGGAAAGGAATAAATTTTATTTCTTAACAGTTCTGGATGTTAGGAAGTCCAAGGTTGAGGGGCCTGCATCTGGTAAGGGTCTTCTTGCTGCATCATCCCACTACAGAAGGCAGAAGGAAAAGAGAGTGCAAGAAAGCAAGAGGGCAAAAGGGGCTGAACTCTGTTTTATAATAAGCCCACTCTGTGATTACTAATCTATTACCACAATAACAACATTAACTCATTCATGAAGCCTATTTTATTAGGCCCCACATCCCAACTGTTGCATTGAGGATTGAGTTTCCAGCACATAAACTTTGGGGGACACATTTAAACCACAGCAGAGCACTTAGGTTAATTCAACTAAGAGGAGCTGGGAAAATCAAAGGCATGAGAAAGACAGCAAAAGCTAGCAGAGAGAAATGCATAGGTTAAGGAAAAAAGTCACAGTGAATCCTGTAGTGCAGGCTACTTTATCAAAAGCACCTAAAAAAGATCTCATTAACTCCCCCAGCTCACCTCCATGCACATCTAAAGAGCCACACACAGCACCACCAAAGGCAGCACAATGAGAACAGCATTCTCCTCAACAGACAAGCTGGGAGTATCTAGACACCTGACCTCAATAGCTCCAGAACAGCCCTAAAACATTTCCTCCCTAACCACCACTCAAGTCACCAGCTTGGAAAGTATTAAGAAAACCCAAATCCTGACACACCACTATGAAACAACTTAAAACAGCAAAGAACAACCCATTTAAACAGCAATGCCAGCTGTTGGGAAAAAAAGGAACAATGAGTAGAGGAGAAACAGACCTCTCGGGGTCCACCAAGACCCAGTCTCTCAGCTTCAGCACTTTTAAATGCAGAATCCATACCCCTCTGGGGCCTGTGGAGCTCCACAAGGCATGTCGTCCTCAAAGATAAATGAGCAGGCAAGCTGGCTAGAAAACCACTAAGGGTATTTATTCTTTAAAGAATCTTTATAGGGTCAAAGAAGAATGGGTCCTAACTGGCTATGTGAACTCCCCACAGATTCTGAGGATGATGTCATTATCCCTTTCCAGATGTGTTTAACACTTTGCAGTCACTTGTATTCCTGCCACTGAGTGCCAGTGCTTTGCTAATTTGAACTGATTCCAGCTCACGCTGACCCCAGCTCCCTGGATGTTACCATTAGCCAAGACTGTCACCCATACTGTACCCTTTCAAAGAGTCCTAAAAACAGCTCTTCACCTACTCTTCCAAGACAAGTAAAAATGACTGCCAAAGAAATGGGGAAAAAAGATTCAGAGAGTGAAAACAATTAATATACTAACAAGAGAGCAAAAAGCAAAGGGGGAGGAGAAACTAGGAAAATCATATATGGGCTCTCACCTATTTCCAAAGCTGGGCTAATGTCCTTCTGCTTGTGTCTGAATAAGGCACCAATTTTAAGCTGCTAATGAAAAAAAAAGAAAAAGAGAAAGAAGCAGGCCCAGGCTGGGCGCAGTGGCTCATGCCTGTAATCCCAGCACTTTGGGAGGCCGAGGCGGGTGGATCACCCAAGGTCAGGAGTTCTAGACCAGCCTGGTCAACATGGTGAAACACCATCTCTACTAAAAATACAAAAAATTAGCCAGGCATGGTGGCGCATGCCTGTAAATCCAGCTACTAAGGAGGCTGAGGCAGGAGAATTGCTTGAACCTGGAAGGCAGAGAATGTGGTGACCTGAGATCACGTCATTGCCCTCAAGCCACGGCAATGAGAACAAAATTCAGTAAAAACAAAACAAAACAAAACAAAACCACCATAAAATAACTCAGACTTAATTAAATACAACCCTAGTGGTGAATGACTAAAGATGGATTACTCATAACAGAGATAACAGTCCAATAAGAATCCAGGAATCTTACCTTTTAATAACAAAAAAATCCTTTCCTTCTAAAGTAACATCCTCTCAAGGCCAGGAATTCCATTAGTAGAAAGCCTTCCTAAAAAACAAAATTCCTGGCCAGGCATGGGTTCACGTCTGTAATCTCAGCATTCTGGGAGGCCGAGGCGGGAAGATCACTTGATATCAGGAGTCGAGGCGGGAAGATCACTTGACGTCAGGAGTTCGAGACTGGCCCGGCCAACATGGTGAAACCGCATCTCCACTAAAAATACAAAAATTAGCCTGGTGTGGTGGTGGGCACCTGTAATCCCAGTGACTTGGGAGGCTAAGGCAGGAGAATTTCTTGAACCCAGGAGGCAGAGGTTGCAGTGACCAGCAAGGTTGCGCCATTGCACCCCAGCCTGGGCGATAAGAGTGAAAACTCCATCTCAAAAAAAAAAAAAAAAAAAAAATTCCTTTGGGAAGGCCTTCTACATAAAAATCTTCAACATGAGACTGGAAAAAAGGGTATGGGATCATCACCGGACCTTTGGCTTTTACAGCTCGAGCTATAAGAACAAAAAGAAAAAGGGATATCATTTAAACACGGTATGTAGAAAAGAATAATTATTGAATCTGTACTGGTCTTTAACTTTTACACTTTGATCTTTAATTCTGTTATTGTGATTGAGTCCAAAGAAAAACAGTATGAGTAAAATAAAAAGAACACCAAAAATGCTAATATTCTGTTTACCGAAGTCTGTAGTGAAATATCCCATTAAATCCAAGTGCAGTGACACACCCATAATCCCAAGCACTTTGGGAGGCTGAGGCGGGTGAATCTCCTGAAGTCAGGAGTTCAAGGCCAGCCTGGCCAACATGGTGAAACCCCAACTCTACTACAAATACAAAAATTAGGCAGGCGTGGTGGCAGAGGCCTGTAATCCCAGCTACTTAGGAGGCTGAGGCAGGGAGAATTGCTTGAACCCAGGAGGTGAGCTTGCCATGAGCTGAGATCATACCACTGCACTCCAGCGTGGGTGACAGAACAAAACTTCAACCTCCAAAAAAAAAAAAAAAAAAACAGCTAGCAGGTGACATTTGCTATAGGGAGTAGGGAGACTAGGGATATGATCTTGCTGCAATCTTTCCATTTTAGTAAATCTAAACAAGTGTGAATCCATTCTGTTTCGTCCCCACTCCACTCCAGAGCCAAAACAAGAAAATCAATTATATTTCTAGTTCTTTAAAAACATATCTAACTAAATCATCTAATTAAAAGATAATATGCATGGTTCCATACTCTAAAAGAAAACTTATGTCCTGCATATCATGGACATTTGATGAATGCTTATTCAGTTGACTGGTGTAGACTTCAATAATAACCTGTTCAATGCATTATGCCAGATGAATCTTGCATCTCAAAAGTAGAACAAATATTGTTCTTTCAGTTTTGTCTACCCATAAATGCAATATTTACTAATAAAAAGAAAATGAGTTTATTGTTCTAGAGAGTATGAGAATTTTGACAACATGAATTCTCCTGTCCTAGGACATAATTAATACTTAGAGGCATACTATTTCATGTGGAAGCTACCATTAAATCAATGTTAAGTGTTAATTACCTCACATAATCTTCTAATCTGACTTGACTGAAGACGTACCTGACAAAGTTGATTTATCAAGTTGTAAATCTTCACCTGTTGAATTCATAAGTTCATGTCTGAAAGGTGAGAATAAATACTTAATATTCATTAGGCAATATTCAGCAAAGTAATATCCACTAGTACATATTTAATATTTCATCATGAACTGCGGGTGTGAAGAGAAAAGACAGGCTGGGCACAGTGGCTCACACCTGTAATCCCAGCAGTTTGGGAGGCCGAGGCAGGCAGATCATGAGGTCAGGAGTTCGAGACCAGCCTGGCCAACATGGTAAAACCCCGTCTGTACTAAAAGTACAATAATTAGCTGGGCATGGTGGCAGGCACCTGTAATCCCAGCTACTCGGGAGGCTGAGGCAGGAGAATTGCCTGAACCCAGGAGGTGGAGGTTGCAGAAACCATTATCATGCCACTGCATTCCAGCCTGGGCAAGAGAGCAAGATTCTGTCTCCATCAATCAATCAATAAAAATATAAGGAGGAAGCATTTACTGTGTATTTATATGTCTGGTATTATGTGAAGCACTTTACTATCTTATCAAATCTTCGGGACAGATCTTCAGTTCTCATGACCACAAAAGAGGATACTAAAGCTCAGACAGGAGAAGAGACGTGGCCAGCCTGTGTCCCCAGGGCCTATGGTCTTACCACTAGGTTACAGTGTTTCCAGATATCACATGTTGTGAGATTTTTGCTTTAAAATGAACCAAAAAAAAACCAAAGGTGAAAAAGGCATAAGCTATTAAAAAGTGGGAGAAACACTAAGAGAACCTTAAGCATGTAACTAAAAATATTACGGAAATGTTATTGAATTCATTAGCAAATTTAGTGCTAGGTTTTCATTGAGGAGTAGGTTATATTACTCATGATGAAGAAAAATGTTCATTTTAAGTATATTAACATAAATACCATCAATATTGTTTATCATGTTTAAATGTTCACTTAAAGCAATTCAGTTAAAATTCTGCATATCATACAATTTTGTAGTTTGCTAGTAGGTTACAAGTAAATAGTCACCCAAATAAAAACATCATGTTTTCCACTGGTTGTTGCTCTTTTTTAGGTGAGTATTTGATGTATATCAACAGAGAGAGGATAATAACAAATCGCTAATTTCTTTCATCACTATATAAAGGTGGCTTCAGGATAGAATAGTATCAGCGCAATGATGAATTTGAAATCTAACATCAATTCAGTGATGCATCAAGATAAAAGTAGAGACAACAGGGGCACCTTGGTGAGTACTGAACATTTTATTTATTTATTTATTTTGAGATGGAGTTTTGCTCTTTTTGCCCAGGCTACAGTGCAATGGTGCCAACCTCGCCTCACTGCAACCTCTGCCTCCTGGGTTCAAGCGATTCTCCTGCCTTGGCCTCCCGAATAGCTGGGATTACAGACATGTGCCACCATACCCGTCTAATTTTGTATTTTTAGTAGAGACGGGGTTTCTCCATGTTGGTCAGGCTGGTCTCGAACTCCCGACCTAGATATCTGCCTGCCTTGGCCTCCCAAAGTGCTGGGATTACAGGTGTGAGCCACCGTGCCCAGATGAATTCCAAATTTAACAAAGCAGACTAAGAGAAACAATTCATTTAAAAAAATAATATTTGGCCAGGCATGGTGGCTCACACCTATAATCCCAGCACTTTGGGAGGCTGAGGTGAGTGGATCAGGAGGTCAGCAGTTCAAGACCAGCCTAGCCAAGATCATGAAACCCCGTCTCTACTAAAAATACAAAAATCAGCCAGGCGTGGTGGCTGGTGCCTGTAATCCTAGCTGCTCGGGAGGCTGAGGCAGAGAACTGCTTGAACCCGGGAGGCGGAGGTTGCAGTGAGCCGAGATCGTGCCACTGCACTCCAGCCTGGGCGACAGAGTGAGGCTCCGTCTCAAAAAAAATAAATAAATAATTCAATGAAATTCCTAAGATCCAGGGCTTTGCAATAAATATGTAAATAAATATCCAATCTCCATACTGAAAGTTTAAAAGAAATGCTAACTAATAACTAAAGAAATACAACTTTTCCTCAGCTTTGCAGCAATCTAGAAACAAAGTGTGTAGACACTACAAAGCACCTTACAAGGAGAAACATGTAAGGATGGCATGACTCGCCGGCAGCCCTGGGCTTGTCCACGGTACCCCCATGATGAACAGTAACTCCACTGTGTAAACGCCCATGAACATAAGATTACAAGACTTTTCCAGTTTAGACATACCATATTTTCTTTCAGACAATTCTTCAGTTTGTTTACGTAGATCAGCGATACGATGATTCCATTTCTCTGAAAACCAAGCAAAAGTTGCTTCTCAATAACACGTCCCTATGTCAGAGCAGCACTAACGTATAATGACTGATTTCATATATTTTACATTCTAACAGTCCATATCATTTTACTGCTTTCAAGAAAAAATTTCCCCTTCTTGGTGGTTCTTAGAATTGGTTTAATGGGAGACTATTAGAGAAGCTGAAAAGCAGGAGGGCAGAAAAGTTCAATCAAATTAAACACAATAACAGGGAGGTCACAATGAGGCGGTCTCCAGGGGTCTTTTAGCAAACTTCCTAAAACATGTCTCAGCTGTGTGAAATAAGACTTTACAGCAGCCGGGTGCAGTGGTGCAGGCCTGTAATCCCAGCACTTTGGCAGCACAGGCAGGCGGATCACTTTGAGCTCAGGGCAACATAGCCAAAACCCCCCTCCCTAGCCCCACCCCCACCCCGTCCCTACCAAAAATACAAAACAGCAGGGCATGGTGGCGGGCGCCTGTAGTCCCAGCTACTCAGGAGGCTGAGGCAGGAGAATCACCTGAACCCAGGAGGCAGACATTGCAGTGAGCCAAGATCACGCCACTGCCAGCCTGGATGACAGAGCAAGACTCCACCTCAAAAAAAACAAAAACAAAAACACAAGGTTAAGAGGGACCCCCGACCTTACAGATACAAGTTTAAGAGGGACCCCTAAGCAAAAAATGCCAACCCCTTTTCTCCCAATCATTGAAACACCAGGAGGGTGTAACAGTTTTGCAGCCTAGCTGTAGCAGGCTGATGCCCCCAAGATGCCCATATCCTAATCCCGGGAACTGGTGAACATGACCTTATATGGCAAAAGGAGCTTTGCAGATATAATGAAGTTAAGGGTCTTTGGCTTTTGGGGTTGATGTACTCACTCGGATCCTTGTAAGAGCAGAGCAGGTGATGGAGAGGGTGGGAGGTGTAGTGACAGAAGCAGGAAACTCCAGTCATTCGAGACGGGCAGCACAAGCTGCAGAGTGCAGGCCACCTCTACGGCCAGGAAACGGATTCTCCCGCAGAGCCTCGGAAGCTACCGACCCTGCTCCCACCTTGACTCAGTAGGACTTACTGTAGAATTCTGGCCTTCAGACCTGTAAGGGAATACATTTTGGTTGTTTTAAGTCACTACGTGTGTGGTAATTTGTTGCAGCAGCCACAGGAAACTAGTATTGTAGTGAAGCCTCAAAACCCCCCTGAAGGGGCTGGGCTCAGTGGCTCATGCCTGTAATCCCAGCACTTTGGGAGGCCGAGATGGGTGGATCACTTGAGGTCAGGAGTTCGAGACCAGCCCAGCCAACATGGTGAAATGCCATCTATACAAAAAATACAAAAACTAGCCGGGCATGGTGGCACATGCCTGTAATCTCAGCTACTCAGGAGGCTGAGACAGGAGAATTATTTGAACCCAGGGGGGCAGAGGTTGCAGTGAACTGAGATTCCACCACTGCACTCCAGCCTGGGTGACAGAGCGACGCTCCATCTCGAAAACAAAACAAAACAAAAAAACCCCACCTGAAGGTTTCCAGTTCTGCCAGCACTCTCCCACCCAACCCCCAGAAACAGACATTCCATTGCTGTGGGCCATGGACAGGCAGAAGGAAGCACCTCCTCATGGCAGAGGCCTACCCAGGAGAAACCCAAGGGAAGGCACTACTGGGCTGGCCCCTCTCTGCCAAGGCCATATTCTTTTTTTTTTGAGGCCAGTTTCACTCTGTCTCCCAGACTGGAGTGCAGGGGCACAATCTCGGCTCACTTCGACCTCTGCCTCCCCAGTTCAAGTGATTCTCCTGCCTCAGTCTCCTGAGTAGCTGGGATGACAGGAGTGTAGCATGCCTAGCTAATTTTTGTATTTCTAGTAGAGATGCGGTTTTGCCATGTTGCCCAGGCTGGACTCGAACTCGCCTCAAGTAGTCCACCTGTCTCAGCCCCGCAAAGTGCTGGTATTACAGGAGTGAGCCACTGCACCCAGCATTTGCCAAGACCTTTGATGGCAGGCTTTTTCCAGGTGATCAGTCCTTGTCTGGTCTGGCTCTGCCCCACTCTCCTTCTCACCTAGTTGGAATCCCTAGCTACTTTTCAGTAGAGGAGAGTGTGTACCCCAATCCCAGCTTGGTTCAGATCTGCATTTAACTCATGGAACCTGGCTGCTCCCCAGGTTCTGAAGAAAAAAACGGTCTCTCTGTGTGTATGATAAAGGATGGGCCTGTCCCCAGGACCCTGTGAGAGGGAAGCCCAATGTCCCACCAGGTTGGCAGGGCTGGGGAAGGGAAAGTGTTATGGCAGCCCCAAGAAAAAAAAGAGGCAGCAGAGGGAGCAGGACAGCGCTCACATGGAACTCATGCCACTGCCTGAGGGGAGGGAGGAGTGCACGCCAGTGACGTCAGGGGGCAGAGAGGCACAGTTCCAGGGCGGCTTTCCCCCTCACTTCCTGCCATGTTACTCTGATCGCCTCCAGGTGAGCCTGCCCACTTTGTGCCCAGGGGCCTGTAGAAAACCACAGCTCCCCATGGTTATGGCCCCAGGAGTGGGGCAGAGCAGGGAGGAGTCCTGGACAGAGGAGAGGCAGGGGTAGGAGGGAGTGGGCCTCAAACTCCAGGAGGGGGCCCTTCTCATGGGTCCTGCTTTCTGGCTTCTCCTTCCTTACCCCTGGGCTGATCACTTGGGGAAGAACTGGGACAAAGTTTCTCACCCTCAGGCCCAAAGGGTTTAATTACTGGGCCCTTATGGAGGTGTGAGCCCCCTGAAAGGATGCAAGGTTTTGTTTTGTTTTGTTTTTTGAGACAGAGTTTCACTCCTGTCGCCCAGGCTGGAGTGCAGTGGCGTGATCTCACCACACTACAACCTGCGCCTCCCAGGTTCAAGTGATTCTCCTGCCTCAGCCTCTGGAGTAGCTGGGATTACAGGTGGCTGCCACCACGCCTGGCTAATTTTTTGTATTTTTAGTAGAGACAGGGTTTCGCCATGTTGGGCAGGCTGGTCTTGAACTCCTGACCTCAGGTGATCCGACTGGCTCCGCCTCCCAAAGTTCTGGGATCACATCAGCCACTGTGCTTGGCCACAATGAAAGGTTTTGTGTGGAGAGCATGTACATGCCTTTCTGGGAAAACAGTCCACAGCTCTTATTCTCAGCAGGCTTCACGGTGAAAAAAGGTTAGAACTCTTGCTACAGAGCTGTGGAAGCAGCCAGGTGAGGGGCCTGCCAAGGGCACTCTGGGCACTACCTGGGCACTCTCGAGCCCATCATCCCCTAGGCAGGCTGCACTGCTTGGTATTTGCAGAGCTGAGGGGGTGGGGCATGTGGGGACTGTGAAATCGCCCTGAGATGACCCACAGTCCTCAGCTAGGAAGTGAGCGCTGCATCTCCTGCAGCGTCCTCCATCCCTAGAGCCATGGGGCCAGGAGAACCGGCCCTTGCAGCAAGTGAAAAGCCTATTATTGATTCCCTCCCTAGCCATGTAGACAGTGAACCAAGACACTCATATCAGGTAAATGCCTTGTTCTCTGTTACCAAGGTAACCAGTAGGCATTCCCAGATACAGCGAAGGTCCTCACACCAAGATATGCACCTGGCCACCTGAGGAAAGAGAAAGGACTATCTGAGGGGATGGGGCTGAGCTGGGTGTGGAGTGGTCCTTGTGGGTCTTGGAGAGTGGGAGGGGGAGCAGCATGAGCCAGGCCTCAAGGCAGAAGGACAACCAGGAGACAGCCTGGAAAAAGTGCTGGACCCACAAGGGCTCAAGGCTGGCCAGAGGGGAGGTGGGATAGGCTGTAAAGTCCTGAGGTCTGAAGATTGGCCCTGGCAGGAAGAAACCAGGTAAGGTGGGGTGTTACCTACACCCTCGGGGCCAGATGCAGGCCAGAGCCCGCCAATTACCAGGCCCTTAGGGAGGTGTGAGCCCCTTGAAATGATGCAAGGTTTTTTGTTTTTGTTTTGGAGACGGAGTTTCGCTCTTGTCACACAGGCTGGCACCTTTGCCCAGAGCAGGCACCAAGACTTCTGGCTCTGGGTGTGACCTCAGTCTGGGTAAAAGCCCCAGCCCCCACCAGCACCACCTACCCCCTAGACTACTTCAGGTGCTGAGCCCAAGCCAGGGGCAGGAAGCTAAACTGATGCCTAGGGTAATCCCAACAAAGTCCCTGGTTCCCCGCAGCTATGGGGCTGACGGGGAATTACAGCCCAAACCCCAGATGCTGGCTCTCAAACTAACACTGAGCCCTCAGTGCCCACAGGGAGATACAATCAGCGCACTTTCCAGATGGGGAAATGGGATCAGAGAAGTGCAACAGCCTTGCCCAATGCCCCAGACCAGGGCTCCAGGCCCAGAGTGTTCTTTTGTCACTGTGTTCAGAGGGCAGCAGCTGCTGTGATGTACCCACCTGAGCCTGGCAGCTTTCTCCAACTTTGGAAGCCCAGGAGCATGGCCCCTGTCCACAGATGCACCTGGCATGAGGCGTGCCCAGAGGGACAGAGGCAGATGAGTTTCGTCTCCTCCACTGGATTGTGAGGGCCTAGAAGGAGACAAGGGTCTGCTTGAGAAGGCAGTGAACAGCGAGCAGCCTGAGGCAGTGCCCCTCTGGATGGATGCGCAGTGCCTGGATGGAACCTGGCTCAGACAGAGCTCAGTTCTGCAGGTCCCTGAGGCATGGAGAGTTCACAGCTACCAAGTGTAGGAGTCTGGATTCAAAGCCAACGGCGTGACTCCAAAGTCCCTGCCCTAGCCCCTGGACCACCCTTGCAGGCCCATCAGATGCCCAGGCCAGCAGCACAGCCGGCCAAGACCAGGGAAACTTGGGGAGCCTCAGAGCACCCCCAGGTATTCCAACCTAACCCTGGTGCCCCGCCTCTCACCACCCTTCTTCCTGCTTTAACCTCAACCCCTACACAAAGCCTGGGCCACTTCATGTGGCATCAAACAGACGCCTCAATAAATCAGTCTAATCTCGAAAAAAAAAAGACTTAACAGATATACAATTGCACGTTAGAATGCTAAAGACCATAAACATAGAACAACTTAAAGTACATATAAATTCAATATATATCCAATCATTGTAACTATGACACAGTAGAATATTAAAATACTATTTTCAAAATGTATACAAGCTTAATGTTCTATGTATTCAAACTATTTATTCAAAATACAAATCATCAACATACATTGCCACTAATATTCAGTCCCTTCACAGGACATGATTCACTGGGAGTTAATAAATTAGCAGCCAGCAGGCAGTGACACACCGCAAAAATGAAAACCAAGAGGTGAAATAGTTCTGAAATAAAGGTTTTAAAGCTAACAGAAATCACTGAATTACTAAGTCATTAGCACTAATTTTGAGCCAACTAACTAATTAATATGAGATGATACAATGTCCTATACTTTGGTAAATACAGACTATGTTTAAACAATGTCTGTAACGTGACTTGTAAAATGCTCCTGGCTTTACAAAGATGTGATTAAGATGTAGTAACACATGCTAAACCATTTCCCCCTGCAGAGCATGTGGTAACTTTCATCAGTCACACTGAGAGTCCAGAAGATAAAGGAAAAGGTCATGGATTTCGCTGAGAACTTACCAGAGTTGAACTCCCTCATTTTCCGTTCCCCAGCATTGGCGGGTTCTGGGACTGGTGGCTGTGGTGGCTCGTTGGTCTTTGTCTCTTAGAAGGTGGGGAATAATCATCATCTTGAAAAAGAAAAAATGGTCATTACTGAAGGAACCATCTTAGGTTACAGCCACCTCTGGGTCAATTCCCAACATTCAAAAGCTGAGCAGGGCTTTAAAGCTATCTTATTAATAATTATTTCTGTATTGCGAACTTCAGCATATTTTTTTCTAGTTACATTTGAAATGTTTTTCTTTTGGGATGTGCTCAAGTGAGTACTGCTTTTTCCTCTGCCTTGCTTCATTACTTTTTAGTTTCCTTCATTTGAATCATCATTGTAAGTCTCCCCTTCTCCTCAAATAACTTTCAAATTGCTGCCAAGAACTACGTTCTATCTTAAGGCTTTTGAGAAAAAACTTTCAATGAAGATAGCCGCCTAAAGTTATACAAATATAGAAGAAACGGGATAAAATAAAGCTTAGATTGGAAAAAATATTTAAGATTCTACAAAATTCACGCGTAAACAAGGGAAGCTGAGTAATTGTATGTTCAAATACTTTTAACAAGTGCAAAACATGTAGGCTTAAAGAAATAGAGCTGGCCAGGCATGGTGGTTCACGCCTGTAATTCCAACAGTTTGGGAGGCCGAGGCAGGCAGATAACTTGAGGTCAGGAATTCGAGACCAGCCTGGCCAACAGAGTGAAACCCTCTCTCTACTAAAAATACAAAAATTAGGCCAGGAGTGATGGCTCATGCCTGTGATCCCAGCACTTTGAGAGGCCGAGGCGGGTAGATCACCTGAGGTCAGGAGTTTGAGACCAGCCTAACCAACATAGGGAAACCCCGTCTCTACTAAAACTACAACATTAGCCGGGTGTGGTGGCACATGCCTGTAATCCCAGCTACTCGGGAGGCTGAGGCAGGAGAATCCCTTGAACCCAAAAGGCAAAGATTGTGGTGAGCCGAGATTGTGCCATTGCACTCCAGCCTGGGCAAAAACAGCGAAACTCCGTCTCAAAAAAAAAAAAAAAGAAAAAATTAGCCAGGCATGGTGAAGTTGCGGTGAGCTGAGACTGCACCATTGCACTCCAGCCTGGGTAGCAGAGCAAGACCCTGTCTCAAAAAAAAAAAAAAAAAAAAAAAAAAAGAGAGAGAGAGAAAGAAAGAAAGAGGGCTACATTATTTATGAAACAGATACTGTTAACTCAGTCACCAGAAAGCCTGTGTATAAATGAGCAGTGAGATATTCAAGCACAGCACACACACACTTCTCAGGACAGCTGTCGTGAGTGTTCCATGCTCGTTTCCTTCTGGATACATCAGCAACTCACTCTGCTATGATCCTGCAATACGTCTCATGTTAGAATTAGAGACATCTGGGCCAGGCACAGTGGCTGACGCCTGTAATCCTAACACTTTGGGAAGCCGAGGCAGGCAGATCACCTAAGGTCAGGAGTTCGAGACCAGCCTGGCCAACATGGTGAAATGCTGTCTCTACCAAAAATACAAAAAATTAGCTGGGCATGGTGGCGCGCGCCTGTAATCCCAGCTACTCGGGAGCCTGAGGCAGGAGAATCGCTTGAACCCGGGAGGTGGAGGTTGCAGTGAGCCGAGATCGTGCCACTGCACTCCAGCATGGGGGACGGAGCAAGGCTCTGTCAAAAAAAAAAAAAACAGAAAAAGAAAAAGAAAAAAGAATTAGAGACATCTGGATCAAATCAGCTGCCAGTCTCGCAAAGTGTCGGGTAACATCCTATTAAGCTTGCTGCTTACACATCATCTATAAAATACTGAAAATATCATTTTAAGAAATCTTTTTTTTATTTTGAGACAGAGTTTTGCTCGTTGCCCAGGCTGGAGTGCAATGGTGCGATCTCAGCTCACTGCAATCTCTGCCCCCTGGGTTCAAGCAATTCTCCTTCCTCAGCCTCCTGAGTAGCTGGGATTACAGGCATGCACCACCACGCCTGGCTAATTCTGTATTTTCAGTTGAGACAGGGTTTCTCCATATTGGTCAGGCTGGTCTCGAACTCCTGACCTCAGGTGATCCACTGACCTTGGCCTCCCAAAGTGCTGGGATTACAGGTGTGAGCCACCATGCCTAGCCAAGAAACCCTTATTTTAAAACAAGCCAGGCGCGGTGGCTCATGCCTATAATCCCAGCACTTTGGGAAGCCAAGGCAGGTGGATCACTTGACGTCAGTAGTTTGAGACCAGCCCGAGCAACATGTTGTAACCCCATCTCTACTAAAAATATATTTTAAAAATTAGCTGGGCATGGTGGTGGGCACCTGTAATCCCAGCTTCTCAGGAGGCTGAGGCAGGAGAACCACTTGAACCTGGGAGGTGGAGGTTGCAGTGAGCAGAGATCACGCCACTGCACTCTAGCCTGGGTGACAATAGAAAGACTCCATCTCAAAAACAAAACAAAACAAAACAAAACAAAAAACCACTAAAAAAAAGACTCCATTTCAAAAACAAAACTAAAACCAAAAACACAACACAAATGTAGTACACAAATGAAAATAATTACTGTGTTAAACACAGTTTCATAGAAAATAAAAGACCAATCAAATACAATAAGCTGCCTTTTTAGATGGGTATGTTATTCTTCTTTCACAGCTAAAGAAACAGGCTCAGAGAATGTTATTTGATTGGACCGTGTTGCATTTCTGGACAGTGCAGCTGAGATCAGACTTTGTGTGTAACTCCACTAGCCTACCAGGGTGCCTCTCATAAAGGTAAGAAATGTAAATTTGGCCTAATATACAAAGTTGCCAGGGCAGCACTGGGTCAATTCTACATACAGTACTTCTATGTTCATCAAGGGAAACCTTAAGGGAAAGTGAAAATGCTTCTAGAAGGCGACTGGACACCAGCGCCTTTGCTTGTTGCCTTTGGGCTCTTCTTCTAAGGCCAACAGTGACCTGAAATTATTGACTGGCTTTTCCAATCAGGTGGACAAAATGGTACCAAGGTTGCCAACATCGATGTAGAACATCGATGTTCTACAACATTGCTTAACGCAAGGGGAGACACTCCTGACTCAGAGTGTTTAATTGCTCACCTACTTCTTTTTCTGCCCTCTTGGGCTTCTGAAATGAAAAGAACCCTGGGGTGATACAGTGAGTCAAAGGGGTGCCAGCCGCATCACAGCAAAATAGATTCCTAAAAAATCCCTGGCCTAAGATGACAGCCTTGGCTGGATCAGTTTGAATGTGCTGATAGTGGACATGGTAGAATGAAGGTGGTTGAAATGTTCATATTAAAGAACTTCCACCCAGATTGCAAGAAAAGAGAGAAGAATGGAGACGGCAGCACAAGCCCCTACAATAAAAGCAGATGTTTTGAGATCAGTTATATTTCTTCTGACAAAAATTAAAGACAGAAACCAAAGTTTAGCCTGAGACTACAATTAATTGGGCAATAAGCCAGAGGCACATATGGCATAAGACAGATTTAAACATTTCTCCCTGATATTAATACAAACACTAAAATTACAAATACATGGATTCCAAATAAAACAAATATTTAAAAAATTTAATGAATAAACACTGGGGTCTACAGTAGTATTTGAAGGAGATCTCACAAACAGGTTTGGTTTTTGAAGGTTAGAACTGGTGGTCTAGAGAATTCATTTCATTCCAGAGAAAGAAAGAGAGGAATTTCTTGGGTTCCTTCAGGAATGCGTCTAGCTTTGCCTCATCTTTGTTTGAACTATGGATACAGCAGAAGAAAACATAAGGATTTCACAGATTTAAGGTGCAAAAAGTCACTGGGTTCTCTAAGAAGTCTGGGATTCTTCTGCTGGAAAAATAAGTTTGTTGAGAAAAAATGAGTTGGAGGAGGCTGTTATTGAAGTGAAGCAGAACTGTTTTTACTAATCTGCTTATTACCCACTCTGTAGTGTGGAAACAAATTATTCATGCACAAGGTCCTCTTACTGTTCCTAGAATGCAGTGGAAAGAGAACAGATTAGTTTTCCTCCCTCAGAACACAACCCCTAGAAACATCCTACCTCAGATGAGATATTGCCTAATTATTTTCAAAAGACAGTGAAACATCATGGATGTAAATGTTTGCTACAAAATAAATACATGCTAGAAACAGAAGCATCTGGGTCACAGCTATATTAGAGCTACCTGTGTTCCCCTGTCACTGACATTAAAACAAAAATGTCCAATACAATCATTCACAGCGTGGGAGAGGGGAAGTTGAAGGATGGAAAGGCCAGGCATAAAAGGATTTCAGAATTTCCGTCCATAAGGAAGTGGCTTTGTGCACTGTCTGTTACTGCGTGCAAGGTGAAATTTGAAGAATGAAAACGTGCAGTAACAAGGGCTCCTTTGTCCAACTCACCTCTCCAGATACCAAGTTTCAGACATGTTGCATTTGAATTGAAAGGTTGATATAATTTTTTTTAAAGAACACTTGCGGTGTTTGAAGTGACAAAGGCTGCTGTGACAAAAAAGCAGGGAAAGGGAATTTTTTTTTTAAAAGCAAACAACAACAACAAAAACCCCACAGAAAAGCAAACAACAAACAAACAAAAAACAGAGGAAGAAGTTGAACACCCCGGGCTGTGACTACTTCCAGGAAGGGGCTACAAGAGGCAGTTGGAAATTCTATTTGTTTTGCAACTGTGGGTTTTCCGGCCTGCTTCCTTTCTAAAGTATATTACTCTGCTTTTGGTTCATGAAGTTATCCATTTCTGTTTTCTGGAACAGCTATGTATTTTCTTTATCTATCATCTATCTATCTATTTACCATCTATCTTTTCTACCTTTTGCTATCAAGAGCTTGTGTCAAGCAGGATAGAATTCCAGTGTATGTTCACTCTACCGTTTAAAACAAGAGCTCTTGTGGGCATTCTCCATCACATCATAAACCTGAGCTTTCTAAAACAGAGTGTGGCAAACTACCATGCATGGACCATGTCTGACACAGTCTGCGTTTGTAAGTAAAGTTGTAATGGGACACAACCAATACATGTGTTACATAATGTCTCTGGCTACTTTCATGGTATAATGGAAGAGCTGAGTCATTGAGAGAGAGACCATATGGCTTGGAAAACTTAAAATATTTAACATTTAGCCCCTTGCAGAAAATACTTGCTGACTCTTGTTTTAAAAGATCTCTGTTTAGAATGCTACCTATTGCGTTCTGGATAGAATCACAACTCTTTACCACAATTGACACAGCTTCAGCCCTGCTTCTATATCCAGCCTCATCTATTTCTGCTCCTCCTCCTTATTTTCCTTCTGGCCATGCTGATGGATTGTCAGCTTCCCAGATGTGCAAGAATCTCTCCTCCCTTCCCAACATTCTCATGCTCTCCCTCTGCCTCTCAAGAACTTCCTGCCCCATCTCTCATGACAAATCCTTTCTACATTCTTTAAGATGCAGCCCCTTTGCTCCTTCCTTAAGGATGTCTGTCTGGCTCTATTTTGGGTGACGTGCTCCTTCTGCATCTCCCAGAGCCAGCCTGTGTGTGTCAGCTACAACATTTCTTTGCATCTCTGTGTCATATATCACCAAATCTGCCTAAGCTTGCATGAGTCACTGCATGACAACTTCAGACTCCACCAGCATTGTCCCCACTAACCACAAGGCTTAGACATTCGTCCAGTATGCTCAGGGTTGTGGGGTGGTAGCAGTAACCAGCTGGTGACCATCATTTCTTACATCAGAATCAAATCTGTAGATCTCTGCCATTCGTAAGTATTTGGAGTTTAAAATTAGCATAAAGATTTTCCTTAAAATAAGAACAAATAGCTTGAGTAGGCTTTTGGAACGTAGGATGTTTCCACTGGTTCATTTCTGTGTTCAATATTCCCACATGAATCTAAACACGACTCTGCTCTTAGTAGCTATGTGACCCTGGGAAAGTCACTCAATCTCCCGCAGCTAAATTTTGTTGTGTGAGTAATGAGGAGAGAGTTGTGATTTGTATTTAGAGAATAATAACAAACAAAAGGCATTTAGCTTTCTGGAACCTGGTATGTAGTAGAACCTCATGAAATACTAGCTCTGTTGATAAAACTAGACTGAAAGAAGCTTTCAAAGTCAACAAAAGTTTGAGGCAGTGAAGGACGTAGAGGAGAAGCTGCTGCTGCAGCCTGTAGCTCCTGGAAGCCCGTTTAGTCCATGATTTAGCAGGAATGCATTACCCTTCCATGAGGAGGCACTGCCCACAGAAACCAAGGCCATTCTTTGAAGACAAACATGTCTTAATAGCCTTTACATTATGTAATAGTGTAATACAAATAATAATTTATTATTAGTAATAATGTGAAATTATTTACAGTACCCTAACCCTAACCCCTAATCCTAACCCTAACCCCTAACCCTAATCCTAACCCAAACCCTAACCCTAACCCTAACCCTAACCCAACCCTAACCCTAGCTCCTAATCCTAACCCTAACCCTAACCCTAACCCTAACCCAACCCTAACCCTAGCTCCTAACCCTAACCCTAACCCTAACCCTAAAACCCTAACCCTAACCCTAACCCTAACCCTAACCCTAACCCTAACCCTAACCCTAAAACCCTAACCCTAAAACCCTAACCTGAACCCTAACCCGAACCATAAACCTGAACCCTAAACCCGAACCCGAACCCGAACCCTAACCATAACCCAAACCCGAACCCTAACCCCTAACCCCTAACCCTAACCCTACCCTAACCCAACCCTAACCCAACCCTAACTCTAGCCCTAGCCCTAGCCCTAGCCCTAAGCCCTAAGCCCTAAGCCTAACCCCAACCCCAACCCCAACCCCAACCCTAACCCTAACCCTTCCTCAGCCTCTCAACCTGCTTGGGTTACAGGTATGAGCCCGGGTGCCTGGCCAAACATTCCATTTTATATGTATATGCTAGGAATGAATAATCTCTAAACCAAATTATGAAAATTCTACCTTAAACAATACCAATAGCAATATTATACTTAGGAATAAATGGAATGAAACGACAAGACTTAGATGAGGGAAATTATAAGACATTACTTAAGGAAATTAAACTTCCAATAAATGTAAAAATGTATCTTATTTGTGGATTTGTAGACCACATTGTTAAGTTTCCCAAAGTACACAAAGCAATCCGTGGATTCGATGTTATTCCTACAAAAATCCCAAAGGCCTTGGGACAGAAGTGGATAAGCTGATCCTGATCACATCCCAATTTCAAATTTTATTACAAAGGAACAGTAATAAAAACAGTGGGATCCTTGCACAGGAATAAACAGAAAGATCAACTGAATTGAATTGGGAGTCCAGACAGAAAACAATACCTCTATGCTCAACTGATTTTAGACAAGGTCCATTACCAGTAAATTGGGGAAAGAATCCTGTCCTCAACAAGTGATGTAAGGCAACTTGCTATCCACATAAAGGGAAATGAAATTGTATCCTTACCTCATACCACATAAAAAATTAACTTACAATGGATCGAAGACCAAAACAGGTGAAAACTAAAAACTCTGGAAGAAAACATACAGTTAAGCATTCATGACCTTACATGTAGCAATAGTTTCTTACATCTGACACCAAAAGCACAGACCACAAAAGGAAAAATAAATCAATTTATTTCCTCAAAATTTACAACTTTTACGTCTCAGAAGACATGAAGAAAAAAGTTGAAAGACAAAATGTTATAATAGGAAAAACAACTGTCTTATAGTATACTCTCAACACTCAACACAGAACACTTCTGTTACCAGATACATGGGTTTTTTCCCCACACAGACCAAATCTTGGGTACCAGCTGGGTGTCCTACAGTGCAATCCAATTGTGACAGTAAATGGAGAAAGCATCAGACCCCATAGGCTAAGGGCTCAGTCCTAGGAATACACATCATGCCCCTTGTTGCTTGCAAATTTAAATGACAAACACAAGGATGGTAAAAAGAAAGTGACTTTATGCCAGAGCTTAGCTGAAGGGAACGTACAGGCTCTTGCCTTAAGGGAAGCGCTTCCACTTTCTGGGCAGAAAGCGGGGCCTTCGGACTTGCCAGAATGGCATGCAGGGGATGAGGTGAGGAGGTGCGGGGTCTATGGGACATGCTCTGATGTTTTCTCCATTAGGTGGTCTTGCTAGCACCATCACGGGCAGAGCCAGGTTGTAAATTGACTGTTGTCTGCTGCCAATCTCCTGGTGGGGGAGAGATATGGAAGTGCCAGTTTGTTTCAAGGTTTGGTCCCTGGAACTTACAAGTAATCACACAGTTGGAAAAGTTTGCAGTATAGGAAGTGTCTGGTGGAGAGACAGTAAAGCTTATAATTGCATTCCTAAAGAGCTAAATGCAGGAACAGCAAAATGGTAAAACTAATTCATTTCTTCTTTAAGAAAATATGGGTACTCAGTTACAAGACTGTAACCACTTAAGATGCCAACCAGAAACAGTAGGTTCCCAGGTTACCTTCTGTCTGACTTTGCTACAGATTGGAGGCTCCCACAACACCCTTATTGGGTTCAGCAATTTGCTACATCACATTACACAACCCATGAAAGCAGTGTACTTACTATTCCTGACTCATTACCAAGGATCTTTTAAACACTACAAATGAAAAGCCAGATGAAGAGAGGCACAAGGTGAGGTACATGGAAGGAATGCAGGCCTCCCATGCCCTCGCCAGATATGATCCTCCCAGTATCTCCTGTGTTGGGAGAGCAACACAGATGCTCTCCCAACCCTGTCCTTTATTACACAGGCAGATTGGTTACGTCTGTGGCCATAGGTGATCAACTCAACCATCAGCACCTCTCCCCTTCACAGAGACGGGACGGGGGAAGAAATTTCAAATTCTCTCATGACAAGGTTGCTTCCCTTGGCAGCCAGCCCCACTGAGGGTGTCCAGGTGCCCCCAGCCATCAATCATTTCATTAGCATACGAAACACACATTACTTCGTACATTCCCAAGGCTTAGCGCTCTGTTTCAGGACACTGCAGCAGAGACCACACATTAACTCTTATTACGTTCCAACAACCTATAAAATGGAAGAAAATGTCTGCACATTAGATACTTCATCAGTGTCTGTTATCCAGAATGTATAAAGAACTTTTACAACTCCATAGCAAAGACAACCCAATCTAAAAATTGACAAAAGACTTTAATACACACTTCACCAACAAGCACATGAAAAGATGCTTAACATCATTACCATAATTAAAACCATAAAGAGATAACCCTTAACTCACACAAGAATAGTTATACTAAAAAATAACAAGTGTTGACAAAGATGTGCAGAAACTTGAACTCTTAAACACTGCTTGTGACAATATGAAATGGTGCAGCCTACGTGTAAAATAATTTGATGTTTCCTCATGAAGTTACAAATAGATTTACCATATGAGTCAATGATTCCATTCCTAGGTATATACCCCAAAGACCTGAAAACAACTGTTCAAACAAAAACCTGTATGCTCTTTAAATGTGTCAAGGTCATAAATATGCAGGAAAGTCTGGGGAACAGTTCCAGGAAAAGAAAACTGGATCCTAATGAAAAAAAAAAAAACACATTATACTCCCAAGTGTGGCATGAGGTAAAAGTGAAGTGAGTTTGTGGACCGAATTATCATGTAGGAACAATGCTGATTTCCTGATCTAGGGGTTATGTGGTAGTTACCTGGGAGAGTGTCCATGTTTTCAGTACAATATACCGGAGTATTTTGTGGGACACTGCAAATCTGGTACAGCAATAACTGTTGGGGAATCTAAGGGAAGAAACAAGTTGTACTTTGTACTACTACTGGAAGTTGCCTAGAAATATGACATTATTGGAAAATAAGTTACTTTTTAAAACAACCATGTCAATACCATGCCAGGAAAGCAGACACATCATCAAAATCCATTGCAGAGGCTATAGTTCAGCCAAAGCTGTAAAACCCTTAAAAAAGTCTCAATGTCAACAGAGTCCACGTAGTAGATATTATTATATTTATTAGTATTAGAGGCCATTGTGTCAATATATTAGTGTTAGGGCATGGTATGGGTGTCTAGATTAGTGTTAGGGAATGGTGTGGATATTGTATTGGTGTTAGGGAATGGTGCAGATATTACATTAGTCTTAGGGCATGGTGTGGATATTATTACATTAGTATTGGAAGCGATGGTGTGGACTAGATCAGTGATAGGGCATGGTGTGGATATTATTACATTAGTATTGGAAGCGATGGTGTGGACTAGATCAGTGATAGGGCATGGTGTGGATATTATTACATTAGTATTGAAAGCGATGGTGTGGATTAGATCAGTGTTAGGGCATGGTGTGGATATTATTACATTAGTATTGGAAGCGATGGTGTGGACTAGATCAGTGATAGGGCATGGTGTGGATATTATTACATTAGTATTGAAAGCGATGGTGTGGATTAGATCAGTGTTAGGGCATGGTGTGGATATTATTACATTAGTATTGGAAGCGATGGTGTGGACTAGATCAGTGATAGGGCATGGTGTGGATATTATTACATTAGTATTGGAAGCGATGGTGTGGACTAGATCAGTGATAGGGCATGGTGTGGATATTATTACATTAGTATTGGAAGCGATGGTGTGGATTACATCAGTGTTAGGGCATGGTGTGGATATTATTACATTAGTATTGGAAGCGATGGTGTGGATTAGATCAGTGATAGGGCATGGTGTGGATATTATTACATTAGTATTGGAAGCGATGGTGTGGATTAGATCAGTGATAGGGCATGGTGTGGATATTATTACATTAGTATTGGAAGCGATGGTGTGGATTAGATCAGTGATAGGGCATGGTGTGGATATTATTACATTAGTATTGGAAGCGATGGTGTGGACTAGATCAGTGATAGGGCATGGTGTGGATATTATTACATTAGTATTGGAAGCGATGGTGTGGATTAGATCAGTGATAGGGCATGGTGTGGATATTATTACATTAGTATTGGAAGCGATGGTGTGGACTACATCAGTGATAGGGCATGGTGTGGATATTATTACATTAGTATTGGAAGCGATGGTGTGGATTACATCAGTGATAGGGCATGGTGTGGATATTATTACATTAGTATTGGAAGCGATGGTGTGGACTAGATCAGTGATAGGGCATGGTGTGGATATTATTACATTAGTATTGGAAGCGATGGTGTGGATTAGATCAGTGATAGGGCATGGTGTGGATATTATTACATTAGTATTGGAAGCGATGGTGTGGACTAGATCAGTGATAGGGCATGGTGTGGATATTATTACATTAGTATTGGAAGCGATGGTGTGGACTAGATCAGTGATAGGGCATGGTGTGGATATTATTACATTAGTATTGGAAGCGATGTTGTGGATTACATCAGTGTTAGCGCATGGTGTGAATATTATATAGGTGTTAGGACACGATGTGGATATCATAGTAATGTAGGGCACAGTGTGATTATTATATTAGAGGCCACTGTAAGAATATATATTAACAGCCACTGTGTCTTGGACGTTGACAATGATATTAGGGTGTAGTCCAAACAGTGAGATTTGGGGGTTTTATTTTTCTAGATGAATTTCTTCCTCTGCTGAGTGCTCTAAAGACTCACTCCTTGGCACTCAGGGCCGTGGACAGGAGCTTTTTACTCACCAATGAAGAACACCAAGTTAACGCGACCCCCGTGCTGCCCTGAGGAAGTCGAAGCTCCTCGCTGCTTCTGGCACCTCAGCGGGAAGTTGGTTGCGGCGGGATCGCGCGCCCTCTGGTGGCGCCATGGTTCAGCACAGACGCTCTTGCTCACAGTTTCTCGGCGGATGTGCGCCCCCTCCTGGCTGTCCTGAAATACCTATAAAATTCAATATTCAGTTTATTCAGTGTCATAATTTTGGAAATTCAAACCGAAATAAAGGCCACTATATCCATATCCTTCCCATAAATGGTGATGGAAGAATTATTTGGAAGCCATATAGAATGAAATGACTCTATACACAAATTAAAACACAAAAACCTACTCAAAATAGTCCAGAGACTACAACTTCAAATGCAAAACTATAAATAATCTAAAAGAAAACCTAAGAGACATTCGATCTGGTGTTGAGTTTTAACACACAGCATCAAGTGCCAATTCGTGAAAATACTGAGAACAGACTTTATAAAACTAAATTTTCTACTATGAAAAACCCTATTCAGAGAACAAAAAGACAAGACACACTGTGAGAAGATATTTACAAAATACAAACATGATTTTAAAAACTGTATTGAAAATACACAAAGAACTCTTCAAACGAACACTAAGAAAACTAAAAACCCACATAAAACTGGGTAAATATCTGAACAGACATCCAGCCAAATAAAATATATAGATAGCAGGCCAGGTGTGGTGGCTCATGCCTATAACCCCAGCACTTTGGGAGGCTGAGGTGGGTGAGTCACCTGAGGTCAGGAATTTGAGATCAGCCTGGCCAACATAGTGATACCCCCTCTCTACTAAAAATACAAAAAAATTAGCCAGGCATGGTGGTGAGTGCCTGTAATCCCAGCTACTTGGGAGGCTGATGCAAGAGAATTGCTTGAACATCGGAGGTGGAGGTTGCAGTGACCCAGGATCACACCACTGCACTCCAGCCTGAGTGACAGAATGAGACTCTATCTCAATAAAAAAAAAAGAAAAAAGAAAAAAAAGAAAATATACAGATAGCACATAATCACACAAAAGGATGCTCAATATATCTCATTAGGAGACTGCAAATTAAAATAATGCTGAGATATCACTGCACACCTAGTACAACTGTGGGACTCTTAAAAAAGCTCAACAGTAACAATTGGAAGTTGAAGAACAATAGGTACGGCCATTCATTAATGGCAGAATGCATGAATGGGTACAGCCACTTTGGGAAATAGTTTGACAGTTTTTCCCAAAGATAAACAAGTCTTACCTTACAATCCAACAAATGCACCCCTAAATTGTGTATGTTTAGACAGCTGCTTTGAAAAATTATGTTCAAACAAAAACTAGCATGTAATTATATATGAGCCACTCTACTCATCATGGCCAAAACTTGAAGTAATCAGAACGTTCTTCAATAGCTGAATGCATAATCAATTTGAAGTACAACCATGCAATGGAATACCATTCACCAACAGAAAGGAATGAACTGTCAATCCATGAAAACAAATGAATGAATCTTGCATCTATGTTGCTAAGTAAAGGGTGGCAGTATGAAGATGCTATACATTATATGACTCCATTCATATAACATTCTGGAAAAAGCACAACCAAAGAGATGATAGTCAGATCAGTGACTGTCTGGGGTGGGGATTTGAAGTATTCTGTATGCTACTTCAGTAGTGGATATCTGACACTATTCATTTGATAAAACCCACAGAATTTTAATGCACAAAGAACAAATCACAATCTACACAAATTAAATTATTTAGGATGTGGAAGTATCTAAGGACAAAATACAGAGTGAAACCAAGAATCTAACTGTATTACCAATGTATGTTGCAAGTGGTGGGCCAAAGGTGCTGAGCTGGAAATGAGTAGAATCCATAGACTAAAAACAAAACGTACTATATACACGAACAGTGGACTCTATAAAGTTATTTCCCATAGGGATAATAGTTAATTTTGAAACTACTATATCTGTAAAAAGAAAAATAACCATGATTTTCCTCTATACTATCAACACTCCACTTTTAACAGCAAATTGTGGGGGGTGGGGGGTGTTTCCCATACCAACCAATATTCCAACTCTCTGGAAAACAATTGGGTATCCTGTAATTCAACTGTGACACTGATTACCTGGAGTTAGTCTACACCCTACAGGTTAAGGGCTTAGTAACACCAGACTGTCCACAACCTCAGATGCCAATCACAAGTTGTGAATCCCCAGTTTACCCAAACTTCTATATGACTTGGCTAGAAACTAGGCATTCCTACACCCCCTCTTCAGGTTTGACAATTTGCTATGATGGCTTATGGAACTAGGAAATACTTACTTATGTTTACTAGTTATTATGGTCTCAATGTGTGTACACCCCCACCCCAAATTCCTATTTTGAAATGTAATCCCCAAAGGGATGGTATTCAGAGGTAACCGAGAGGTGATCGGATCATGAGAGTGCTGTCCTCATGAATGAAACCAGTGCCCTTATAAAAGCATCTAGGAGCCCGTTTCCCCATTCTGCCATGTCATGACATGCTAGAAGGCACTATCTATGATAGATGAGCCCTCACTAGACATCAAATCTGTCAGCCTTGATCTGGAACTTACCAAATTCCATATTTTAGGAATTTTTATGGAAGCTTCATCATGTAGACATGACGGATTATTAACTCAATTTCCAGTCCCTTCACACCCTCAAAGGATTGCATGTTAAGCTAAAAGTTACAACCTTCTTATCATGGCTTGGTCTTTCTGGTGACCATCCCCATCCTGAAACCATCCAGGAACCCACAGAGTGTCCTTATTAGAACAGAAGCCATTCCTATTATCCAGGAGATTCCAAGAGATTTAGGAACTCTGCGTCAGGAACCAGGGCCAAAGACCAAATATTAGAACACAAGAGCTCCTAGCAGCCCTACTGTTCAGGAAATTATAATAGTTTTACAAGCTCTGTACCAGGAACTGCAGACACAGACCAAACATATATTTCTTATTAAGTCCCAACCTGGAATCTCGATCAAGAATGAATTCCTTCTTCCCAGTGGTACAAGGGATGAAATGAAAGGCAGATAGTAGGAGCCAGGTTCCTCACTATTACAGCGAGAAGTTACAGATAAAAAATAGGGAAGCCTAGAATGATCTCGGTCATAATGAGTCAGAATATATATATACAACGTAAGTATAAACTCACATTCAGGTTCCTCATTATTACAGTGAGAAGTTACAGATAAAAAATAGGGAAGCCTAGAATGATCTCTGTCATAATGAGTCAGAATATATATAGACAACGTAAGTATAAACTCACATTCAGGTTCCTCACTATTACAGTGAGAAGTTACAGATAAAAAATAGGGAAGCCTAGAATGATCTCTGTCATAATGAGTCAGAATATATATATACAACGTAAGTATAAACTCACATTCAGGTTCCTCACTATTACAGCGAGAAGTTACAGATAAAAAATAGGGAAGCCTAGAATGATCTCTGTCATAATGAGTCAGAATATATATATACAACGTAAGTATAAACTCACATTCAGGTTCCTCACTATTACAGTGAGAAGTTACAGATAAAATATAGGGAAGCCTAGAATGATCTCTGTCATAATGAGTCAGAATATATATATACAACGTAAGTATAAACTCACATTCAGGTTCCTCACTATTACAGCGAGAAGTTACAGATAAAAAATAGGGAAGCCTAGAATGATCTCTGTCATAATGAGTCAGAATATATATATACAACGTAAGTATAAACTCACATTCAGGTTCCTCACTATTACAGCGAGAAGTTACAGATAAAAAATAGGGAAGCCTAGAATGATCTCTGTCATAATGAGTCAGAATATATATATACAACGTAAGTATAAACTCACATTCAGGTTCCTCACTATTACAGCGAGAAGTTACAGATAAAAAATAGGGAAGCCTAGAATGATCTCTGTCATAATGAGTCAGAATATATATATACAACGTAAGTATAAACTCACATTCAGGTTCCTCACTATTACAGCGAGAAGTTACAGATAAAAAAATTCAGGTTCCTCATTATTACAGTGAGAAGTTACAGATAAAAAATAGGGAAGCCTAGAATGATCTCTGTCATAATGAGTCAGAATATATATAGACAACGTAAGTATAAACTCACATTCAGGTTCCTCACTATTACAGTGAGAAGTTACAGATAAAAAATAGGGAAGCCTAGAATGATCTCTGTCATAATGAGTCAGAATATATATATACAACGTAAGTATAAACTCACATTCAGGTTCCTCACTATTACAGCGAGAAGTTACAGATAAAAAATAGGGAAGCCTAGAATGATCTCTGTCATAATGAGTCAGAATATATATATACAACGTAAGTATAAACTCACATTCAGGTTCCTCACTATTACAGTGAGAAGTTACAGATAAAATATAGGGAAGCCTAGAATGATCTCTGTCATAATGAGTCAGAATATATATATACAACGTAAGTATAAACTCACATTCAGGTTCCTCACTATTACAGCGAGAAGTTACAGATAAAAAATAGGGAAGCCTAGAATGATCTCTGTCATAATGAGTCAGAATATATATATACAACGTAAGTATAAACTCACATTCAGGTTCCTCACTATTACAGTGAGAAGTTACAGATAAAAAATAGGGAAGCCTAGAATGATCTCGGTCATAATGAGTCAGAATATATATATACAACGTAAGTATAAACTCACATTCAGGTTCCTCACTATTACAGTGAGAAGTTACAGATAAAAAATAGGGAAGCCTAGAATGATCTCTGTCATAATGAGTCAGAATATATATATACAACGTAAGTATAAACTCACATTCAGGTTCCTCACTATTACAGTGAGAAGTTACAGATAAAAAATAGGGAAGCCTAGAATGATCTCGGTCATAATGAGTCAGAATGTATATATACAACGTAAGTATAAACTCACATTCAGGTTCCTCATTATTACAGCGAGAAGTTACAGATAAAAAATAGGGAAGCCTAGAATGATCTCTGTCATAATGAGTCAGAATATATATATACAACGTAAGTATAAACTCACATTCAGGTTCCTCACTATTACAGCGAGAAGTTACAGCTAAAAAATAGGGAAGCCTAGAATGGTCTCTGTCATAATGAGTCAGAATATATATATACAACGTAAGTATAAACTCCCATTCAGGTTCCTCACTATTACAGCGAGAAGTTACAGATAAAAAATAGGGAAGCCTAGAATGATCTCGGTCATAATGAGTCAGAATGTATATATACAACGTAAGTATAAACTCATATTCAGGTTCCTCATTATTACAGCGAGAAGTTAGAGATAAAAAATAGGGAAGCCTAGAATGATCTCTGTCATAATGAGTCAGAATATATATATACAACGTAAGTATAAACTCACATTCAGGTTCCTCACTATTACAGCGAGAAGTTACAGATAAAAAATAGGGAAGCCTAGAATGGTCTCTGTCATAATGAGTCAGAATATATATATACAACGTAAGTATAAACTCACATTCAGGTTCCTCACTATTACAGCGAGAAGTTACAGATAAAAAATAGGGAAGCCTAGAATGATCTCGGTCATAATGAGTCAGAATATATATATACAACGTAAGTATAAACTCACATTCAGGTTCCTCACTATTACAGCGAGAAGTTACAGATAAAAAATAGGGAAGCCTAGAATGATCTCGGTCATAATGAGTCAGAATATATATATACAACGTAAGTATAAACTCACATTCAGGTTCCTCACTATTACAGTGAGAAGTTACAGATAAAAAATAGGGAAGCCTAGAATGATCTCGGTCATAATGAGTCAGAATGTATATATACAACGTAAGTATAAACTCACATTCAGGTTCCTCATTATTACAGCGAGAAGTTACAGATAAAAAATAGGGAAGCCTAGAATGATCTCTGTCATAATGAGTCAGAATATATATATACAACGTAAGTATAAACTCACATTCAGGTTCCTCACTATTACAGCGAGAAGTTACAGCTAAAAAATAGGGAAGCCTAGAATGGTCTCTGTCATAATGAGTCAGAATATATATATACAACGTAAGTATAAACTCCCATTCAGGTTCCTCACTATTACAGCGAGAAGTTACAGATAAAAAATAGGGAAGCCTAGAATGATCTCGGTCATAATGAGTCAGAATGTATATATACAACGTAAGTATAAACTCATATTCAGGTTCCTCATTATTAGAGCGAGAAGTTAGAGATAAAAAATAGGGAAGCCTAGAATGATCTCTGTCATAATGAGTCAGAATATATATATACAACGTAAGTATAAACTCACATTCAGGTTCCTCACTATTACAGCGAGAAGTTACAGATAAAAAATAGGGAAGCCTAGAATGGTCTCTGTCATAATGAGTCAGAATATATATATACAACGTAAGTATAAACTCACATTCAGGTTCCTCACTATTACAGCGAGAAGTTACAGATAAAAAATAGGGAAGCCTAGAATGATCTCGGTCATAATGAGTCAGAATATATATATACAACGTAAGTATAAACTCACATTCAGGTTCCTCACTATTACAGCGAGAAGTTACAGATAAAAAATAGGGAAGCCTAGAATGATCTCGGTCATAATGAGTCAGAATATATATATACAACGTGAGTATAAACTCACATTCAGGTTCCTCACTATTACAGCGAGAAGTTACAGATAAAAAATAGGGAAGCCTAGAATGATCTCGGTCATAATGAGTCAGAATATATATATACAACGTAAGTATAAACTCACATTCAGGTTCCTCACTATTACAGCGAGAAGTTACAGATAAAAAATAGGGAAGCCTAGAATGATCTCTGTCATAATGAGTCAGAATATATATATACAACGTAAGTATAAACTCACATTCAGGTTCCTCACTATTACAGCGAGAAGTTACAGATAAAAAATAGGGAAGCCTAGAATGATCTCGGTCATAATGAGTCAGAATATATATATACAACGTAAGTATAAACTCACATTCAGGTTCCTCACTATTACAGCGAGAAGTTACAGATAAAAAATAGGGAAGCCTAGAATGATCTCTGTCATAATGAGTCAGAATATATATATACAACGTAAGTATAAACTCACATTCAGGTTCCTCACTATTACAGCGAGAAGTTACAGATAAAAAATAGGGAAGCCTAGAATGATCTCGGTCATAATGAGTCAGAATATATATATACAACGTAAGTATAAACTCACATTCAGGTTCCTCACTATTACAGTGAGAAGTTACAGATAAAAAATAGGGAAGCCTAGAATGATCTCGGTCATAATGAGTCAGAATGTATATATACAACGTAAGTATAAACTCACATTCAGGTTCCTCATTATTACAGCGAGAAGTTACAGATAAAAAATAGGGAAGCCTAGAATGATCTCTGTCATAATGAGTCAGAATATATATATACAACGTAAGTATAAACTCACATTCAGGTTCCTCACTATTACAGCGAGAAGTTACAGATAAAAAATAGGGAAGCCTAGAATGGTCTCTGTCATAATGAGTCAGAATATATATATACAACGTAAGTATAAACTCACATTCAGGTTCCTCACTATTACAGCGAGAAGTTACAGATAAAAAATAGGGAAGCCTAGAATGATCTCTGTCATAATGAGTCAGAATATATATACACAACGTAAGTATAAACTCACATTCAGGTTCCTCACTATTACAGCGAGAAGTTACAGATAAAAAATAGGGTAGCCTAGAATGATCTCTGTCATAATGAGTCAGAATATATATATACAACGTAAGTATAAACTCACATTCAGGTTCCTCACTATTACAGCGAGAAGTTACAGATAAAAAATAGGGAAGCCTAGAATGATCTCTGTCATAATGAGTCAGAATATATATAAACAACGTAAGTATAAACTCACATTCAGGTTCCTCACTATTACAGCGAGAAGTTACAGATAAAAAATAGGGAAGCCTAGAATGATCTCTGTCATAATGAGTCAGAATATATATATGCAACGTAAGTATAAACTCACATTCAGGTTCCTCACTATTACAGCGAGAAGTTACAGATAAAAAATAGGGAAGCCTAGAATGATCTCTGTCATAATGAGTCAGAATATATATATACAACGTAAGTATAAACTCACATTCAGGTTCCTCACTATTACAGCGAGAAGTTACAGATAAAAAATAGGGAAGCCTAGAATGATCTCTGTCATAATGAGTCAGAATATATATATACAACGTAAGTATAAACTCACATTCAGGTTCCTCACTATTACAGCGAGAAGTTACACATAAAAAATAGGGAAGCCTAGAATGATCTCGGTCATAATGAGTCAGAATATATATATACAACGTAAGTATAAACTCACATTCAGGTTCCTCACTATTACAGCGAGAAGTTACAGATAAAAAATAGGGAAGCCTAGAATGATCTCTGTCATAATGAGTCAGAATATATATATACAACGTAAGTATAAACTCACATTCAGGTTCCTCACTATTACAGCGAGAAGTTACAGATAAAAAATAGGGAAGCCTAGAATGATCTCTGTCATAATGAGTCAGAATATATATATACAACGTGAGTATAAACTCACATTCAGGCTCCTCACTATTACAGCGAGAAGTTACAGATAAAAAATAGGGAAGCCTAGAATGATCTCGGTCATAATGAGTCAGAATATATATATACAACGTAAGTATAAACTCACATTCAGGTTCCTCACTATTACAGCGAGAAGTTACAGATAAAAAATAGGGAAGCCTAGAATGATCTCTGTCATAATGAGTCAGAATATATATATACAACATAAGTATAAACTCACATTCAGGTTCCTCACTATTACAGCGAGAAGTTACAGATAAAAAATAGGGAAGCCTAGAATGATCTCTGTCATAATGAGTCAGAATATATATATACAACGTAAGTATAAACTCACATTCAGGTTCCTCACTATTACAGCGAGAAGTTACAGATAAAAAATAGGGAAGCCTAGAATGATCTCTGTCATAATGAGTCAGAATATATATATACAACGTAAGTATAAACTCACATTCAGGTTCCTCACTATTACAGCGAGAAGTTACAGATAAAAAATAGGGAAGCCTAGAATGATCTCTGTCATAATGAGTCAGAATATATATATGCAACGTAAGTATAAACTCACATTCAGGTTCCTCACTATTACAGCGAGAAGTTACAGATAAAAAATAGGGAAGCCTAGAATGATCTCTGTCATAATGAGTCAGAATATATATATACAACGTAAGTATAAACTCACATTCAGGTTCCTCACTATTACAGCGAGAAGTTACAGATAAAAAATAGGGAAGCCTAGAATGATCTCTGTCATAATGAGTCAGAATATATATATACAACGTAAGTATAAACTCACATTCAGGTTCCTCACTATTACAGCGAGAAGTTACAGATAAAAAATAGGGAAGCCTAGAATGATCTCTGTCATAATGAGTCAGAATATATATATACAACGTAAGTATAAACTCACATTCAGGTTCCTCACTATTACAGCGAGAAGTTACAGATAAAAAATAGGGAAGCCTAGAATGATCTCGGTCATAATGAGTCAGAATATATATATACAACGTAAGTATAAACTCACATTCAGGTTCCTCACTATTACAGCAAGAAGTTACAGATAAAAAATAGGGAAGCCTAGAATGATCTCTGTCATAATGAGTCAGAATATATATATACAACGTAAGTATAAACTCACATTTAGCTTAACATATACATAGATGGTTCCACATAGAAACCTTTATAATTACGTGGGTACATATAAGTTAGAAGACACACATATATTTCTTTGCACTGTCAGCTGTAAGTGTCATGATGCAATGACCACATTTAGTGGCCAGATGTAAGTTTTTCATACCATTCTCTAACAAAAGAAATCAGGGCTATTAGAAGAAATAGCTGAAACTAGGACTGGGACAGAAAATATATGAGCCAGGGTACTTTTGAAGTAACAGAAATAAATTATAAAAAAAAAACATGAAATTATGTAAAAGGAGCCAGTGGAAAGAGCTACCAATGGCCACAGGTATGAACAAAGAGCAACAAAATACTGTACAATTAGATAACAACCAAAAGATTAAAGTAACTATCTGTGGACCCATACTGGTATAAATAAATGATTAAACAGATATGCAAATGGACTGAATAGAAATCTCTTACACAGAAGAATTCCAAATACCTGATATAGACAGCCATCAAGGAGGTGGGGCTAACTCCCCACTCCTTTAAGTATGAGCTCTGCATGATGACTTCCTCCAAAAGCATACATACAATATAGACATGGGAAAAAAGTAACTTCACAGTGAAAAACCTGAAAACACTGCCTCACCCAAGTGATAAAAGTTAACATTAATGGTGATAACACATCTTGAGAGCATGAAGTGACTAGACTAGCACTTGCAAACCAAAAATAAAATTCAAAGATCTTTCCCACAACCACCTCTCCACCAGGGGACACCAAAGTTAACCTGGAAGACTGGTTCAGGCTATGATGGGAAAGAGGTGGTCAGACATGCCTCATTATGCCCTCCTCCCTTTTGGAATTCAGGAAAAGCCAATCAGCATTTAACATCAACACAACCTTAAATCTGATAAGAAACATTTACAATCTATTCTCTCTGAAGCCTGCTACCTGGAAGCTTCATCTCCATGATAAAACCTTGGCCTCCTTAACCCCTTATCATAACCCAGACACTCCTTTCTATTGATAGTAAGTCTTTCAACAAACTGCCAATCAGAAAAATTTTAAGTGTACCTATAACCTGGAAGCCCCACCCCACCCTAATCCACTGGGTTGTCCCACCTTTCTGGACCGAACCAATATATATCTTAAATACACTTGATTGATGTCTCCTACCTCCCTAAAATGTATAGAACCAACCTGCACCCCAACGACCTTGGGCACATGTTCTCAGGGTCTCCTGAGGGCTGTGTCAAGGGCCATGGTCACTCATATTTGGCTCAGAATACATCTCTTCAAATATTTTACAGTCTTTGACTCTTTTTGTGGACACACTACACATCTGCTCTGCTTCCCCCAAACCCCTAAACCCAGGCTGATTATGAGAAAAACCCCAAGTAAACCACAATGGAGGACATTCTACACAATACCTGACCAATCCTCCTAACACTGTTCCAGGTCCTCAGAAGTAAAGTCTGAGAGACTGTCACAGCCAAGAAGAGCCTGACATGATGACTAAATGTCCTATGGGATCCTAGATAGGATCCTGGGAGAGAAAAAGGCAGAACTAAGGGAAACCAAATAAGATGTGAGCTTATTTAATAATATAGTAATATCCAGTCATTAAGTATGACAAGAAATGATGTAAGATGTTGGTCAGGAGTGGTGGCTCATGCCTGTAATCCCAGCACTTTGGGAGGCTGAGGCGGGCAGATCACCTGAGATCAGGAGTTCGAGACCAGCCTGGCCAACGTGGTGAAACCTCATCTCTACTAAAAATACAAAAATTAGCCGGGCACGATGGCAGGCGCCTGTAATACCAGCTACTCAGGAGGCTGAGGCAGGAGAATCGCTTGAACCTGGGAGGCGGAGGTTGCAGTGAGCCGAGATCATGCCACTGCACTCCAGCCTGGTTGAAAAAAAAAAAAAACTGGTCTGGAAAAAAGAAAAAAAAAAAAAGATGTTAAACCTATCTGATACATGTTGATATGTTAAAAAGAGGGGAAACTAGGTTGCGTCTACATGGGAAATCTGCATTTTCTTCCCAATTTCTGTATGAATCTAAAACTAATTTAAAATAAAACCTCTATTTAAAAATTGTAATTTTTTCAGATATCTGCTAAATTATTTGTACTAAAAATTAGTAATTGACAGTAACTACTCCTACTTTTAAAAATAAGAGCATTCATGATACTGCAAAGTAAATTATACAGACTAATATATACTTTCAAAGAAATGCCCCTTTTACATGTTTTATGTTAAGATAACATATATGTGTAAACATGGTCATATCATTTTTCTTATGGTGTAGTTCACTCTCTAAGAAAGCTGGTCATCTTAGAACCAGGGAAAAAAATTCACATTTTGGAGACTATTTCAATTTATGGCTGGACATTTTCAAAGTATGACTTTGTGAAAAAAAAAAAAGTTCAAATTGATTCATTGTGACTGGATCACTTATTCTAATGAATGCTTGTCTTTATTTTGTTTCCCAGCATTCCTTTCAGCTACGATACAACAGAAGCAAATATTTGCCACTGGAAAAAATATTCAAAGACACTCTTAGGTTAATCTATAGCTGATGACAGTCAGTCTAGTCTACATAGCAAGCAGCTTCAAGATATGATTACTTAGCTAAGCGGGAAATGGGACGTGACTGCTGCCTCATTCCCACGCCTCTCTGGACCTGATAATTTAGAGGAAGCTCACATTCGCAAGATAAAAATTTTCTTTTCTTTCTCAGTATTAAATATGCTGTCACAGTAGAAGAAAGCTTTACTGACTTCTTAAATGATGTGTTGAGACCGGAAACCTAAAATGATAGTTACTGAGAATAGTGCTAATGCCCTAAGACTGGAACCCTAAAATGATAGTCACTGAGAATACTGCTAATGCCCTAAGACCGGAACCCTAAAATGATAGTTACTGAGAATAGTGCTAATGCCCTAAGACCGGAACCCTAAAATGATAGTTACTGAGAATACTGCTAATGCCCTAAGACCGGAACCCTAAAATGATAGTTACTGAGAATAGTGCTAATGCCCTAAGACCGGAACCCTAAAATGATAGTTACTGAGAATAGTGCTAATGCCCTAAGACCGGAACCCTAAAATGATAGTCACTGAGAATACCGCTAATGCCCTAAGACCGGAACCCTAAAATGATAGTCACTGAGAATACTGCTAATGCCCTAAGACCGGAACCCTAAAATGATAGTCACTGAGAATAGTGCTAATGCCCTAAGACCGGAACCCTAAAATGATAGTCACTGAGAATACTGCTAATGCCCTAAGACCGGAACCCTAAAATGATAGTTACTGAGAATACTGCTAATGCCCTAAGACCGGAACCCTAAAATGATAGTTACTGAGAATACCGCTAATGCCCTAAGGTTTTAGTCACACCCTCACCTAGGCAGGAACCCAATCAAAAGGGGAGAACTGTGGAACAAACTACGGGAGGTCATTGTTTCGGTCACCACTCCCGCACTAGGCCACACTGAGCAGGCAAAACCAGAATGGAGACACTCACGCTGAATGACACACAACGAAGCTGAAACTCTAAGGAAGTAGATAGATCCCAAAAGAGCTCCCTTTTTCCCTGAAGAGATTCCAGTCTACCTGAGTCAGCATAAAGAAGTCCCCTCTGCTTTAATTCTTACCAAAACAAGTAACTTGAAGTAATCTGATATTAACAAATCAGTTGTTATTTTCTATTGCTCTATTTCCGCCTTACACAACACAGTGTTCTGCTATTGCCCAGAGGGCACTGAGACCAAATAAAACTTGAAAATGCCACACTGAAAGCAAATAAGTCCTAATAACTCAACTTACAACGATAACAAAGAGTGACACCAATGCCCAAAGTTTTGATCAATATCTCAAAATTGAGAGGCTGACCAAAAGGGAGGAATTCTTACATCAAACAACATTTGGGCTCTGGAAGCCTCCCGAGGAGTCCTTGTAAAGAGTCGCGGCCGGGCGCCGTGGCTCACGCCTGTAATCCCGGCACTTTGGGAGGCCGAGACGGGTGGCTCATGAGGTCAGGAAATCGAGTCCATCATGGCTTACAAGGTGAAACCCAGTCTCTACTAAAAAAAAAAAATACAAAAAAATTAGCAGGGCTTGGTGGCGGCAGCCTGCAGTCCCAGCTACTTGGGAGGCCGGGACAGGAGAATGGCATGAACCCGGGAGGCGGAGCTTGCTGTGAGCTGAGATCGCGCCACTGCACTCCAGCCTGGGCGACAGAGCGAGACTCCGCCTCAAAAAAGAAAAAAGAAGAAGAACAAGAAGAATCGCAACCTAATTTAGTATAGAAACAAACTGAAAATCTGACTTGGGAATGTATCATGGTAACAAATAGCGGCGGTTCAGCCAATCACATCAGCCGAGTGTCAGTCAATGGCCGGCAGCCAGCTGTTCAAAACAAGTTCCAAGAAGGCAAATCCGGGCTGTAACCAGGTCTGTAACCAATCCAGCCACCTCTATACCTCACTTCTGTTTTCTGTATGTCACCTTTTTCCTCTGGCTATAAATATAACCCGCACATGTTGTGTGGCAGATCATTCTGAACCATTTTTGGTCTGGACTGCTGCCTGATTCTAGAACCACAAAAAAAAGCCAATTAAGATCTGCAAACCCACATTTGTTGTAATTCTGTATTTTAACAGTTGTGCCCTACAAAAGACATTAAGCTGAAATTAATTAAAAATCATTTACGGTCATGATTAGGTCATAAAAAATTGTCAAACATAACAATTCTTCAAAAAAAGCTAAAAAGTATATTTTAAAAATATTGTTGATGGAAAAAAGAGTGCAAAAGTAGATAGGAAAATTATGTACAAAACTAAAAACAGAGGAGAAATTAAAAGTCAAATAATTACATCAAACTGGAAACCTAGAAAAAATGGGTGATTTCCTAGTAAAAATACACATTAACAAAATGGGCCCTGAAATAAGGCAACTATGAATATACCAATTAGCATAGAAAAGCTAAGAAAGGTCCTTAAAGATCTCCCAGTGGAAAAAGGCCCCAGGACCATCTGGGTCCATAGCTTAGTGTAAGCTGACTTAACTAAATGTGATTTTACACTCGTGCATTGCATACATATGATGGTGGTCCCATGAGATAAAAATGGAGCTGAAAAATTCCTTCCTAGCCATCTTGTCATAAGCTCATGGCTCAACGCATTACCTTTTCTCTGTTCTGATACCATGAAAGGAAAATAAATCTCAGGACCCCCAAATCACTAAGCCAAGGGAAAAGTCAAGCTGGGAGCTATGTCAGGCAAACCTGCCCTCATTCTATTCCTAACTAAGATAGCTACAAAGATAAAAAGCTACATACCTCACTCACAATTTGCCCACAAAGAATTTCCTTTTGGACAAAGGACAGACAGCACTCAAAGTCATCCCTCACCTGAGACAGATGCATATCTGATTGCTTCCTCTGCCCTATTATTTATGTAAAAATGCAGATTCATTGAGCCAGACTAAATTGTGTATTCAGTGGAAGGCTGATGAAGGATTCAAAAGAATGCAACCTTTTGTCTCTAACCTACTTCTGACCTGGAAGCACCCCCACTTCCTGCTTCCAGTTGTCCCGCCTTACTGGGCCAAATGACTGTACATCTTACACGTCTCATGTATCCCTAAAATGTACAAAAGCAAGCTCTACCCTGGCCACCTTGGACACACGTCGTCAGGACCTCCTGAGGCTGTGTCATGGTCGTGTCCTTAATCTGGGCAAAATAAGCTTTCTAAATTGACAGAGACGCGGCGCGCCGGCGCAGGCGCACAGAGGCGCGGCGCGCGGGCGCCGGCGCACAGTGGCGCGTCCCCTGGGGGGCGGGGGGAGGCGCGGCGCAGGCGCAGAGACGCACGTCGTTAGGCTGTGGGTTTGGGGGGAGGTGGGTGGTGCAGACGCAGAGTCACGCGCCACCGGGATGAGAGCGCGGGGGTGGAGCGTTGTAGGCGCACAGACTCACGTCCCCGGGGGCGCGGCGCAGAGACGGGTTGAACCTCAGTAATCCAAAAAGCCGGGCTCGGGCGCCCCCTGCTTGCAGCCGGGCACTACAGGACCCGCTTGCCCGCGGTGCTGTCCCAGTGCGCCCCCTGCTAGCGACTAGGGCAACTGCAGGGCCCTCTTGCTTACAGTGGTGGCCAGCGCCCCCTGCTGGCGCCGGGGCACTGCAGGGCTCTCTTGCTCGCAATATAGTGGCGGCACGCCGCCTGCAGGCAGCTAGGGACGTTGCAGGGCCCTCTTGCTCACAGTGTAGTGGCCGCACGCCCGCCTGCTGGCAGATGGGGACACTGCCAGGCCCTCTTGCTTGCAGTGTAGTCGGGGCACGCCCTCTTCTGGCCGCTGGGGGCACGACAGGATCCTCTTGCTCACAGTGTAGTGGCAGCACGACCCCTGCTGGCAACCAGGGCACTGCATGGTCCTCTTGCTCATGGTGTGGTGCCCGTACGCCGCCTGCTGGCAGCTGAGGACACTGCAGGGCCCTCTTGCTCACAGTGTAGTCGTCGTACGCCCCCTGCTGGCAGCTGGGGACACTGCCGGACCCTATTGCTGTCGGTGTCGTGGCAGCACGCCACCTGCGGGCAGATGGGGACTAGGCAGGGCACTCTTGGTCCCGGTGTGACGGCCTCCTGCACCACTAAAGTCAGAGCGCCAGTTATTAAGCCCCATCAGTTCTGTAAATTCAAACTGAAACGGAGCTATTACTGGGGAGAGCTGATGTCCCAGTTCTTGTTTAACTTGGAAGAAACATTTTCACCAAGAGGCAGTACAAAGATGGCAGATAACTTCATTGAAAAGAAACACAGTGTAAAGAGTTTATTGTAGAAAAATAGGGAGGAGTGGGCTGAGCGTGCATTAAAACAGCCTAAGAGTCCTGTGCAGGGAATTTTATTTTGGATTTCTTCACATTCCTGCCTCTGTCTCAAGTCTCCACCTGTTTTCTTTGTCTGGTTTTCCTGCTACTGCCTTAGCTCCCCAACTTGCCCCACTTAGGCTTGTGGGACCTCCTCACTGTTGGTTGAGGTACATGTGTGGTGATCAATACGAATCCACTCTGGCAGCAGCCTCCATCCCGCCATCCCAGGCACGCTGACAGCGATCACGTTTGTACCTACTGCGCCTGCCTCTTTTGAATGTCCTTCTCTGCCCTAATCTGTACTTATGGTGCCAGGTTTCTCTTAAGAATGTCCCCTTTGGCCTTATCAGCATGTAGCTAGCAATATTCTGACATTTTTATTGCAGAGTGAATGATTGGGGCATCTTCAGAGGAGTTCTAGAGTGTTTCTTTCTGCATAGGTACCTCTTTTCCCTCCTACCCACAATTGACAAGTGCCCATCCACTCCAGCACTAGAGATGCTACTAATATGTGAATTTTTGGTGGTCCCTCCAGGTGAGCCTTCCCAGACTTTCCCTTTTCCAGGAGGCCCCCTCCTGTTCATGTCTAGCTACCTATCTACTCTAACAAAGCCCACTATCCTGTGTCTTTCCCAAAAATAGTGAGGGAACGATTAATTGGAAACCATAAGAAATGATATGGATATAGACGAAAACTTTACAACTTACACAAATAATCACTCAAAATCATCCTTACACTAAAAATGCAAAACTATACAATTTCTAGAAGAAACAATAGAAGAAAAGCTATCTGCCTTTGGGTTTGGTAATGAATTTTAACAAATGACACAAAAGGTAGATATACACAAAAGAAGTGACAGTGTGGATTTCTTAATATTTAAAGTTTATACTCTGGAAGAGACCTTGTTAAGAGAACAAAAAGACAAGCCACATATTGAAGAAAATATTTGCAAAATACACATCTGAGAAAGAATTTGTCTTCAAAATATATAAAAAATTATTAAAACTAAACAATAAGTTAAACAGCCCAACTAAAAATGCACACACATCTGAACAGACACCTCACCAAAGAAGATCTACAGATGGCAAGTAAACACATTGAAACCACAATGTGGTTACAATTGAAAACCACAATGAGATAGCACAGCTGGTCTATATCTGTTAGAATTGCTAAACTCTTTTAAAAATGACAAATTGCTGAAGGAAAAACAAGAACTCTTTTCATTGCCAGTGGAACACAGCATATAAGACCAAAATACGCCACCCCAAAACCTAACCCTAACCCTAACCCCTAACCCCTAACCAACCCTAACCCTAACCCTAACCCTAACCCCTAACCCCTAACCCTAACCCTAACCCTAACCCTAACCCTAACCCCTAACCCCTAACCCTAACCCTAACCCTAACCCTAACCCTAACCCCTACCCCTAACCCCTAACCCTTACCGGTGACCCTACTGTATCCCTGACTCCTAACCAACATTGATCCCTAACCCTAAACCCCTTACTGTAACTATAATCTTCATCCCACCCTATCCCTAGCCTTAGTGCCATCCCCCAGGCTTTTTCCAGGATGGGATTTTATGTGATTGTTTCGAATAGGTGGAAATCTCTGCTCATTTAGGAGTCGTTCAATGTAACAAGGATCTTGGTCTTCACAGAGACCCTAAACGCGTGTGGCCCAGGGTCATGTGGATGCCATCAGCCACTAGGTGGCAGCAGGGGCCCTTTGGATTTGAACAATGCAGCTCAGTCAGAGGGCTGGACTGGGACACCCCTACTCATGGTCTCTCTTGGCATGGTTTTGTTTGGTGACTCCAGGTGTCCCAACCTCCTGTGTCCATTGTAATATGTCCTGGGACCATCTCCCCCAGGGCCTTCAACCTCTCCTTGCTATCCTGGCTACTGATGGAAGATGTACCTCAAGCCTGTCCCATTCCTCACTTCCTGCTGAGACCTGGCCCCAACATGGCCAGCTCTATGTTCCTCAGACCCTCTCAGGCCACCTTCTCTCTTCTAGGCACTGTCACTGGGCTTCTCCCCACCCCATAGATCCACAGCCCCCAGGTAGTCCTACAGCTGTGTCCACTCGTGCAGCCTGCACCCCCTTCCCCTACTCGGCCACCCCATCTGAGTAGTAAGGGGCCCCTGCCTGATTGGAGACCCCCAGATGCAGACCCAGATCACACAGCACACTGATAAGAGGAGGGATTCCCACCTTAAAAGAAAGGCGTGGGACCAACCCCAGATCCCACCACTCTCGGCCTCAAGGGCAGGCATGACTAGAGGCCCTTGGTGGCCAGGACCCACTGCCTTCTTCACCGATCAGTTGGCATGGCCTCTCACCAGTGTTCCCTCCTAACACACCTGTTCTCTCTCTCACACACCCTAAAGCCGCTTGCCAACCACCTGTCACACAGCCACTCCATGCCTGTTGCTGCTTGGCACCCACTGGGGGCCAGGGATGTGAACAAACCTCATCTAAGCTGGCTGCCGGGTCCTAATGGGCAGGTCCGGTCCGCCCTCTAGGAGAGGTGCTGTCCGGTGAGGCATAAAATCCCGGGATTCTGGCTGGAGGCAGCTCCTGAGACTGCCGGCATGAAGGGGAGCCGTGCCCTCCTGCTGGTGGCCCTCACCCTGTTCTGCATCTGCCGTGAGTCTGTGCCACTGGGGTTTCCAGAACATTCAGGGGCGGGGGGGAGTGGGGGGTACCTGAGAAGGTAAAATCCTGGCATCGGGCCTCTGCAGTGAACACTCCACCTGCTTCTGTCACAGAAGTGGGCAAGGACCCTGCAGAACCCGCGCCCACCCTACTCCACCCCAACCAAGGACAAAGCCCAGCTGACCCAACACCAGCCCAGTGTCTCCTACCCCAGCCCAGTCCAGCCTGACCTGACCCTTCAAGCCTCTGGTCATAATAGCCTCTCATCAGGGGAAATTTCCCCCACACCAGGAGCTTAACTTTCCTTCCCTGGTGATCCCAGGGAATGCTGAGTGGAAATTGGAGCAGCTAAGATTAAGGGGGATGTGGAGGGGTCTTCGGGCAAGGTGGAGTTGGAGGTGTTGTGGAGGAAGCCCTGGGGAGGAGAGGTGAGCATTGAAGGGGAAGGTCTGGAGACCATGGAGGTTAGAGCCCTGGGGCAGGTCCAGGGCTGTGGTTGCACCAGAGTCACCCTGTCCTGTCCTGGCATCATCTCGCTCGTGATGCAGGGATGGCCACGGGGGAGGACAACGATGAGTTTTTCATGGACTTCCTGCAAACACTACTGGTGGGGACCCCAGAGGAGCTCTATGAGGGGACCTTGGGCAAGTACAATGTCAACGAAGATGCCAAGGCAGCAATGACTGAACTCAAGTCCTGCAGAGATGGCCTGCAGCCAATGCACAAGGCGGAGCTGGTCAAGCTGCTGGTATGAGGGCGGCGGGCACCCCATTTTCTAAAGATCTGCAGCCTTACCAAGACCACCCAACACAGCACCCACACAGCCTACCCCACCCACAGACATCCACCACCCACAGACATTGCACCCGCATCAGCCAGCTCAGGTGGACACCCCAGACCTCCTGTCCACCGAGCAGCCCCCAGACTCCATAGACCTCCTCCCCAGTCTGTGGGATACTCCTCCATGCACACATGTGAACATACACAGAGATCCAAACACAGGTGCAGACATGAAATGTACACTGCGTGCACACATGTATAAACACGTTCACACCCACATGCTCACACTGGGATATGCACACACATACATGTGTGCACACCATCACATGTGCACACACACCTCCCAGCTGCTGGGAGGAGATAGGCAGCAATATGCCAGACCCCCCCCCCACTGAGGGCCTTGCTTGCCTGATGGAGCTGTGGCTCTCCACTTATTGAGCACAGCCCTCTTAGTCCACATGTGTCTGCCTTCCAGGTGCAAGTGCTGGGCAGTCAGGACGGTGCCTAAGTGGACCTCAGACATGGCTCAGCCATAGGACCTGCCACACAAGCAGCCGTGGACACAACGCCCACTACCACCTCCCACATGGAAATGTATCCTCAAACCGTTTAATCAATAAAGCCTCTTCCGCAGCTCAGGCTCCTGTCTCTGCCCCCACAGAGGGGCACACAAATGGGGACATCAGGAACACACTCGAGGCCACAGCCACACACACAGACCCACATACAGAGGATCCCACTCAAGGAGCACACGTGCAAAAGTCCCCACAGAGGGACACACAAATGGGGACATCAGGAACACAGGGCCACAGCCACACACACAGACCCACATACAGAGGATCCTACTCAAGGAGCACACGTGCGAAAGTCCCCCACAGAGGGACACACAAATGGGGACATCAGGAACACAGGGCCACAGCCACACACACAGACCCACACACAGAGGATCCCACTCAAGGAGCACACATGCGAAAGTCCCCACAGAGGGGCACACAAGTGGGGACATCAGGAACACAGGGCCACAGCCACACACACAGACCCACACACAGAGGATCCCACTCAAGGAGCACACGTGCGAAAGTCCCCACAGAGGGGCACACAAATGGGGACATCAGGAACACACTCAGGGCCACAGCCACACACACAGACCCACATACAGAGGATCCCACTCAAGAAGCACAAGTGCGAAAGTCCCCACAGAGGGGCACACAAATGGGGACATCAGGAACACACTCGGGGCCACAGCCACACACACAGACCCACATACAGAGGATCCCACTCAAGGAGCACACGTGCAAAAGTCCCCACAGAGGGGCACACAAGTGGGGACATCAGGAACACAGGGCCACAGCCACACACACAGACCCACATACAGAGGATCCCACTCAAGGAACACACGTGTGAAAGTCCCCACAGAGGTACACACAGGGTCCACACAGGAGCAGGCACACCACAGGCAAGACCCAAAATGGAAATCCAGGCAGACGCCACGCAGGCAGGTGGACAGAGCACAGAGCCAGACAACACTGCGTGGTCGTCCGGAGGGGGCGTCTGGAGGGGGCGTCCGGAGGGAGACGGGCGGCAGAGGCAGCGGTATGAGGCGGGAGCCCCAGAAAGAGGAAGTGTCCAGGACTGGGTGGACACAGACCCCATGTCGCCCATGGGCTAGGTCAGGGCGGGGGTGCTCAGCATCTGAAAGCTGGTGTCGAGCCCCAAGAGGACCCCTGACAAGGCCAAGAAAAAGGTACACCCATGTCCAAGGGGGTTGGGAGCCGCAGGTGAGCAGCCTCTGAGGTCAGCCAGGGCAGCCCCAGCGCCCACACTGACTCACACCCACCACAACCAGCACAGACCCTGATCCTGACCCTGGATCCCAGACTCTCCCACAGCCAGAACCTTCCAGCATTTCAGCTGCCCAATCTATGGTCTCTTCTGGGGGCACAGCTGAGTGGAACCGCCCCATCCTTGGCCACCCTGGGTGCTGAGCCCTGACACTTCACTGCCCCGGCCCTCCTCTCCACACCTCTGTCCTGTCTGAGCCTGGCAAGGGGGCCATGCGGTGCTGTCGGCTCTGTGCTCTGTCCCACCTGCCTACATGGTATCTGCCTGGATTTCCATTTGGCTGAGGGAGCCCTAGGGAGGGGGCCCTGGAGGACTTGGTTACAGGGGACCTGGTGAGGGGACCCAGTGAGGGGGACTTCATGGGTGGGTGCCTGGTTGAGGGGACCTGGTGAAAGAAACATGGTGAGGGGGCCTGGTGAGGGGTGGTCTGGTGAGGGAACTTAGGGAAACCTGGTGAGGAGGACCTGGTGAGGGGACATGGGGGGGACCTTGGTGAGGGGACCTGGTGAGGGGACATAGGGGGGACCTTGGTGAGGGGACCTGGTGAGGAGGACCTGGGGGGGACCTTGGTGAGGGGACCTGGTGAGGGGAACATGGGTGGGGAGCCTTGGTGAGGGGACCTGGTGAGGGGACATAGGGGGGCCTTGGTGAGGGGACCTGGTGAGGGGACATAGGGGGGCCTTGGTGAGGGGACATGGGGGGGACCTTGGTGAGGGGACCTGGTGAGGGGACATGGGGGGGACCTTGGTGAGGGGACCTGGTGAGGGGACATGGGGGGGACCTTGGTGAGGGGACCTGGTGAGGGGACATGGGGGGGACCTTGGTGAGGGGACCTGGTGAGGGGACATAGGGGGGCCTTGGTGAGGGGACCTGGTGAGGAGGACCTGGGGGGGACCTTGGTGAGGGGACCTGGTGAGGGGAACATGGGTGGGGAGCCTTGGTGAGGGGACCTGGTGAGGGGACATGGGGGGGACCTTGGTGAGGGGACCTGGTGAGGGGACATAGGGGGGCCTTGGTGAGGGGACATGGGGGGGACCTTGGTGAGGGGACCTGGTGAGGGGACATGGGGGGGACCTTGGTGAGGGGACCTGGTGAGGGGACATGGGGGGGACCTTGGTGAGGGGACCTGGTGAGGAGGACCTGGGGGGGACCTTGGTGAGGGGAGCATGGTGAGGGGAACATGGGTGGGGAGCCTTGGTGAGGGGACCTGGTGAGGGGACATGGTGAGGGGACATGGGGGGGACCTTGGTGAGGGGACCTGGTGAGGGGAACATGGGTGGGGAGCCTTGGTGAGGGGACCTGGTGAGGGGACATGGTGAGGGGAGCCTGGTGAGGGGAACACGGTGAGGGGAACATGGTCAGGGGGACTTATAGGGGTGTCCTGTTGGGGGGACCTGGTGGTGAGATCTGGTGAGGGGATCAAAGGCAGAAGCCATTGTCTTGGTCACATAGACAGAATCTAGAACCTGTCATCCCACAGAGCCACATTCTAGAGTTTAGAGTGGGGGACCTCTCCCCAATTCTGTAAGCCCATGAGGAGAGAGGAAGGCCTTTCTCTCCATGCTCCTTTTGCCTAACCCTAACCCTAACCACCCTAACCCTGACTCTGACCCTGACCCTGACCCTGACCCTGACCCTGACCCTAACTGGACCCGCACATCTGAGCCTGCGTTTCCGTTTCCCCGAGAGACCCCGGACTCCCTCCCCCAAGGACAGGAACGCAACGCACTGGCAGAGCTCGCTGATTGGATGGGGGAGAGAAGTGGGCGGAGTGAGCACTAGGAGATCCTGTCATTGGATAAGAAAGAGAAGTGGGCAGGGTGGGCACTGGTAGAGTCTCTACTGGTTGGATAGGAGCGAGAAGCGGGCGGGGCTAGCACTGAGATCCTGCAATTGGACGGGCATGAAGTAGGTGGGGCGAGCACTGAGGAGACCCTGCCAATTGGACAAGAGAGAGAAGTGGGCGGAGTAAGCATTGGTAAAGCCTGCTGATTGGGCAAGAGACAGGAGTGGTAGGAGCAAGGACTGCGGAGAAGGCTGCTATTGGATGTTAGGGAAAAGAGGGCGGAACAAGAAGGTGGCGAGCTCTGCAGATTGGACAGGAGAGATAAGCAGGAGGAGCGAGCAATGAATGGAGCCAGCGGTGAAAAGAGCCCTGATAACTAGACAGGGGAGAGCAGTGGAACCAGAATTCAGGTTACGGTCACGGTGACAGCCGGAAAGGAAATTCCAGCATGGATGCCGACCGCACCAACCCAAAACTATGACCCGAGTCCTAACCCACCCTAACCCGGCCAAAACCGAACACCCAACCCTGACTAAATGCGAAACGCTGACCCGGACCTGGACCTGGACCTAGTACGAACCCAAGCCTGAACCCTAACCCCTAACCCCTAATCCTGATCCTAGACCCTAACCCCGACCCTAAACCCTGACCCTGACCCTGAAGGGGGACATAGAGGAAAGAGATTGAGAGGTTTGCATATTCAATGACATACATTTTCTTCGTTAGTCGATGTTAGAAAGCAAAGGCTTTTATCTCGAGAAATTTCTGACCTAAAGAATGATGTACAATAAACTGTATTCAACAATTGATCAACATTTTCTAACAAGGTGGAATGAAAATATAAAGTGTGGGGATTGCTACTAGTCCTAATACACTAATCTGTGGTTAGGAAGGTTTATTTTTTTCCCTCCAAACCTAAGCAGTACATGTCTTAAATTACCTTCCAAAACGTAAGACTCTTGGAGCCTCAGACGGGCTGGCGTTAGTCAATACTCCACGGCTGTTTGTTGGATGAGTGGACAACAGCATGGTCGACAGGTCCTGGTGCAAAATGTCTTGGGCTGCCTCAGTTTGAATCCTGCTTCTGCCATCGACCAGCCGTGTGATTCTGTAAAAGTATTTTAACCTCTCTGGGCCTTAGTTTCCCCATCTGTAACTTGAGGGCCTACCTCAAATGGGTCCCTGGTGAAGAGTAACAAGACTATATCCGGAGTAGGTTTCAGTTGCCTTTTCCTCCGTCTTTCCACCCTCCCCTCCTACCCTTCCAAATCTTTTTTTTTTTTTTTTGACAAGGTCTCCCTCTGTTGCCCAGGCTGGAGTGCGGTGGCGTGATCTCGGCTCACTGCAATCCCCACTTTCCAGGCTCAAGCGATCCTCCTCCTCCTACCTCAGCCTCCTGAAAAGCTGGGGCTACAGGTGTGTGCCACCACGCTAGGCTAATTGTCATTGTGTGTGTCTCTGTGTGTGTAGAGGCGTGGTTTCTCCATGTTGACCAGGCTGGTCTCGAACTCCAGGCCTCAAGCAATTCTCCCACCTCGACCTCCAAAAGTGCTAGGACTTACAGGCGTGAGCCACCGCCCCCACCCCTTCAAATCTATTAAAAGGTGAGAGTCTCGCCAAGGCAATGAGATCGCAATATGACGTTTCCATTTACTTTGGATTATATGTCATTATAAATATTAACAAATAAGACTTAAAAAGGACACCTTCGGGTAGGTCAGACCAAAATACAAAACTTGTCTGTGGGACTGCAGTTTGAGGACAGTGTCTGCAGCCGTCACATGGCAGCAAAACGGGGTTAAGCAGTGCACGAGAGTCTGCGTCGACGACAGCCAGAGTCCATGCATCGGGAGGTTCACTCGGTTTGCGAAGGAACAACGGGCTCGGCATGCACGGCCCGGGCTCGGCGGGCGGACGGGCCGGGGCGCAGTTCCCCGCGCTCGCCACTAGAGGTCAGGAGGTGACCGCTTCGGGGCTGGAAGACGGGCCCGTCGGGGATTGGCGCAGGCGGCGGGCGGGGCGGCGGGCGGGGCGGCGGGCGGGGCGGCGCTGGAGGCAGCGCCTGGTTACTGACACCTGGAATGACTTTTTTTTTTTGGCATCAGATTTCCTGTCTTTGTGGGGATGATGGACCCGAGTAAAGATGCCCATTCGGGGTCAAAGGCAGAGCCGCTTCTGCAGCTTCTCAAAGCGTTGTTTGTTTGTTTTTTTTCTGAGACGGAGTCTTGCTCTGTCGCCCAGGCTGGAGTGCAGTGCCGCGATCTTGGCTCACTGCAGCCTTCACCTCCCGGGTTCAAGCGATTCTCGTGCCTCAGCCTCCCTGAGTAGCTGGGACTACAGGCGTGCGCCACCACACCCGGCTAATTTTTGTATTTTTAGTAGAGATGGGGTTTCGCCCTGTTGGCCAGGCGGGTTTCGAACTCCTGACCTCAGGTGATCCGCCAGCCTCGGCCTCCCAAAGTGCTGCAATTACAGGCGTGAGCCATCGTGCCTCAAAACGCTTTAACAGAAAGACAATCTGCACGGGATCTAAAAGGGTGCTGAGATCCTAGGGAAGGAAGGATCCAAACTTCCTGGGGAGTTCCTGCCCGAGTGCCTGTGCTGCCCCTGGGCTGGCTGGCCAGTAAGCCCGCCTCCCAGCCTGACTGTCCCCATCTTTCGGTCCCAGCCCCATTTGCACAGCCTGGGCAGTAGAGGGCCCTGGACTGGGGGGCTGGAGTTCTGGGTTCTTGTCCCAGCTGTGCCCCTTCAGGCCCCTTTCACCCACTGGGCCTCACATTCCCCATGTGCCTAATAAGGAAGTCATGGTAGGTGGGGGGTACAGCCTCTTCTCGCTTTGCCATTCACTTCTGTGTCTTCAGAGAGGCTGTCAAATCTCCTCTCTGAATGAGACCCCCAAAAAAGCAAAGCTAAGAAGATACCCAGAGCTTAACTAGACACCAGGCCTTTTAGAAATAGACCACCTCTTACCTTAGGCCCCCAGAGGGTGCCCATTCTGTGTGGAGAAAAGAGGAGCCCTTGCCTCAGCCCCCAGAGGCTAGGGTGGGGTGGCTGAGTTTTGGGGCCAGGTTAGACACCTCTGGGGAAGCCTGAAGTAGCACGGATGGTTTCAAAGCCAGCGGATGAGGTGGCAGGACAGTGACAAGACCCCAGGTCTCCATCATGCACCTGAGCTTACTGAGCCTTCACCTGGTGTCTCTGCTGAGTCTCCGACAGACCAAGAGGGAAGGGACTGGGGGTACCGACCCCCAGAGAGAGAAAGCGGCAGTCAGAGGACCTGGGTTTGAGTCCTGGTTCACCCCTTCCTGGCTGTGTGGCCTTGGCAAACTACTCAGACTCTGGGAACCTGTTTCACCTGCAAGATGGGGATGAGAATCAAACCCACCTTGCAGGGCTGTGAACATGCGTTCAGACCAGTGCATGCAAAAACCTTCACACAAAAACCCTTCCTAAAGGCAGGGAGACAAGTCTCCAGGAGCAGCAGGTGGCCAGGGACTGTGTGGGGGCTGGGGTCCTGTTTTCCCCGCAACCTGGGAAAGGCCTGATGGGCACTTGGTAGGATTCAAATCATAACCCTGGACCTCAGGTGGTGGTGTGCTTTGTGTCTGCAGTGGAAGGTCCCACCGTCGTGCCTGTGAGTCCCTCTATCGGTGTTGAAGGGGTGGGCAGCAGGCGGGGGAGCCCCAGGCTGGCAGCTAGCAGGACCTCTCTGGTGTGAGCTCAGCACGCCAATTCCCCTGAAGCGTGGTGTCCAGCACTCTGGGCTGGGGGCTGTGGATCCTGGTTCCAGCTGTGTGGGGCCTGGAAGGCCCTGGGCAGGTCACCTGACCTCTCTGGGCCTGTTTCCATCACACACTGATGGGCTGAGCACACTGGGACTCTGGCTGTGCAACTCCTTGGCTCTGCATTTGTTCACCCAGCGTTCCTGAGGGGCCCTTGGTAGGCAGAGAAAGTTTGTGGGCTTCAGGCATGGGCCCCAAGATTCAGATACTCTCAAGCCTCCTGGGGAGTCTCACTCAGGGGAGCAGACAGGCCCACCAGCCAGGGTGATTCTTGCTCAGCTCCTGGAGGGTGGAGCTGGCCCCACAGGCCTCCCCAGAGACAAGGCCCTGGACGGCCACTGATTACTCCCAAAAGGGACATCTGTGGCGGTAGTGGGACCAAGATGCCACGAGCAAGCACCCGGAGGCCCCCAGTGTGAGCCATGGAGTGGAGGGGAGGGGAAAGGGCAGAGTCAGGACGTGTAGGAATGCTTGCTTTTTTTCCCAAGCACAAGGGACCCTTTTCTCCACTGCAGCTGACCTGATGCTTATGCCAGGAAGGAGGAGGGGCGGGCTCCGTCCTTGAGGTCCCTCAGGAGTAGAAAGAGATCAGAGTGGGAGACTTGGGTCTGAGGTCTGAACTTGAGCCTACACCAGTTTCTCCATGGTGTTTCCATCACGTCCCCCACCTCCTGCCTCGAGCCTCACACCTTCCTAACAAACCCTCCCCTGGAGAGGAGACCCTGGGTCCACAGCACCCCGGCCCCATTGGCTTTCTCTCTCCAGGCGTTTTAGACCACTCCCACTGCCTGGACTGCTTTTAGAAGCCCTCACTCACCCTCCAAGGCCTTACGGAAGCACCGCCTCCTCCAGGAAGCCGTCCCTGACCTCCCGGCAGAGTCAGCAGAGCCCACGGTACTTGCAGACTGGCCAAGCTGGTCTTGGTATTTCTCACCCCAGTTGGAATGGTTTGTTCCCAGCTTCCTGACTAGATGGGAACTCCCTGAGGGCAGGCCCTGTGTCTCATTCACCCCCAGGGCTTGTGGAATCATTGAGTGAAGCATGTGCCAATTTACCCATCATCAGGAGCCTCCGGGAACTCTGGCAGACTTTCGGCCGGCAGGCCCGCTTCTTCCATCTGTCCAGCAGCGAAGGAGATGAGGGATGCAGTTAGGCTTTCTTGGGCTGGAGCAGCCAGTCTTCAAGGTCCCATCCTCCACCTGTCTGTCTGCTCACCACCTCCCTCCTCTGTTCCCACTGTCCGCCAAGGCGCCCCCACACTCCTGTCCTCTCAGCCGGGGCTGGCCTCTAGAAGGGTCTTTGCTCCCAGATGGGCGTGTCCCCTTCCCCTGGGCAGGTGCTGAGGTCTCTTTCCACCACCGGCCTCTTGGGCCCCAGAGAGCTGAGAGCCCCCCACCCCAGCTCCTTGCCCTCCCCGTCCCAGAGTGGCTGAGCCCTCCACATCCTCCGAGCGGGGACTGCAGTGGCTCTGTGTCCAAGCAGGGGTTCTGGATCTCCCCCAGTGTGGGGGCCACAGGCCTTGGTGGCTGCTGGGGAAGCCCGGGGCCGGCCGTGCTGGGCGCAGGTGGCGGCAGGGGTAGCAGTGGCGGGTGGGCGTCAGTCGCTGAGCACAGCCCCTGGGAGCTCGCTGGTGAGCGTGTGCCAGCGCTCGATGCGCTTGTCCTTGTTCTTCAGGCAGTCAAACCAGTGCTTCAGGCGCTCCCCCTTGGCGTGGATGCCCAGAACCACACCACCTGCAGGAGGACAGGAGGGGCAGCTGGGGCACAGGGACCCCCAACTCCCAGGCGTGGGGCCCATGCCCCCTCCCAGGTTCTGTGCTCGAAGGCCAGCCTCTCCCACTGCCCGCTGGGTTCTGAGCATGAACAGGACCTGACCTCCATGCCACACTCTGGCCCCGTCAGGGCCCAGCCATCCTGTCTCTCTTCCACCAGGGCAGGGATAGGGGCAGGGTGCAGAGGCAGCATCAGGGGTCAAGGAATGGGGGCCTGAAGAGGGGAGAAAGGGCCGGGCAGCCCCACTATGCGCAGCCACCAGGCCCACTGGGAATTTGGGGCCTCTAGGGCTCAGAGTCCAGCCCGAGGCACTGCCCATCATTGTCTCTTGTCTGTGCTCCACCACAGAGTGCTGTGTGACCCTCCCAGAACTCCTTCCATCCCTGGGCCTGTCTCTTCCTGGGGCACAAGGGTCAGGCTGGAGAAGGTCTGAGGCCCCTGACCTAGGGGCAGGTGGTCCGTGGCTCCAGCTTTCCCCATGGACCAGGAAAGAGGGGCTGTGGCCTGATCCAGGACAGGCACACAGTGAGACGGTGTTCCCACTATGCCCCCTTACCAATGAAATCGTTGGATTTTCCAATGTCGTAATCCCAAACGGTGACCTCCAGGGACTTCTTGGCCAGGTCCCCATGCTTGATCTCGTAACAGAACTCCTGCTGGCAAGAAGGGAGTGTTAGGGCTGATGCCTGGGCCTGGGCCTCCGCCGGGGGCCAGGAGGGGTATGAGGTGTAGGGACAGAGGAGGGATGGGGGTGATCAGTGCTCAGAGTGGATGATGGGTGGATGCTCACATGTCTCGCCCACTTCCCCCTGAGCTCCACTGGGGTCTTCAGGGCCCCTGTCCCCTCGCCCGCTTGCTCCTTGTCCCTGAGCCTGCTCTCCCCACACCCCGGGAGCCTCCTGACTGCAGAGGCACTGCACGCCCCACAGTCCTTGTCATCCTGGGCCTCTCTGGGGCCTGGCTTTGCTGACCCCTCCCTTCTCTGTGGGACCCTCCCTTCCATCCGGGGTTCCCCTCACTCTCTGGAAGCATCTTGACCTCCCCTGCCTGCCTCTGGATCACTGGTGTGGTGTGGGCTCTACCCAAGGCCCCTCTGCTCTTCTTTCCTTCTTGTTCCTTGGGGGGAATCCGCATTTCCAGCCGTACTTGCCGCCTTGGGCGGAAGACTTCCTGGGGCCCCAGGGTGTCTCGAGTCCCCTTGCCCCACACAGAGTTTCTCCCCATCTTCCTCACCCCCTCTTTGCCCTGTTGCCTCCATGAGGAACCGAGGACTCCCCTCAACACTTCCCTCCCCCCAGCCCTACATCCGACAAGTCCTGCCAAGAGCTTTCCAGGGGTCCCCCAGCTCCCCTGTGTCTGTGGCTTGGTGCGGCCCCTCCCCACCGTCTCTGACCACCCTCCCCATCCCGCCATGACCTTTTGAAAACCCAGCCACACCCCCACTGCTGTGGGGCAGAGGAATGGCCTTCATGAAGCTTCACCAGCCCCTCATACCTCATTAAACTCCGGGTTCAGGGTTTTTTTCTTCACCGCTGTCTTATGTTTGGATTTCTTGTCCACATCTGGCCTCAGGTATCTGGAATTACATCCAACGGACAGGCAGAGGATGGGGACATGCTATGGGGTATAGATCAAGCCAGCAGGTATTCAAAGAGCTTTCTGTCCCTGGAGAGAGATTCCTGGGCCCTTCTTTTGTCCTAATCATTGGATTTTCCCAACGCTATTTTGTGGCAAAGGCGAGACGTTGTTTTCGAGAAGCAAGTGGTCCCTTCATCCACCGCACTTCTGTTCACACACACATTCCTGAAGTTAACCCTGGGGGGCGCCCTCCATCCCCCTAGGAAAGGGGTTTTTCCTCATTTCTGGAAGTCTAATTTTCATAAAGCTCACATTTCCCACCAGAACAGAGTTTTTAGCAGAGTTGGTCTCTTGTTCAAACTTCTTTTTTTTTTTCAGATGGCTGACTGCAACCTCTGCCTCCCGGGTTCAAGTGATTCTCCTGCCTCAGCCTCCAGAGTAGCTGGGACTACAGGCATGTGCCGCCATGCGCAGGTAATTTTTGTATTTTCAGTAGAGACAGGGTTTCACCATGTTGGCCAGGCTGGTCTCTAGCTCCTGACCTCAGGTGATCCACCTGCCTCGGCCTCCCAAAGTGCTGGGATTACAGGCGTGAGCCACCACCCCCGGCCTCAAGCTTCTTTTATAAAATAGCAGATTTATTGAGATATAATTCACATACCATAAAATCCATCCTTCTGAAGTGTAAAACGCAGTAGCCTTTAGTAGACTCCCAGAGTTGTACATCCATCACCACTACCTCCATTGGAGCTTTGAGGAAGGACAAGACCTTTTGTGCAGTCACACGGAGGCCACCTAGATGTTCTTCCCTCCACAGCCACTAAGGCCTTAGGCTCTGATGCAGAACAGCTGTCTTCCTCTGAGGCTCAGAGAGGGGGAGTGACTTGCCCAAGGTCACACAGCCTGCAAGCACAAGCGTGGTGCTTGAAAGCCAGGCTCAGACTCCTTTCTCTATGACAGGGAGGTCATGTGCAGGCTGGAGAAGGGGACAAGAGGTCCCCAACTTCTTTGCAAAGCTTCTCACCCTGTTCCTGCATAGATAATTGCATGACAATTGCCTTGTCCCTGCTGAATGTGCTCTGGGGTCTCTGGGGTCTCACCCACGACCAACTCCCTGGGCCTGGCACCAGGGAGCTTAACAAACATCTGTCCAGCGAATACCTGCATCCCTAGAAGTGAAGCCACCGCCCAAAGACACGCCCATGTCCAGCTTAACCTGCATCCCTAGAAGTGAAGGCACCGCCCAAAGACACGCCCATGTCCAGCTTATTCTGCCCAGTTCCTCTCCAGAAAGGCTGCATGGTTGACACACAGTAGCCTGCGACAAAGCTGAATGCTATCATTTAAAAACTCCTTGCTGGTTTGAGAGGCAGAAAATGATATCTCATAGTTGCTTTACTTTGCATATTTTAAAATTGTGACTTTCATGGCATAAATAATACTGGTTTATTACAGAAGCACTAGAAAATGCATGTGGACAAAAGTTGGGATTAGGAGAGAGAAATGAAGACATATGTCCACACAAAAACCTGTTCATTGCAGCTTTCTACCATCACCAAAAATTGCAAACAACCACACGCCCTTCAACTGGGGAACTCATCAACAACAAACTTGTGGTTTACCCACACAATGGAAGACCACTTAGCAACAAAAAGGACCAAACTCCTGGTACATGCAACTGACAGATGAATCTCAAACGCATTCCTCCGTGTGAAAGAAGCCGGACTCACAGGGCAACACACTATCTGACTGTTTCATGGGAAAGTCTGGAAACGGCAACACCATTGAGACAGAAAACAGGTGAGTGGTTGCCTGGGGCCAGGGAACTTTCTGGGGTCATATTCTCTATGTTGATTCTGGTGGTGGAAACAAGACTGTCCCAGCCTGGGTGATACAGCGAGACCCCATCTCTACCAAAAAATTAAAAATTAGCTGGGCATGGTGGTGCATGCCTGTAGTCCCAGCTATTCACAGTGCTGAGGTGGGAAGATGCTTGAGCCCAGGAGTTCAAGGCTGCAATGAGCTATGATTGCGCCACTGCACTTTGGCCTGGACAACAGAGCAAAACCCTGTCTCTAAAAAAAGAAAAGAAAAGAAAAACTCACTGGATATGAATGATACAGGTTGAGGATCCATTATCTGAAATGCTTGGACCAGATGTTTTGAATTTTGGATTTTTTCATATTTTGTAATCTTTGCAGTATATTTACCAGTTCAGCATCCCTAACTCAAAAATTCAAAAATCTGAAATCCCAAACGCGCCAATAAGCATTCCCTTTGAGCGTCATGTCGGTGCTTGGAATGTTTGGGGTTTTGGATTTACAGCTTTGGGACGCTCAACCTGTACCTCAATAAACCTGATTTTAAAAAAGTTTGGGGGGATTCCCCTAAGCCCGCCACCCGGAGACAGCGGATTTCCTTAGTTACTTACTATGCTCCTTGGCCATTTCTCTAGGTATTGGTATATTGTGTCTGCTGTGAACTGTCCTTGGCCTGTTTGGTGACGGGTGAGGAGCAGGGACAGAAGGGTCCTGCGTGCCCTGCCTTCACAAGCCCCTGGAAGGAAAGTTGTTTTGGGATCTCTGCACCCTCAGCCTGGACAACTTGTGCCCATCTGGTGACCCCTCACTCAGCCACCAGACTTCCACGACAGGCTCCAGCCTCGGCACCTTCAGCCATGGACAGTTCCGCCAGCGTTGCCCTCTGTTCTGCTGTTTTCTCTACCAGAAGTGCCCTTCCCTCCTCACCTGACCACTCTGGGGAAATCCCTCAGCACCCTCCCTGAGCATACCCTACTCTGGCACAAGCCCACCCTGCAAAGCCCCTGAGGCCCGCCCTGTGGCGTCTCTCCCTCCCTTGCTGTCAGGACAGTGGTCCTGGCCACCGGGGCTCATGGAGCCGCCCTGTGCCGTGTACCTCTGAGCCCTCTGCACAGTGCCTTCTGCTTGCCTGTGGCTTTGAGAAGAAACCCCTTCTGGTTATACATAAGACAGCCAGAGAAGGGAGTTGCCCAGGGTGGCACAGCACGTTGCTGCCAGTTACTGCCATTTTCACAGGCATGAAATGGAGATAACAACAGGAGCGACCGCACAGGCTGCTGAGCGCGTCACACGCAGCCATCGCGCAGCTCAGGGATATTACGTGTAACTCGACATGTCAGCGATTGTCACAGGCACTGCTACTCCTGGGGTTTTCCATCAAACCCTCAAGAGCTGGGCCTGGGGTCAACTTCCAGCCTGGGGAAACTGGGGCAAGTATCACCAGAGATGAGCTTTATAAAAATAATGGTGCTAGCTGGGCATGGTGGCTTGCACCTGTAATCCCAGCACTTTGGGAGGCCGAGCTAGGAGGATCGTTTGAGTCCAGCAGTTTGAGACCAGCCTGGCCAATACGGCAAAACCCAGTCTCTACAAAAAATACAAAAAACAACTAGCCAGGCGTGGTGGTGCACACCTGTAGTCCCAGCTACTCAGGAGGCTGAGGGGGAAGGACTGCTTGAGCCCAGGAGTTTGAGGCTGCTGTGAGCTGTGATCGCATCACTGCATTCCAGCCCGGTGACAGAGTGAGTCACTGTCTCAAAAAAGAAAGGAAGAAATAAAGAAAACAAATAAAAATAATAGTGCAGACAAAAGGCCTTGACCCATCTAGCTTTGGCCCTCAGCATCAACCGCTAGATACGTCCCTCCCTTTCTTCTGGGGCACAGGTCACACTCTCTTCCAGGTCTAGGATGCAGCTGAGGGGTGCCCCTCTTACCATCTAATCTGTGCCCTTATTTCCTCTGCTTTAGTGAGGAAGAGGCCCCTGGTCCATGAAGGGGCCTTTCAGAGACGGGGACCCCTGAGGAGCCCCGAGCAGCAGCCGTCGTGTCTCACCCAGGGTGTCTGAAACAGATGTGGAGGTCTCGGGTGAGGCGTGGCTCAGATACAGGGAGTGGCCCACAGCTCGGCCTGTCTTTGAAAGGCCACGTGACCTGGCCCACGGCTGGCAGGTGGGACCCAGCTGCAGGGGTCCAGCAGCACCCACAGCAGCCACCTGTGGCAGGGAGGAGCTTGTGGTACAGTGGACAGGCCCTGCCCAGATGGCCCCCCGCCTGCCTGTGGAAGTTGACCAGACCATCTGTCACAGCAGGTAAGACTCTGCTTTCTGGGCAACCCAGCAGGTGACCCTGGAATTCCTGTCCATCTGGCAGGTGGGCATTGAAACTGGTTTAAAAATGTCACACCATAGGCCGGGCACAGTGGCTCACGCCTGTAATCCCAGCCCTTTGGGAGGCCAGGGTGGGTGGATCACTTGAGGTCAGGAGTTCAAGACCAGCCTGGCCAACATGGTGAAACCCCGTCTACTAAAAATACAAAAATTAGCCTGGCGTGGTGGCGCATGCCTGTAATCCCAGCTACTTGGGAAGCTGAGGGATGAGAACTGCTTGAACCTGGGAGGCAGACGTTGCAGTGAGCTGAGATCACGCCACTGCACTCCAGCCTGGGCAACAGAGTAAGACTCTGTCTCAAAAAAAAAAAAAATCACACCATTTTGGCTTCAGATTGCATATCCTCCTGCAAGGATATATACGCGTGAAATTCAAGTCAATGACAAATCAGAAGAAAAAACATATATATACGCAAACCAGTATCCTACTGTGTGTGTCGTTTGTTGTGTTTTCGACAGCTGTCCGTGTTATAATAATTCCTCTAGTTCAAATTTATTCATTTTTAACTTCATAGTACCACATTCTACACACTGCCCATGTCCCCTCAAGCTTCCCCTGGCTCCTGCAACCACAAATCTACTCTCTGCCTCTGTGGGTTGACCTATTCTGGACACGTCATAGAAATAGAGTCCTGCAACACGTGGCCGTCTGTGTCTGGCTTCTCTCGCTTAGCATCTTGTTTCCAAGGTCCTCCCACAGTGTAGCATGCACCTGCTACACTCCTTCTTAGGGCTGATATTCCACGCACCTGCTACACTCCTTCTTATGGCTGATATTCCACGCACCTGCTACACTCCTTCTTAGGGCTGATATTCCACACACCCGCTACACTCCTTCTTAGGGCTGATATTCCACGCACCCGCTACACTCCTTCTTAGGGCTGATATTCCACGCACCTGCTACACTCCTTCTTAGGGCTGATATTCCACGCACCTGCTACACTCCTTCTTAGGGCTGATATTCCACGCACCTGCTACACTCCTTCTTAGGGCTGATATTCCACGCACCTGCTACACTCCTTCTTATGACTGATATTCCACGCACCTGCTACACTCCTTCTTAGGGCTGATATTCCACTGCAGGGACAGACTTCATTTGTGTATCCATTCATCAGTGGATGGACACTTGGGGTGTTTCCACTTTTGGCTGTTGTGGATAGTGCTGCTATGAACATTCCTGCACAAGTTTTAGGATGGACATGTTTTTCTTATCTCTTGGGTATATAACAAGGAGTGGAATTGCCAGATCAAATGGTGATTCTGTGTTTAACTTCCTGAGGAACTATCAGCTGCTTCCCAAAGTGGCCATCCCATTATTCTCATATTATTTTTATTTGTTTATTATATTTTGAGAGTGTCTCGCTCTGTCACCCTGGCTGGAGTGCAGTGGTGTGATCTCGGCTCACTGCAATCTCCACCTCCCAGGTTGAAGTGATTTTCCTGCCTCAGCCTCCCAAGTAGCTGCGATTACAGGCGCCCGCCACCACACCCAGCTAATTTTTTTATTTTTAGTAGAGACGGGTTTCCCCATATTGGCCAAGCTGGTCTCAAACTCCTGACCTCAGGTGATCCGTGCGCCTCGGCCTCCCAAAGTACTGGGATTACAAGCACGAGCCACTGCACTCAGCCTAATTTATTACTATTTTTAACTGTAGAGACAAGGTCTCAGTATGTTGCCAAGGCTGGTCTCAAATTCCTGGGTTCAAGCAATCCTCTCAAGTAGTTAGGACTACAGGGACATGCCACTACACCAGGCTAATTTTTAATTTTTTTGTAGAGATGGAGGTCTCACTATGTTGCCCAGGATGGTCTCAAACTCCTAGCCTCAAGCAATCCTCCTGCCTTGGCCTCCCAAAGTGTTCAGAATGTAAGTGTAACTCACTGCACCTGCCACATACAATTTTTAAAGTGACAGAAATATGATCATGGCCATGGGAATGGTGCCCCTAGAGCTGTGCCACGAGGAGTACTGGCCTCTTCATGGTGCCAAGATGTCCCTGAGGCCTTAGTCACCTGGGTCCTTGGTGTCCCCTAGGTCAGGGCCATCCCTCTGTCATTCCCCCTCCCTGAAGCACCTGCCCCTCCTTTCTGCTGAACTAAATTCCTCCCCAAGTCTCAGTTTTCCAGAGTCTCCCTGTGAGCTCACACTCATACCTACCTAGTTTCTGAAGAGCCCCGAGCACTGACGGTAGTCACTGTGGCACCTGTAGCACCCTCTCCAAAGGGTCGCCAGCTCCTGCCTGGCTCTCAGAGCTACACAGCCTCTCCTGACCAGGCTCACAGCTCCACAGCTCTGCGGCCCAGGCCACCTGGCATGGCCCCCTGAGTTAGTGTCTCTCCCCAGGCCCACCATCAGCCCTGTTGGTAGAGCTGGGTGGACTCTTATCCGCATCTGTAGCACCATTATAGGGCTGGGCAAATGTGGGCAGTTGCAAAGGCCTGGCAGAGTTCCTCTGCATCCTCCCCCAGCCTCCTGGCTACCCCCGGCACTGGCCCCGCCTTCTGTCCCCTCCTGCAACTCATGGCCCCTCCTGGGCCCCTCAGTCACAGAGAGGCCTGGACATAGCATCAGGTGATAACTAATACCTGCATGACCCTGGGAAGCCACTCAGCTTCTCTGTCCCTCAGTTTCCCCATCTGTGAAATGGGCTGGCCATGCTTAACCCCTGGAGTTGCCAAGGTAGCCCATCAGGGAACACAGCGCCCCTGTACCTCAGGCACTCCCTGGGTGCCTGCCACCTGGGACCACGGAGCCGGCACACGGACCCCCGTCCTTGGAGGTGAAGACGTGGCAGGTGGTCACGCGCACGGCACACTCACGTTTTCACGTAGGGGTCCGAGTAGCCGTTGGCGTCCATGGCGGCCAGGTGGGCGCACCGCACGATGCCTACCAGCAGGCCTTGCTTCTGTGAGCTGTACTTGAGGGAGATGAGGATGCGGCCCCGCTCCTCCAGGGACTTGTCTTCAGTCTTGTCCACCTGTTGGACGGGACGGTCACTCAGTCCTCACCTGCTCCCACCCCTCTCTTGGCCGTCCTTGGCCTCCTCTTCCTGAGCCCGCCCATCCGGCTGCTGCAGCCGGGCCTGGTCACGGTCCCTGGTGAGTGGCCTCACTGTGAACTCACAGCCCTTCTGTCATCTCTTCCCTCCCAAGGGCTCTTCCAGGGCTGGATCTGACCCACACCCTCCCTGTTCTTGGCTGCATGTGGCCTACGGTGGCCTTCACAGCCCAGCAAGGGCCAGCCCAGGGGTTGGCAACTGCAGCCCGGGGGCCAGATCAGGCCCGACGCCTGGCTCTGTGTGGGATGTGAGCTAAGCATGGCTCTTACCCTTATCTTAAACAATTTCTTTTTCAAAAAAATAGAGACAGGGGTCTCACTATTTTGCCCAGGCTGATCTCAAACTCCTGGGCTCAAGGGATCTTCCCACCTTGGCCTCCCAAAGTGCTGGGATTACAGACATGAGCCACCGTGCCCAGCTGGTTCTTACTTTTTGGAATAGCAGAAAGAAAAATGAAATGAAAAATATTTTGTGACACATGAAAATGACATGAAATTCACACTTCAGCTTCCATTAACACCGTGTTGTTGGAACGCAGCCTTGCCAGCTCCGTGATGCTTCTCTATGGCTGCTTTTGCCCTAAGGACAGAGCTGCATGGTGGCCACAGATTGCGAGGCACACAGAGCCTAACATTAGCGCTAAGCGGCCCTTCACGGGTCTGCAGCCCCCGGCCTGGCGCGCTCGGCTTCCGCGGACGGTCTTCCACCAGGTCCTCCTCACAGCCCGCCCGGACTTTCCCTTGGCTTTGAAGCCGGGTCCCACCTCCACACCTTTGCGCACCCTTAATCCACAGCTCCAGCACCCTCCTCTGACCTCCTCAGTGTTCACCGTTGATAAATTCCTGGTCCTTCTGGGCCTGGGGGGCTTTTCTGACCCTCAGGGTGGGTTGGCCGTCCCCTCTGCGCGCCCACTGCCTCGGGTTTATCCTGTCATGGCCTGGTGTGGCCCCCTGCTTCCTCAGGGCTCTGCCCCAGCCTCTAAGTTCCTTGAAGTTGGAACTCTACCTGTAAATTTTGATTTTGACAGAGTCTGACTCTTGTCACCCAGGCTGGAGTGCAGTGGCATGATCTTGGCTCACTACAACCTCTGCCTCCCGGGTTTAAGCGATTCTCCTGCCTCAGCCTTCTGAGTAGCTGGGACTACAGTCTAATTTTTCTATTTTTTGGTAGAGACAGGGTTTTGCCATGTCTGCCAGGCTGGTCTCGAATTCCTGACCTCAAGTGATCCACCCACCTCAGCCTCCTGAAGTGCTGGGATTACAGGTATGAGCCACCGCATCCAGATAATACCTGCGTCATCTTTAATACCTCAGGGCTGGGCAAGGCCCTGGCACTAAGGGCCCACTGGAGGCTTGTACTAGTGAAGGCAGGAATGGAGGGACAGATGGTCCCCTGTGCGTTCAACCTCATACAAGCAACTCCAGCCTGGAGGTTCAAAGAAAGGCAGAAAGGTCTGCCCATGACAATGGAGCCTGGTGGATGGAAAAGGGTCACCGTGGCCCCAGTTCCCTGAAGGTGCTACCTGGAGCCTCTCAGGGTGCTGGATGTGGCTCCCTCAGGAGAACCCCGAAGACAGAGTTCTGGTACATTCCTCACCCTGGAGAAGCTGGGAGCCAAGTAGGGAGCCCATCCAGTGCCTTCCCTGCCTCAGCAGCTGCCAGTGCCTGCCTCTCAAGGCAGATCTCAGCTCCAGGCCTCCCCATCCCCAGCCAGCCTGATGCTTCTCCATTCCTTGCCCTCCCGAGACTACCCGGCTTCTTCCTTCTGGCTGCTGCACACCCCAAACCCTCTCTCCTAGGCCCTCAGCCCCCCCAGACAAACCCAGCTTGAGCCCACCCACACACGCCCAGCTTGAGCCCTGTGTCCCCCTGGATCCCCTTAGGACTCTACCAGGCTCCTCTCCCAAGCAGCCCCAGCCACCTCCTTTTGCCCACAACCGTGCCCTGCCTAACACCAAAGTGAGTCCCTCTGGCTACATCTAACCCTTTCTGGAGATGAGACTCCTGTGAGGTGAGCAGGGATGTTGAGCAGGGAAGACATACATGCCCCACCAGCCACCTTCGCCACCTCCCACGCCCAGAGCAGACATGGCTAATCGATCCTAGCATTTGCCCTAGGCTCCAATGCCACCTCAGAATCCTTTTCAACACAGTGCTCAGGCAGCCATTCCTGGTGGATCAGGCCAGGCCTGCGAGATCTCGCTATCTGCCGCTCAGGCAGAGCTTTGTGTGTGAGGGCCTTGATGCCCTGTGCTGCTTGTGTCAGTGTGTGTGGTGTGAAAATTAAACAATATAAACCAGCAGGGGCCAGGCACAGTGACTCATGCCTGTAACCCCAGCACTTTGGGAGGCCAAGGCGGGCAGATCACCTGAGGTCAGCAGCTCAGGACCAGCCTGGCCAACATGGTGAAACCCCATCTCTACTAAAAATACAAAAATTAGCCGGGTGTGGTGGCGCATGCCTGTAATCCCAGCTATTGGGAGGCTGAGGCAGAAGAATCACTTGAACCCGGGAGGCGGAGGTTGAAGTAAGCCGACATTGCGCCACTGCACTCCAGCCTGGGCGACATAGACTCCATCTCATAAAAAAAAAAAAAAAAACAACCAACCAGCAGGCATATTTTTAGCTCTTTTTTCAGGGGTGGGACATTGTACTTCGGGTTGTTTCATATGAAGACCACTGGGTCTTGCTCAGTATTGACTTAAAACAGATAATGTTCGCAGACTGTAAATTCTAAAACCTACCGCCAGAGGCCTGGCACAGGGGCTCATGCCTGTAATCCCAGCACTTTGGGAGGCCGAGGCAGGAGGATCACTGGAGGTCAGGAGTTTGAGACTTGCCTGGCCAACATGGCGAACCCCCGTCTCTACTAAAAATACCAAAATTAGCCAGGCGTGGTGGCGCACACCTGTAATCCCAGCACTTTGGGAGGCTGAGGCAGGTGGATCATTCAAGGTCAGGAGTTTGAGACACCTGGACAATATGGTGAAACCCCATCTCTACCAAATATACAAAAATTAACCAGGCGTGGCGGCACACGCCTGTAGTCCCAGCTACTCAGGAGGCTGAGGCATGAGAATTGTTTGAACTCAGGAGGTAGAGGTTGCAGTGAACAGAGATTTTGCCACTGAACTCCAGCCTGGATGACAGAGCAAGACTCAGTCTCAAAAAATAATAATAATAAAAGTACCACCAGAATGTGGCTGTACTGTCAGGGGTGCATCCCCAGCTGCACTCCTGCGGTCACTGTGAGTCCCTGAACGGCACCAATGGGCCGGTAGCGCATCCAGCAACGCCCTGATCATGGCCACGCACAGGGACGCACATGCTTTCACGAACGCACACCACACATGTGGACACACACACTGTCGCACACAGACACGTACTGACATATGCTCTTACACACAATTCACACACGAGCACACACACACACACGCTGACACCCCACGTACATACCCACGTGGTTGTTTGTTTATGCCAGTGATGAAAACTCAGGAACACTAAGGCAGGGCTGGTGTTGCTTTTTTTTTTTTTTTTGAGACAGAGTCTTGCTCTTGCTCTTGTCACCCAGGCTGGAGTGCAACGGTGCAATCTCGGCTCACTGCAACCTCCGCCTCTCAGGTTCAAGCGATTCTCCTGCCTCAGCCTCCTGAGTAGCTGGGATTACAGGCATGCACCCCCACACCCGGCTAATTTTTTTATTTTTAGCAGAGACGGGGTTTCGCCATGTTGGCCAGGCTCTCTCGAACTCTTGACCTCATGACCCACCTGCCTTGGCCTCCTAAGATGTTGCCTTTCTTAAGTGACATAGACCATGTGGAAAAACCAGGTTACCTGTGGTTAGTGACTAACAATAAAACAGGAAAGGTTATATCCATCACACAAATGTCTGAGGGGGAGAGAATGTGACAAGGAATAAAATTGGATCAAATTCTGCAAAAGTAACTGGGATTCTGGGAAGAAGCCGTGGCCTCAGGCTGACTCGCCCCCGGGGCTTGACTTGGGCTAAGCTCGAGGTGAGTCCACGTCCCCGGGCCCCACTGGGGCTGGGTACACTGGGGACAGCCGCCGGGCTCTGTCCTCCCAAACTTGCCCCTTGCCCAGTCCTCTTAGGGGGACAACGTGCCATCGAGGGGACCATGCCTCCGCCTGTGTCCTGAACGCTGGGAGGCTGAGGCCCCAGGATTTCTCTTGACCCCAGTGGCACGGGGGACTCCTGGCTTCACCAGCCCTATGAACCAGGTGAAGGTGAGGCCATAGACAAGGGAGGATGGGGGAGGGAAGAGGGACATAGAGACCAAGACTCAGAGGGCGTAGCTGCTGGAGCAGGCCGAGGGCAAATCTGTTCTGACATAACGTTGAGACAAATGCCATTTCTAGGAAAGGATACTCTGCTGTCTCCTCTGCGTATCTCACAGGCACTCAGGTCTAACATGTTCCAAGCGTGCTCCTTGCGCGTCCTGTCCACCCGTGGTCCCTGCTGAGTCCTCTGAGTGCAGCAAACAGCCCCTCAGGCTTCAGTGGCTCAGGCCCCAAACCTCGGATCTGCCCTTCCCTCACCCAAGGACGTCCTATCTGCTGCCTGCACATCCGGTTCAGAATCAAGCCCTCCTACCGCTGCCAAGGTCAGGCCAGGGTTGTGCCCATCTCTCCCCATCTCCCCAGGCCTCCTGCCCTCTCCTCCCTCTTCTTCAAGCCATCCTGAGCCCAGGCCAGCGAGCCTGGTAAAATGTCATCCCCCATGATCCCTCAGCTTAGCACCCTCCCGTGGCCACTCAGAGTGAAAGCCAGGGTCCTTCCTCACCTCCACCCCCTTGACTCTCCATGCTCACCTCCCCGGTCTCCCCTCCCCTCTCACTCTGCCCCTCATGAGTCCCATCACAGGCAGGAAGTTCTGCCTTCCCAGCACCTGCCACCGAGCCAGGTACACAGCAGGTGCTCAATCAATCCTCTCACCGGCAGCTGCTTCTCCAGGCAGATGCTGAAGGTCTTGGTGTGGTTGGGTTTCAGCTTCTTCAGGGGCACACGTGTCTCCCCGATGAACTCATTGTGCCGGAATTTGTCCTCGTCACACACAGAGATCCTAGAGGGGGCGGTGGTGAGGGGCACAGCCAGTGCCTCAGACGCACTGGGCATGGTGGAGGTGTGCGCAGGTAGGGCCAGCCCTGGCTTCTCCTGCCCCAAGCCCTGCCCTGGTCTGGGGTGGGAGACGCACAAGATGCCTGGGCCCTGACAGGGGCAGAGTGTGGCACGATATCAGGCACTGTCCTCATGGACAAGTGTCCTCAGGTTGGAAGAGGGGACAGGAGAAGGCAGAACCAGTGCCAGGAGTAGCCAGGAGGCTGGGAGAGCCGGTTCTCTGGAGGGAACCACCTCCAGCACCCTGAGAGGCCCCAGGAAGCACCTTCAGGGGACTGGGGCCAGGGTGACCCTTTTCCACCCACCAGGCTCCATTGGCGTGGGCAGACCTTTCTGCCTTTCTTCAAGCCCCCAGGCTGGAGTTGCTGGCATGAGGTTGAACCCACAGGGGACCATCTGACCCTCCAGTCCTGCCTTCATTAGGAAAAGCCGGGTGGGAGTGGGGGTTGGGGAGGGAGCAGGCGGCCTGGGACCCTCACCCACCGCAGGGTCTTGCGGATCATGTCTTCATCTGTGATCCCGTAGTAAGTGAGGGTCTCGTTCCATGTGGGGTTCAGAGTGTTACGGAGAGTTTTTGTTCTGAGCTTATTTGCCTGGAGAAGAGAAAAATGATCTTATTAGCATCAAAGTGTGTATCAAACAGAACAATGGCCCCCAGAGATGGCCACGTGCTCATCTTGGAGCCTGTGAATGTGTTATCAACATGGCCAAGTGGACTGAGGCTGCAGGTGGACTTAGGGTTGGTAATGAGCTGACATTAGAATAGGGAGATTATCCTAGATTGTTGGGTGGCCCAATGTGGTCACAGGGTTCTTAAAAGCAGAAGAATGGACAGAGAAGACAGTCAGGGACGTCACCAAGGAAGGGGGCCAGAGAGATGCAATGGGGCCCGCTGTGAAGGTGGAGGAAGGGGCCACAAGCCCAGGAGGGCCGATGGCCTCTAGAAGCTGGAAGGAGCTAGGAAACTGTGGGCTCCCCGGGCTCCAGAAGGAATGCAGCCTTGCCGACACCTTGATTTTAGCCCAGAGAGAGACCACTGCTGGACTTCTAACCTGCAGAGCAGTCCGAGAGTAAACGCGCTGCTTTAAGCCACGAAGTTTGTGGTCATTTGTTGCAGCAGCCGTAGGAGGCTCATCCAAGGAGGACCCCACCTCCAGCCCGATGCCACGGGGTAGGTTCTGCAGGAGGCCTGTGTGGAACTGGAGTCTCCTTCCCAGGGCATTCCCTGCCTTTGTGGACCGTCCCCTCTGCCTGGAACCCATCCCGTCCTTGGGTCTGCCTCGGGGGTGGCCTCTCCGAGCTGGAATATTGCTGCCACTCCCTCCTCCTGTGCCAGCGGCTCTGAGCTCCTTGTCTGAATCGGTCTGATGCCTGCCACACCCGGCCCAGGCTGGGAGGTCAGACAGCCTGGGCTTCCAATTCCAGCTCTGTGGCAGCATCAGGTTCCCCACTGTGGAAAGGGCACAGGAATCCCTCTCTCCCATTGCTTTCAGGAGCTGTTTGTAAGGAGACTGCTCTTTATAAAACACTAGGGAAAGTCCTGGGGACTTCCTACAACTCGGCAGCCATGCACTGCCGGCTCCAGTCCCACAAATGAAGGGTCACTGAGCACACTTCCCTGGTCATACTCGCCCTCGGCCCTCATATCCCTGAGCCCTTCTTGCAGCATAAGGGCATCAAGACCCGGTGTGGGGAGCCCATTTCTTCCCCAGGAGTAGGTGGTGGGGCACTGCCATTTCTCCTACAGTCCTGCCTTCCCTAGAGAAGGGGGAAGGGCCCCTTCTGGGGTGGTCCTCCTGGGCTGCTGTGGGCCCCAGGCCTACCCATTTAGGCCTCCACGTAAACTCAGACTCTGCCCCATGAAATTAAAAATAAAACAGCACTGAAGAGTAGGATGCACAGAAGGAAGTCTAATTAAGTTCTGACTTTCCATGGCTCAAGGTCACCTTGATGCTTTTATTTAACAGCAATTTTTCTCTCTCCTGTCCGAGATGCACCTGTTGTGCTGGTGCCCTGAGCACATGTGTGGTCGGACGCTTGGGTCATCCGGCGTAGGAATGAGGGGCAGATTCTGCCCACTTCATCCCCCTTGCGGAGAGTCAGGGAACAGCCCATCAACACGTTAGATGCTCTGAGAAGTCCTGTGGTACAGAAACCTGTTTAACAATGTTTCCCCATGTTATTTAACCACAGAGTCCTTTGTTTGCACCTAATAGTAACTTCCAGCTGAGAATGCTTCTTATAAAATGCTGGCCTGGAAATTCTCCAGGGGTTTCCCCAGATCAGCAGGTAGGTAACGCTGACTCGTGAGGTCCCCAGGAGGCAACAGGGTGTGGGGCAGACTGGGTGCTCTGTGTGCAGTTGAATGGCTGAGGTCCCATCAGCTTGCTTGGACTCTGAGGGGAGTGGCAGCTGTGGGCCTCCCTGGGTGCCCGCAGCCCAGTCCAGGCCCCAAAGCAAAAGGACCAGAGTGCATTGCCTGAGGTGGTGGGCGGGTGCAGCTGGTGGGCAGGCCTGGGTGGAACCCCTCACCTTACTGGCTCCTGGCAGCAGGTGCAGCTTGACGTAGGGGTCTGCCAGCCCATTGTGGTCCATTGGCTTCAGGCCCTGGGCAGAGAACAGCAAACGGTGTGAACTGGAAATCGGGGACATGGAACTGACAGGGCCTGCAGATGCCCTTGTCCCCTGGGTCTCCTGGCTGGGCCCATTCATGGCCCCTTTCACAGAAGCCCCCGGGCCCCACACCTCCAGATGGAGGGAGTGAGGATGGCTCAACGCTGATGCAATCTCCCCTCCCCAAAACATCCTGGCCCAGGGCAGCTGTCATGGGGCCTCTGTCAGGACAGACTTTCTCTTGTCCTCATCCTGGAAGCCAGGTGGCTCCCCCTTCTCTGAGCCTCCCTCTCCACCCTGCTTTGCTCAGGCCCTGCCATCATCCTGACTCCCGTCTCCCATCTACCAAGCGTGGCCTCCTGAGTGGCCATGCCCCTCACTGACCCTAAATCCACATAACCCCGGGACACAGTCCGAGACTAGGCCCCATTTCTGGCCATATTTGCCACAACTCCCAGTCAGTCCACAGAGATCACACAAGCAGACTGGCCACAGAGGGTCCCTCCACAAGATGGCACCCCTCTCTCACTCTGGTTCTTTCAGAAAACCCAGCCACGCGTGCACAGCCAGAGGCACACAGAAGCATGGACAGAGAGGGGCTTTGCTGACCTCAGCAGGCTCTTGTCTCTGAAAATTGCATTTGTTTCCTTCTGGGATGGTGCACAGGGATGCAGGGAGGCAGCTGTGGCATCTGTGGGGGTGCAGCCGGCAACCCCAGGATAGTATTCAAAGGGCTTCTACCCAGCCGGGTCAGGGAGGCAGCTCGGCGGCTCACACCAGGCCCATCTCCAAGGGGAGGCTGGGGCTCCCTCCCAGGCCCACCCCACCTCGGTTTGACGGAGCTCTGGGGGATGCGGCAGGGGCTTCCAACCACCTACTTCCCTGCCACTGGCAAAGGGCAGAGGTTTGGGGGCCTGGCTGGCTTGGGCTCCAGGCTCAGCTCCTGTTCACCAGCTGGGAAGTGGATGAGTTACTTTGCACGCTAAGCCTCAGCTTTATCATCTGTTAAAGGGGTTGGCCGGGCACGGTGGCTCACGCCTGTAATCCCAGCGCTTGAGCCCAGGAGTTCAAGACCAGCCTGGGCAACACAGTAAGACCCTGTCTCTTCAAAAAACTAAAAAATTAGCTGGGTGGGGTGGCATGTGCCTGTGGTTCCAGCAACTAGAGAAGCTGAGGTGGGAGGATCGCTTGAACCTGGGACACGGAGGCTGCAGTGAACCGTGATCGCACCACTGCACTCCAGCCTGGGTGACAGAGTGAGACCCTGTCTCAAGTTTAAAAAAAAAAAAAAAAAAAGGGCGGGGGTGTAATACTCCCACCTTCCTAGGGCTGGAGTGAGAGGGAGGGAGACTGTGTGGACACAGGGCCTGGCAGGCAGGGTTTGCTCCCTTCCCTGCACGCCAGGCCCCCGTGAGACGCCGGAGAAGCGGTTGAGGTCTGCTGGGTGCATCTGAGCTGTGCCCTGCACTGTGGGGCTGCCTCTGGGACAGGGCCTGGCTCAGTGGCCCAACACGTGCTCAAGGTGACAAGGCTGCTCTTCCAAACCCAACTCCCTCACCCTGCCTTGCACCTTTCCCACCAAGTGCCTGAAGTGCAGAGTTCTGGGAATCTGGTGGCCTGGCCTGACCAGGAGGTGCCTGACTGCTGTGTCTTATTCTTACAGTCCTTATACATTTGTTTGTTGTAGCTTAAAATGTTTCCATTTGGGCCACGTTTCCTGACACGTTTCACTTACAAACCTTTGGGCCACCACATGTTCTGGCGTATGTCTTTCCAGTGGCTCTGGTGGTCCCACCTCCGTACCCCGAGACACCCGTGGGAGCTAGGCTGGGTCGAGGGGCGCTGTCATGCTGGGACGGGAGTGACGCCTGCTCTGTCCTTCAGACCCCGGGACTGTGACGAGGCCCCTGCTGCTGCTCTCTACTCCTCCACCCGGCAGTTCCCTGAGCACCCTGGGCAGCCACACATTTCGCCAAAAGCAAAAGGACCAGCAGGCACTGCCTGAAGCCCTGTCACTGTGCTGCCACCAACTTCTGTGCCCAAACAGGCAGCTTCCCTGGTCCTGACCCGGGGTTCCGCCAGTGCCTCCACCTTCTGTGGGGCTGGCCTCCCACGGAGCCTGACCTCTGTCCACGGAAGGGGAAGGTCGGGAGGCTGTTTCCAGGGCAGGGAGCTGCTAGTGGGGCCCTTGGGCACATGCTCCCCAGCTTGGGAGTTGGCAAGAGACATAAACTGATCCCATGGTTTAGGGGTGGGCCTCACGGGAGGTGACGTGGTTTGGCGGTGTCCCCACCCAAGTCTCATCTGGAGTTGTACTCCCATAATTCCTACAGGTTGTGGGAAGGACCCAGCGGGAGATAACTGAATCACAAGGGGAGGTTTCTCCCAGACTGTTCTTGACGTAGTGAATACGTCTCACGAGATCTGATGATCTGACACTGTTCTTGAGGTAGTGAATACGTCTCACGAGATCTCATGGTCTGACACTCTTCTTGACGTAGTGAATACGTCTCACGAGATCTCATGGTCTGACACTGTTCTTGAGGTAGTGAATACGTCTCACGAGATCTCATGGTCTGACACTGTTCTTGAGGTAGTGAATACGTCTCACGAGATCTCATGGTCTGACACTGTTCTTGAGGTAGTGAATACGTCTCACGAGATCTCATGGTCTGACACTGTTCTTGAGGTAGTGAATACGTCTCACGAGATCTCATGGTCTGACACTGTTCTTGAGGTAGTGAATACGTCTCACGAGATCTCATGGTCTGACACTGTTCTTGAGGTAGTGAATACGTCTCACGAGATCTCATGGTCTGACACTGTTCTTGAGGTAGTGAATACGTCTCACGAGATCTCATGGTCTGACACTGTTCTTGAGGTAGTGAATACGTCTCACGAGATCTCATGGTCTGACACTGTTCTTGAGGTAGTGAATACGTCTCACGAGATCTCATGGTCTGACACTCTTCTTGAGGTAGTGAATACGTCTCACGAGATCTCATGGTCTGACACTGTTCTTGAGGTAGTGAATACGTCTCACGAGATCTCATGGTCTGACACTGTTCTTGAGGTAGTGAATACGTCTCACGAGATCTGATGGTCTGACACTGTTCTTGAGGTAGTGAATACGTCTCACGAGATCTCATGGTCTGACACTGTTCTTGAGGTAGTGAATACGTCTCACGAGATCTGATGGTCTGACACTGTTCTTGAGGTAGTGAATACGTCTCACGAGATCTCATGGTCTGACACTGTTCTTGAGGTAGTGAATACGTCTCAGGAGATCTCATGGTCTGACACTGTTCTTGAGGTAGTGAATACGTCTCACGAGATCTCATGGTCTGACACTGTTCTTGAGGTAGTGAATACGTCTCACGAGATCTCATGGTCTGACACTGTTCTTGAGGTAGTGAATACGTCTCACGAGATCTCATGGTCTGACACTGTTCTTGAGGTAGTGAATACGTCTCACGAGATCTCATGGTCTGACACTGTTCTTGAGGTAGTGAATACGTCTCACGAGATCTCATGGTCTGACACTGTTCTTGAGGTAGTGAATACGTCTCACGAGATCTCATGGTCTGACACTGTTCTTGGGGTAGTGAATACATCTCACGAGATCTGATGGCCTGATAAGGGGAAACCCGTTTTCCTTGGCTCTCATTCTCTCTCTTGCCACCAAACATGTGAGAAGTGCCTTTCACTTTCAGCCATAACTGTGAGGTCTTCTCAGCCACGTGTAACGGCAAGTCCAATAAACCTCTTTCCTTTATAAATTACACAGTCTCAGGTATGTCTTTATCGGCAGCATGAAAATGGACTAATACAGGGAGGATGGGTGGAAGCGGCCCCGGGGGAGGCCCTGGCTGGTACTGGCACTGAGGGAAGAGATGGGGGGTCTGGCTTTGAGAGGAGAGCCTCTCCCCAAAAACCTAGCCCTGCCCCGCCCTGGGCCTCTCAGAGGCTGTTGCTGGTGAAGTGTTCAGAAGAGGAGCTTCCTAGTCTGAAGTATCATTCAGCCTGAAAAGGAAGTTTTGACACGTGCTGCAATGGGGATGAAGCCTGAAGACATTCTGCGGAGTGAAAGAAGGCAGACTCAAAAGGACAGATCCCGGGGACTGCAGACTCAAAAGGACAGATACCGGGAGACTGCACTTACATGAGGTCCCTAGAATAGTCAAATCCATAGAGAAGGAAGCCAAATGGCAGCCTCCCCAGGGGCCAGGGGAGGAGGAAGGGGGAGCTGTTGTTTAATGGGTCCAGTTTAGTTTTGCAAGCTGAAGAGGGCTCTGGAGATGGGTTTCACAGCAGTGTGAAGGTAGAAGGTACTTAGCACAACTGAACTGTACGCTAAAAATGGTTGAGCGCTGAGGGAAGAAGTAAAAAAAAGTGGTTGAGGTGGGAAATGTATATCTGTGTATTTTACCACAATAAAAATAAAAAGTCTCCCAGAACTGGTAGTGCCAGGGGCCGCGTGTTAACTCATTTAATGCTCACAACAGGCATGTAGGGCAGGGACAACCAACCCTATTTACAGATGGGCAAACTGAGACTGACCCTTATAAGGGGGGACAAGCAAGGGTGCACCCCAGGGTGTCCAGCCCCCACCCTGGCCCTCCAGAGGCCAGCCCTGCTTCAGCTCACCCACCCTGGGCCCCTCCCCACACCCCAGCCCAGAGCCCCAGCTCTTCCCCAGCCTGCACCACCCCTTCCCTACAGAACTGGATTTACACAGAGAAGGAACTGGGCCTCCCACCCCCACTTCTGATACCTGAGGGATACAGCCCAAAGTGGACACACACTTACATGTGTGCACGCACGGTACCACACATGTACACACAGAGACACACATACAGCCATGTATGTGCATACACACAAACGCACCTGGAGCTGGGAAGGGAAGGCCCTGGTGTCTGGCATGGAGAGAGGAAGGGGTGGGCTTTGGCCAGAGTGGCCTGGCAGCCGGCACCTCTCCAGTCCCCAGGCCTGGACCACCTCTACAAAGTTGGACAGAGGGAAAGGAGGAAGGGTCTAGCTTGGTCTCTACCTTGGCACAGCTGGGGTTTGACAAATGCTCAGTTCTGCTCCTAGGGGTGGGCTGGAGCCCCCGCCAGGCAGGGCTGGACATGCCCTGAGTCATAGCATGGGTGGTTCTAGAGAGGGCAGGGGTGGGATGGAGCGTGCAGGCCTCTCAGTGCCCTACCAGGGCCCTGAGGCTTGCGTGGATGGCACTCACACCTACCCACGGCAGTCCACATGTGGCCCAGGCTGGGCTGGGGGACAGCCTGGGGTGGCACGCAGTAGCCTGTCCTGCTGGGTGAGCATGCTGCCAAGGGCAGCCCTTGCTGCCAGGCTGGGAGGAGGGGCAGGGGGCCTGCAGGTTGGGAGGCTGGGTGGGGCCTGGGCCCAGGCAGCTCTGTGGGAAGCCGCTGGATCTGAGCTGGGCTGGCTCAGGCCCTTACATGGCACTACTAGGGAGACTCTACTGGCCATGCAGGCCCTTACCTTGCGAGAGAACATCAATTTTGGCACCTTCCTCCCACAGGGAGCAATGGGGTGAGGGGAAGGGAACAGGACAGTTGAGAACATGGAGCTGACACATGCTTGAGTGGCAGAGCCAGAGGGCAGCACCAGGGACCAGGCCAGGCTGCAGAGGGGAGCACCAGGGGCCGGGCCAGGCTGCAGAGGGGAGCACCAGGGGCCGGGCCAGGCTGCAGAGGGGAGCACCAGGGGCCGGGCCAGGCTGCAGAGGGCAGCACCAGGGGCCGGGCCAGGCTGCAGAGGGGAGCACCAGGGGCCGGGCCAGGCTGCAGAGGGGAGCACCAGGGGCCGGGCCAGGCTGCAGAGGGGAGCACCAGGGGCCGGGCCAGGCTGCAGAGGGGAGCACCAGGGGCCGGGCCAGGCTGCAGAGGGGAGCACCAGGGGCCGGGCCAGGCTGCAGAGGGGAGCACCAGGGGCCGGGCCAGGCTGCAGAGGGGAGAGCACCAGGGGCCGGGCCAGGCTGCAGAGGGGAGCACCAGGGATCAGGCCAGGCTGCAGAGGGGAGCAACAGGGGCCGGGCCAGGCTGCAGAGGGGAGCACCAGGGATCGGGCCAGGCTGCAGAGGGGAGCAACAGGGGCCGGGCCAGGCTGCAGAGGGGAGCACCAGGGGCCGGGCCAGGCTGCAGAGGGGAGCACCAGGGACCGGGCCAGGCTGCAGAGGGGAGCACCAGGGGCCGGGCCAGGCTGCAGAGGGGAGAGCACCAGGGGCCGGGCCAGGCTGCAGAGGGCAGCACCAGGGGCCGGGCCAGGCTGCAGAGGGGAGAGCACCAGGGGCCGGGCCAGGCTGCAGAGGGGAGCACCAGGGACCGGGCCAGGCTGCAGAGGGGAGAGCACCAGGGACCGGGCCAGGCTGCAGAGGGGAGAGCACCAGGGGCCGGGCCAGGCTGCAGAGGGCAGCACCAGGGGCCGGGCCAGGCTGCAGAGGGGAGCACCAGGGACCAGGCCAGGCTGCAGAGGGGAGAGCACCAGGGGCCGGGCCAGGCTGCAGAGGGGAGCACCAGGGACCAGGCCAGGCTGCAGAGGGCAACACCAGGGACCGGGCCAGGCTGCAGAGGGGAGCACCAGGGGCCGGGCCAGGCTGCAGAGGGGAGCACCAGGGGCCGGGCCAGGCTGCAGAGGGGAGCACCAGGGGCCGGGCCAGGCTGCAGAGGGGAGCACCAGCGGCCGGGCCAGGCTGCAGAGGGGTCCACAGGCACCCACAACCCCAGCCCACGTAGTGAGGCTCAGAGGGCCTCTGGGCTCAGGCCGTGGACACCCTGCCTGGAGTGGCATCGGCCTCCTACAGTGGCTCGGCTTCCAGGGTGCAAAGTGGCGTCCCCACTCCTCAGGGCGTCTGGGAGGCCTGGAGGCACCAGTACCCAACCCGCCCTCCCTTGGCCTGCAGGACAGACATCACCCTGCCCCTCTCTTTCCCTCTCAGCAGCCCCTCCCCAGGCTCGAGGGTCCTCGGTCCAGGCCTTCATCTTCCCATTCTCATCTGTTTCTTTGCTCCCCGCAATGCCTGACTGTCCAAGGCATTTCTTGGGGTTGGGTATTCAAGAAGGTTTAAAGAAGAATTCCTTCCTGGTCCCGCACCCCACACAGCGCAGACATCCAAAAGCCTGGACAGGAACCTGGGGAGTGGTGTGGTCTGGCCTCCCTGACCTAGGCCCTCTTGAGGACCCCGGGGCAGGGAATTTGGGTGCAGGCTGGCGGGGCCTACCTTGGCCTTGGTGATGGTGCAGTGGAGGGCGTTGTTCTCCTGGTCATACAGCAGGCTGAAGTCCAGCGTGCCCAGGGCAGCTGCGGACAGAGGAGGGCACAGGTCCCACCCTGGCCGCATCTTGGAGAGGCTTCGCCTGCCCCTGTGAGACCAGATGAGCCTGGCCTGGGCAGGTGCCACCGTTCCATGGCGGCTGCCACCAACCAAGCACCTGCTCTATGCCAGCCCCTCACCCATCCTCCCAGTCCCACCCAACCCTGGGAAGTCACAATAATCTCCCCACTTTCCAGAGGAGGAGCTGAGACCCAGAGAGGTCAGGTGGGTCACTCCAGTTCCCTGTCTGGCCCAGTGTGTGGTCCACCTGAGCTGGGCACCCAGCCAAAGGAGTTCCTGCCCTCCTGGTGCAACTGCCAGTCTGGGCCCCGTGCCTCAGTTTCCCTCACCTGTGAAATGTCACAAGGATCACACAAGGCGGAGGAGACGAGGCTTTGAGAGGAACAGGTCCTGGCCAGGAAGATCAGCTGATTTGCTCAACAGTCCCCCAGCCAACACACAGGACTGCAGCTCCTCTGTCTCTCTGGCCCGTTGGGAACCCCGAGCAGGCCGTGAGGAGCCAGCTGGGTCCTCATACTGCTGCCCCCAAGTCTCTCAATGGCAGTGGTAACTCCCAAAAGCCGGGGGGAGGGTGCAGCCATAATTGGGGGAGGTTGCAGCCATAATTGGGTGCAGCTGCCTCCCTCCCCGGGGGCAATCACTCATAGCAGCTGTGGCTTTCCATGCAGAAGCGGCTCCCAGCATGGAGGCCAAGGTGATGGTTGGGGCAGAGCTTGGAGATGATGGTGGGGGGCAGAGCTTAGTGGCAGTCCGCAGACAGCAAGATGCACATTCACAGATGGCTTCAGAAGCCCAGAGCCTGCTCCCAGGCTGCAGGGCTGGTCAAATGGTGTCACATTCCTTCATTATTTACCAAGTGTTTACAACATGCCAGACTCTAGGGGATGGACATCTGTGAGGCAGAGTCCCTATCCCAAGGAAAGCACAGCTTAAGGGGAGGAACAAATGGAAATAATTTGCCGCAGTAGAGTCTGGTGAGCCGGGAGCCATGGGGAGCCCATGTGAATTGGGACCACCAGGGAAGGCTTCCTGGAGGAGGTGATGCTTCACCTGAGCCATGAGGGATGAGTAGGAGTTGGCCAATGGCAAAGAGGGGCTGGGGGAGGTGACGATTCCAACCACAGGCCAACCAGCAGGTACGGGCTTAGTGGCTGGTGTGATCCCGGGATAAGGGAAGGCCAAACTTGAAAGACTGTGTTCTTCAGGCTCTGAGCTAGGCTCCCAACCTGGATCTAGATCCAATTACGGCCACACCTGACCAGGCCCATCATTTACATCTCTTCTGCGGCTGCTTTCCTACTTCAGAAGCAGACCCTACGGCCTGCACAGCTGAAAATATTTACTATCCAGCCCTTCTTTATAGAACAAGTTTGCAGATCTCTGGGCGAGTGCTGGGCCCAGGCATAACAAAGTTTCTTGGGTCTGCAGGGAAATTGGCTAATGAAAGGCCACGAGTGTGGAGTGTCCTTTATTCTGAGCTGGTGATGGGAGTGGCATTTGTCTAGATCATCCCCTTCTAACACGGGTCAGGCACATGTCTCTGTCTTCGCAGCAGTGTGGGGTGCAAGACCTGCCCTCTGACATCAGTCTCCTCGGTTCAAATCCCAGCGTGCACTTCCCTGCTGTGTGGCCAGCTTATCTAACGTCTTTATGCCTCAGTTTACTCATCTGTGAAATGGAGACAACGATAGTATCCACCTCACAGCACAGTGTGCCTGCGGTGTAGGAGGTGCTCAGTAGATCATTATAGAAGGAGCAGATACCTATGGTGGGTTTTCTAGCTAACAGTACTGGCTTCTCTAAGACCCATTCTGGAATGAAACTGTCCTCAATTGGCTCATTTCCCTCCCTGCCTTTGGGAACAGAACATACAAATAGTCACTTAAATTTTTTGAATAACCTGAGTCATTGCTATGGCCACGATGACTCTTCCGTATGTCACGGTCATGTTCCAGAGGCAAAAGGGGACACGAAGCAACCCCTGCACCAGAGGGTCCCGGGTGGCCCTCTTTTCGGTTTTCTTCATTTTTCTGCCTCTTCCTTTGACATCAGCCTGAAACTCCTATTAGATTACTTGTCTGTGTTGGCGCAGACAGCTCTCACCTATTCAATAATTGTTTCTCCCATGAGACCAGGTGATGATACTTGTTGGAAGTGTGTGCAAACTAAGAGCCAACAGGCCTTGAGTGGCTGGTGTGGGGCTCATGCCTGTCATCCCAGCAGTTTGGGAGGCCGAAGCAGATGGATCACTTGAGCTCAGGAGTTCGAGACCAGCCTGGCCAACATGGCAACAAAAACTACAAAAATGGCCGGGTGTGGTGGCTCACGCCTATAATCCCAGCACTTTGGGAGGCTGAGACGGGTGGATCACTTGAGCCCAGGATTTCAAGACCGGCCTGGCCAACATGGAAACACCCATTTCTACAAAAAATACAAAAATAGCCGGGCATGGTGGCGCATGCCTGTGGTCCCAGCTACTCGGGAGGCTGAGGTGGGAGGACCGCTTGAGCCCAGGAAGTTGAGGCTACAGTGAGTGTGATTGTGCCACTGCATCCAACCTAGGCGACAGAGCGAGATCCTGTCTCAAAAAAATAAATAAATACTAGGTCTTGAGTGAAGCCTGAGGCACGTTCTCCTGAGCAGGGTATGTGTGCAGCAGCAATAGCTGTAGCTGGCCTTCAGCTGCCTGCATGCTAGCTGCCATCTCCACACCAGGCAGGTGAGGCTGCTGGAAGGGAGGTGTATCCCACTGCTCCTGCAGCAATGAACACAGCCACAGCCCGAGATGCACCAATCTGTACTTTTGTAACAATATTCTCTGAAGCTGTTGGCTTTACATGATAGTAAATGGATCTGCTGTTCAGGTCAGGCCTACCTGGGGTTTGTTCCCCCAACGAATTAGCCCCCTGAGCACAGGGACCATGCCTTGGCCACACCTGTGAGACCAACAAACAGCAGATGCAGACACACATGGCTGGTCCATTCAAACCAACTTGCCCTCCAGGTGCTCCCAGGAGCTGGGATCTGGTGTGACACCCAAGTGTAAAAATGCACATTCTGATTTCTGCCTGTTTCCCAACCCCAGAGAAGGACAGCCAGAAGACAGAGCGGCTGCCTGCTCCCCCTGGGACACCCAGCTCCTGGAGGGGAGAAGCCCCTGCACTGGCTCTACAGAAACCCCTGTCCAAGGAGGGCAGCGATCTTCTCCAACTGCCTGGGGGGAAAACTGACACCCGTCACCACCTCCTGGGAAGGAACAGCACACCCAGTGTGTCACCAGGAAGGGACTGATGAATTTCTTTGAACTCCACTGGAAGGTCTGTAAGAAATGATAGTTTATAAATAGAAGCTCGGTCACAGTTTTCAGAGGCTGGTGAAGCTCTCTTACGGAGCACATGGCCCAAACTCTTCATTTCCCTTTAGAGAAATGAGGCTCAGAGAGGGGAGGGGAGCTGCTCAGCGTGGCCCAGCAGACCCAGGCACAGAATCTAGGCCTCTTCACTTCCATCCTGATAGTTTCTCCCTTAAAGCCTACTGGCTCCCAAGAAGTTTTTTTTTTTTGAGACAGGGTCTTGTTCTGTTACCCAGGCTGGAGTACAGTGGTGCGATCACAGTTCAGCCTCCCAGGCTCAAACGATCCTCTCACCTCAGCCTCCCAAGTAGCTGGGACTACAGGCGCCCACCACCATGCCCGGCTAACTTAAAAAATATATTTACAAAAAAAGAGACAGTGGTGTTGGTGCGGGGGGTGCGGGGGGGTAGGTCTCACTACGTTGCTCAGGCTGGTCTTGAACTCCCGGGCTCAAGCAATCCTCCCGCCTTCACCTCCCAAAGTGCTGGGATTACAGGCACACACGGGCCACTCTGCCCTGGTCCAAAAAGCTTTTTTTTGGCCACTTTGTTTAGCTGAAATCTTAGGAGGATGCAACTAAGAAACAAAAAGAGAGAAAAGCAGAGTTGCTCTAGGGGAAGGAGAGTGGGGGCTCAGCCGCTGCCCTGGAGAGCCCTCCGAGTTGGAAAAGCACCTTGGGCTTGTGCTGGGCGTGAGGAGGGCCCTAAGGGCAGGAGAAGGTGCTTCTCTGTGACCCACAGTGCCCTGCCCTTGGAGCGCTCCAATCACATGACCCCACTGAAGTTTACATCTTCGGAAAAATAATGAGGGTTGGTCACTAATGGGCCTTTGAGAGTTGTCACCCGCTTGTCGATAATTACAGAGCTTTAATGGGGCTAATTCAGAGAAAATCAAGCTCAAGCCCCTGTTGGCTCCTCTAAGGCCGAGCACCCCCTGCTTGGCTGATGTAGACCTGACAGCATCATCATAACCTTGGTTTGCACCTGGACTTTCCTGACACCCTTGGGAATAGGAAATCTGCCCTGATTTTTTTTTTTTTTTTTTTAAGAAAAATGTCAGGCTCTCAAATACTTTAAAAAAAAAACAAAACAATTGTGGCAAGGACCATAGAAAATCATCAAGCTTGTGTTGAAAGCATTTTATAGTTGGGGAAACAGCCATTCAGCCAGGCCGGCACTGCAGGGGGGACAGAGAGAAATGAGCCATCATCCCTGCTTCCCAGGAGCTTAGAGACGAGTGTTAAGATTTTTATAAACATCTTCATTCATCTGCTTTAAATTGTTGAAAGGTTCTCCATCAACTCCTGGACTCAGTTCAACCTCCTTGGTGTGGCATTCAAGACCTTGTGTGATATGACCGCTTTGGCCTCCTCATAGGTCTCTTCCCCTTCTTTGAGCCACTTGGCTCTACTGTTTTGCCTACACTGGGCTGAGTTTCTGACACTTCAGGACCTGTGTACACAGCTGTCCCTCTGCCAAGAGCACCTCCCTTTCCTCTTTTCCCTCTGTCAGCCCACCTCCTCCCTCCTCCCAGTCTTAGGGCTGAGCCCTCTCTGTGAGTGACCTCCGCCTGCCAGAGCTTTCCATCTGGGTTCTTGCCTCCCTGTCCCTCGCTGTAGGGTCACCTGTTTGTCTTGGTTTTGATGAACACCCTCAGGTCAGAGGTTGCCTCTCAGCATTCTTGTATCTCTGTGCCTAACACAGAGCCTGCCACATAGTTGGTGCCGTAACATCGAGTGCATTACAAATATCACAGGTCCAGGTAGAACATGACTGGGGCCAAAGAGGTTCTGGGCTCAAAGGAAGGGGCACCACAGCCCATGGGGGCTGGAATATGCCCCCTAACACGGAGAACCTTTGTGGTGGACTCAACCCCTTGTCCTTGCTCCAGACCTGCACAGGCATCGGTCCTGACCCGGTCCTGGGTGAACCACACAGGGCAGGTTTAACACGGGCATGTGATCCAATTCTGGCCAATGAGACAAAAGGACAGGTCTCCTGGGGACTTCTGGGAGAGGTTTCCTCGCTCTTAAACTGAGACATGAGAAAAGGAATCGGTCCTTACCAATTCCTTACCCAGTCAAGGACCTTATTGTTACATGTGATGCCTGGACCTGCAGCAGCCACCTTGGACCTGAGGGTCCTGCTTGGCTGATGGAGACTGACAGCGTCATTCTGACTTTGGTCTGCACCTGAACCTTCCTCACCCAGACACCCTTAGGAATAGGAAACGGGCCTTGATTTTGCTCTACAAGGAAAAACGCACAGCCACGAGCAAAGATGGACAGAACCATCACCCCAACAGTGCTGAGGGGCTGCTGCATTGGTGCACCCTGGTGCAGCAAGACCTCAGCTGTCCTCATTGTTTAAGCCACTCTGAGTTGGTTATCTGTCACTTGCAACCCATGGCACTCTAGTGATTACAGCTTTGAAGAATGGACTGGGCTTCCACAGGTGGGTGCCGGGCAGGAGAGCCTCTCAGGTAGGGGCAGCGTGTGGGGTGTGTGGCCCACGGCCCACCTGGAGGGCAGCACGCCACAGAGGCCACCCTAGGAGAACTGGCAGGGCCGACACTGGGTCCTGCTCCTCATTGGGACATTCACTGCCTTTCCTCCCTGTCATCGCCCCTCTTCGAGATCTGCTGGGAACATGCGAGTTATGTGCTTGTGCTTTGACATGACTTAATAAAGAAAGGGCTTTAAAAAGCCAGGAGAAAAGGCTGAGTAAATAAACAGCACTTCACTCTCTGCCTTGGACAACAGAGCAACCGCCCTCATTTCTTTTTGTCAGAACAGAGATAATCCAATAATTAGGGCAGCAAATAGCATAACCCTGGCTAAAGCCGTAATGAACCATCTGGCTTGAATCATTGAGGCTTATTCTAAGGATCTGGTTGTCACAGCCCAGAGGGGGGCACCGCCTGGGGTACTGGGTGGAAGGCAGTCCCACCCCAGAACCTGTTCCCCCACCATGGACAAGAGCCAAGATTTCTGGGCTTCTGGGCCTAGGATGTTTGTCAGCCTCCCATAGGATCCAAGCCTAGGGTGGGGCCCCCCTCGAAGGGGGCGACAGGGGCCCAAGCTGGCCCTAGCTCAGTGGCACACCGTCCTCCTTAGCTCCTCTGAGCCCGTCTTCAGCATTTCTTTGGCATGTCCTGATAATACGGGTGTGGCCAGCCCACAGTTCAAGCTGGCAAAGCTGCATCCAGCTCTGCCCTGCACTGCTGACCTCATGTGAGTCTGGCCCCTGCACCGCATGTATCTCAGGCCAGGGGCCCAGCCCTGCTGCCAGGACATGCTCCCTGAAGGGCTGCTGAGCTGATGGATTGGAGATGGGGCTGGCTGGCCTGAGTTTCTAGCTTCCTGGTCCCCTCCTTGCTTTGTGGGTTCAGAGACAGCAAAAAAAAAAAAAAAAAGAAAAAGAAAAAGCCTCTTGGCCATTCGCCATGCAGAGGGCCCTCTGTGGCACCAGGAGGGTGGCCTGAAGCTCTGCCCTCCCCTCTTACTTCCTTGGTGCAGCAGCAGAGATGCCAGAAATGGGAACAACTTTCCCATCCGTTCTTCTGGGGGAGGCTTTGGATTCAGGGCAGCCAAAGCAGTTACTTGGGTCCCACTCAGGGCCCACCCAGGGGATCACCAAGTCCAGGGTGAGCTTCGCACAGGGTGCCAGGGGCAGAGGGGAGGGGGGGTGGATCTAGGGCACAGCCCTGAGGGCAAAAAACTCTTCCGACCCAATCTCCCCAAGCTGGCAGGAAAGTGGAGGGACAAGACTGCTCCCCAGCCCCCACGCCCCAGGGCAGGGCCTTCATGTGCCAGGCGCTGGCCCGAGGGCCGTGGTCCAGGCCTCTAGAAAGTGCAAAGCAGGCAGTTTCCCCTACAGGGGCCCTGCTCTAACCGGCCACTGCTGATGGGCCTCCCCAGGTGGGGCGATGGGGGGTCTGTGCCCCGGGGGCACTGGTAATCCCTACCTTCAGCTTCTGGTGGCACATTTGATGCTTGGGAAACTCCAGGCCCGCAGCCCACAGGCCCTGGTGAGTGCCCAGGCCAGGCGCAGACATCCCTGCTGCGCAGGGGAGGGGCAGCACCAGCCCTGGAGAAGGGCCACATCCCGGGAAGGGCTGGGGTTTGACGAGACGCTGGTTTTCCAGGTCTCAGTGACAAGTCTGGAGCCACAGCTGAGCTAGGAGGGGGTTCTCACATGCCATCCCCACCCCGCGCAAACCGACTCCTCACTGGACTGCGACCTCTTCCGGCCTCGGTTTCCCAGCCAGTCCCGGCTCGGGCCGGACAGGCACCCTCGGGGACGGGAAAAGGCGCCAGGAGCGCCCACCGGCCGGGCCTCGGTCCCGGGACTCCGGCGCTTGCCTGCTCCCGGGGGCTCAGGGCTCAGTCCGGGAGGAGGGGGAGCGGGCTGGGGGGCCCTCTCTGCCCGGGGGCCGCGGGCGTAACAGGTGGGCGAAGGTGCGCGGCCCTGGCGAGGGCTGCGGCGGGGTCCATGGACACCGGAGGAGGAAACGCCAAGGTTTTTCCAAAGGACAAGCGGCCCCGCGGTCCTCCTGGTCCTCTGCTCGCGCGCCAGCAAAGCAGCTGCGCTCTGCGGGCCGCCGGGACCACGCGGGAGGCCGGGCCGCTCCCAGCCTCGGGCCCCTCCCCAGCTCGCCCCAGCCCCGACCCTCGGCCGCGAGGCCCTCCCGGAGCGGCTGGCGAGCGGGGAGCGACCGCGCGGCCGGCAGCAACTGGTGTCTCCCCGGGACGCAGCTCCGCCCTTCCCGGGAACAAAAGCAGCCGCCCGCGCCGGAGCTCCGGGAGGGCGGGCTGGCAGGGAGGGGGCGCGGCGCCGGCTCCGAGGAACCCGGCCCCGGAAATGGGACACCCCCAGGGGGTGCCCCCGAACTTCCCTCCTGTCCGGCCTGGGTCGGGGGAGGGCTCGAGGCCGGTGGGCAGGGCGCGGAGAGCGCACCGAGTGCGCCAGGGGCCCGCAAGCCCGCGGCGGGGTTGTGAACCGAGGCAGAGCGCGAGCGCGCGAGGGGGACCGGCGGAGGGAAGCCGCGAGGCCGTGGGGGGGCCGAGCCCGAGCCAGGGGAGGGGGCGCGAAGTCGGCGCGTGGGAAACTTACTGCAGTCGTCCGACTCGTAGCCGTCGGCGTCCGGCTCGTCCTCCGGCGGCTTGGCTGGCGGCCGCGCGGGGCTGGGACCCGGGCTGGGGCCCGGGCTGGAGCCGTAGGCTCCGAAGAGCTGGTCCACATCCTCGTCGTCCTCGCGGGCGCCGTCGGAGGGGCTGCGGCGGCCGGCACCGGCCACAGCCGGGCGCGCGGGGGCGTCCGGGGGTGCAGCGGCTCGGGGCCCGGCGTCCGGGGGCAGGCCCCGCGGGAAGCGGGGGAAGTAGTCGGAGATCTGCTTGATGGGCCGGGTGGGGCCGGGGCACACGTCGATGGCCATATGCTCCTGGATGCTGATGGTCGCCTTCTCCCCGCGCCGCCGGAGGGTCATGCAGGCAGCGCCGCCCCGCCCCGGGCGCGGCCCGGCCCGGCGCGACCCCGGCCCGGGGGCGGCTCAGCAGGCCCGGCGGGGCGCGGCGGGGGCTGCGGGCATCGCCGGCCGCGCCCCCGGACGGCCCTGACTTGGCCGCTGCCCGCTCCGCTGCGGACGGCGCGAGCGAGTGCCAGAGGCCGGCAGGCAGGGGGCGGGCCCAGCCCGCGTCACCCGGCAGCAACCAAGCAGGGTGAGTGTGCGGGCTGCGCGGGCGGCGCGGAGCGGAGGGAGCCGCGCGGCGCCACACTCACTCGCACTCGCACTCACACCGGCGTGCACGCCGGCCCGGGACCCCGCGCGCGCACACTCGCGGCCAGGCAGGGCCGCCGGGCGCCTTCCGCTCATGCACGCCCGCGGCACAAGCTGGGAGTCAACCCGGCAGGGACCCGCAGGACGCGCACCCACACGTTCCCGCGCGTGCCAGCCCACGCTGGGCTCCGCTCGCTCTCTCGGGACACACGCAGGTGTGCAAGTGCACACATGCGTGTGCAGAGACACGTGGTGGAAGCATCCGCTCGCTCACACCGTAGGTCACACACGCAAACGTCTGCATGCGCACATGGTTGGTTTAGGAAGCTGTGACACAGTACACCCCCAATGCACAGGCGCGCACACCTAATGGAGCACACACACAGGTGATCAAGGGCACCCAGGGCACAGGCTTCCCTACCCCCAAGCACCCCTAACAAGATGCACAAACATGAGCCCATAGAAGTGATCAGGGGACCCTGGGCACAACTCCTTCTCTCCTCCCCCTCTAGCAGGACGTGGAGTCACACTCCTAGCATGTAGGGACAGGTTGCCTACACACGGGCAGGACATGTACACGCTCAACTGCACAAGGACACCGGGGCTCAGTCTGTGCACACATATTCTCAGGTCACATACAACACAGCACTCTAACCTCGGGTCAGTCCCTCACTTGGTCAGTGAGTAGAGTCTGAAGGACCCCCCGGGGCAGGGTGGCTGAGAACCTGCACAGGGCCTGGTCAGGAGCGGGTGAGGGCAGGGCCTGGGCGGTGAGTGATGCAATAAGGCTGGGCGGCACGCTCCCCCCACCCCCACTCCTACTCTAGGCCTCCCACACGGTCAGATCACTAAACAAATCCCAGAGGGCCCAGCCCTGGCTGTCCGGCTTTCCGGGACCAGAGCTCTGTTGGGAACTGCTGCTGCTTGGACAGGTGTGTTCCCGGAAAGCCCTGGGCATGGATGGAATCCTGTTTACCCTCTGGTTTCCACTGATGTGTAAGACACTTAGCTTCTTAGCGGGTGCCTTTGGTGCATCTGAATGAGGGGCTCCAAGCCTCTCTTGTTCCCCCACCATAACCCCTGCAGAGTGATGGGGAGCAGAGGAAAGAGAGGCAAAGCCTTGGCCTGTGGCTTCCAGCTGCACAGTTCTGGCAGGCTATTTGACCTCTTTGAGCCTCGGTTTCCTCATCTATGAAGTGAGGCTATTTCCAACTGCACAGCCTTGTGGCAAGGCCCCATCCAGCACAGACAGGTAAGAGGTGCTCAGCTGGCTTTCCCTTCTCCCTTCCTTTGGAAAGACAAGACTCGTGGTGAGAAGTGATGAGAAATTCATGTTTTGTGGTGAGTTCTGAACTGGGTGGTGGCGGGCACTACCGGCCTTTGAAAACACTGGAGAAACACATGGCATATGTTGTACTGCGCCAAGAACATTCACAGCTGTCATCTCATTGATTCCTTAAACCACCCCACGATGTAGGCAGGGCCTGCTGTTCCCATTTCACAGGGGAGGAAATTAGCGCTCAGGCACAAGGATGTGTCCAGGGTGACTGCTGGCTGGCGGCAGAGCTGCGATGAGAGCCCAGTGTCCTGACTGTTCGATGCTTCCACTTTCCCTCCCTTCTCCCTTTCCTCCCCTCCACTACAGAGCTCAGGGGCTCAGAGCAGAGTTGGAAACACAGGTAAAACCTCGTTCCCAAAGCTCATCCTGAGGCTTCTTGGACAGGGGAAGCCCAAACTGAGGAGGAGGGGAAGGAGGGAAAAAAAGGAGGAGGAAGAGGAGGACAGGAGGAGGCCAAGAGCCTCAGGGGTTACAGTGGGAATGAACCAGCCGGGGTTCCCTAAAGATAGTCTGAGGTCCTGGTGGGAGAAATATTCAGCCTTCCAAGAGCCAAAGGCCAAGGAAAGGACAGAAGAGCCTGGAAGGGCAGCCTGGCACAGAGGGGTTCTCATTTCCAGGAATGCTTAAGGGGATTAATCCTTAAATAGGCACAGGGTGACTTTTTCTGTGCCAGAGGTGGCTGCATCACAAAATGATTACATAATGACGCAGGTATTAAAATACAGACGCTGAACTGTCATTTTATCATTCCTTTACTAAGGAGCTGGAGGGTGTCGTCATCATCTTACAGATGGGGAAACTGAGGCTGCGGGAGGTCAAGTGACTAGCAAGAGGCAGACTGGAGATGAGACCTGGACGTCCTGACCGCTGAGCCTGCCAAGGCCCTGTACCTGTGTTCACCGAGAGCTGGCCGCTCCCTCCTGGCCTCTTGTCCTATGGGTCTGGTTTTTGGAGGATCGGCTCACGGCTCTTGGCTCTGCAGGAGCTGGCTCTTGGGGAGGGCTTTGAAGAAGTCAGGTGGAGGGCCCAGCCTCCTAAGCATGGAGCCAGGGAACCCAAGGATGCCCACTGGAGAAACACATGGCATGTTGGGGTCTACCCTTTGGCAGGTGGCAGAGTTGAAATCCACTCTAGGTCTGAATTTGCCCAGCTCTGAGCCCAGCTGAAATGGGGTAGGGCCTCCCCGAGGGATAGAAGTGGATAGAAGTGGTGTTATCTGGGCAAGTGTCCACTTTCTAGAAAGAGCATAGGTCAGGGAGTAGGCAGACGTAGAGTCAAAAGTCAGGTGTGCCTCCTCCTAAGCGTGCCGGACTTTGGGCAAGTTGTTTAACTTAGGCCCTGGGTCTCATCTGCAATGGGGGAGAATAAGAACAACCTTGTGTGAGTTAAAGGTGAGGATGGGTATACAGTGCTTAGCACAGTGCCCAGTGTGCAACTGGCACTCAGGGAATTGTGATTCTGTTGCCCCTGCCTTCCTGGTGCAAACCGTCCCATTGCAAAACTTCCTGGTGCAAATCGTCGTGGTGCAAACCTTCCTGGTGCAAATCGTCGTGGTGCAAACCTTCCTGGTGCAAACCGTCCCAGTGCAAAACTTCCTGGTGCAAATCGTCCTGGTGCAAACCTTCCTGATGCAAACTGTCATTGCGCTCCCAGTGCCTGCCTTGATTTCTCTACCAGTGACATGTGGTTGGCTGCTCCCTGTCTGCTGCCAGGACCAGGTGAGAAATGGATGCACTTGCCAAGGCTGGGCGCTGGCTGGCATGTGTGGGCATCTCTAAGCAGTTGGATATGTCCAAAGGCTCATCAATCATGTTGCCTTCCATTCCCCATGCTGAGGTGGGCAGCTGGGCAGCTGGACCAGCCTCTGGCAAAGTTAAGTGGATGGAGTCTGCCCTTGGTCACAGTCCTCAGAAGCCCTGTGCCCTTGCCTCTCTGCCTTCTGCTTTTCCCAACAAGCTTCTGAGCTTTCTCCCAACTCCCCACAGACCCTCTCAAAGGCTCCTCCTGTCAAGTGAGATACAGTGGGTTCTTTAAAAAATGGTCCAGGTATCTGTAGCACTAGCATGTCTATTTACTTTGTCACTGAGGCTGGAGTGCAGTGGTGTGATCATGGCTCACTGCAACCTCGACCTCCCGAGGCTCAAGTGATCTTCCCAACTCAGCCTCTCAAGTATCTGGGACCAAATGCATGCACCACCATCCCCAGCTAATTTTTAAAATTTTTGTAGAGACGGGGTCTTGCCATGTTACCCTGGCTAGTCTCAAACTCCTGGCTTTAAATGATTTTCCTGCCCTGGCCTCTCAAAATGCTGAGATTACAAGCGTGAGTTGCCACACCCAGCCCAGGATGTCTATCAATAATGCAGATTCCAGGCCCCCATCTCACACCCACTGACTCAGAATATGTGTGTGCACACTCAGGATGCATCTTAACAAGCGCCCCTGATGATTCTGGTGCACAGTGAAGGTTGAGACTCGCTGGGTTAGAGGGTGCTAATGGTTTAACGGTGATTTTCAACCTGCTGGGCTGCCTCTATACTGTTCACATGTGTAACATATGCCCATCAGTGACATCTCTCAATATTTAATGATTCTTCACTGGGGAAGTGAGTGACTAACCCAAGGCAGGTGTTGGAATTTCCAGAGAGGTTTGGCAAAGCCACAGTGGGGAGTCTGATCTCCTCCTGTTTGGGTATTCTGACCTCTTTCCCGGTGGAGAAGTGTTGGGAGCAGGCCCCCCAAAATCTAGCCATAAACTGGCCCCAAAACTGGCCATAAACAAAACCTCTGCAGCACTGTGACATGTTCATAATGGCCCTAACGGCTCCGCTGGAAGGTTGTGGGTTTACCGGAATGAGGGCAAGGAACACCCGGCCCGCCCAGGACGGAAAACCCCTTAAAGGCGTTCTTAAGCCACAAACAATACCGTGAGTGATCTGTGCCTTAAGAACATGCTCCTGCTGCAGTTAACCAGCCCAACCTATTCCTTTAATTCAGCCCGTCCCTTCGTTTCCCATAAGGGATACTTTTAGTTGATTTAACATCTATAGAAACAATGCCAATGACTGGCTTGCTGTTAGTAAATACGTGGGTAAATCTCTGTTCCGGGCTCTCAGCTCTGAAGGCTGTGAGACCCCTGATTTCCCACTCCACACCTCTATATTTCTGTGTGTGTGTCTTTAATTCCTCTAGCGCCGCTGGGTTAGGGTCTCCCCGACCAAGCTGGTCTCGGCAGAGAAGGACCAGTTAATGGCTCTTCTTAGAGTAGGTAACGTGTGTTGTTGAGGAAATGCCCTCTGTGCAGCACTTGGCTGGATGTTCCTTGGTTGGCATCTTGGCTGGTGTCCATGTGCCCGGAGAAGAAGGGCCCTCTCTGACCCAGGCCTAATATGTGTCCCCCGTTTCCACCCTTCCCTGATAACCGGAGGAGATCTTGTCCTGCTGTGCTAATAGAACGTTCTCTGTATTAACAGAAAATTTTAACCCAACAGAGGTGCTTGGATGGAGGAAATCCAAACAATGTTGCTGGTTGATGGAGAGGGGCATTCCAAGGTCTCTTGTCCATTCATTTATTCATGAAGCCACATTTCAACAAATATTTATTGTGCACCTGCCCTGTAACAGGCCCCGAGCTGTGATCTGTAGGGGGCTCAGTGATAAATGAAGCCCATTTTTCTTTAGATTCCAGATGATGGAGGGGAAGTCAGGAAGGGAGGTAGGAACCACCACTCTAGGGGTCCCTTGCCTCCTTCTTGGCATACGCTATGGCCTCGGCATGGAGAGCATGATGGAGCACTGATGCCAGCAAGTCAGCTCAACATTTGCAATATAGCGTGTGGCTGCTTAGAGGCCAACTTGATATATTAAGTGATATTAAAAATGCAGCCTATTTCTGATAATTTATGCGCATTCTCATAAACACATTACACTCGTCACAGTACATTTACGAGCACCAGGCCTACCAGTGGGGAAAAGTTAACACCTACCTAATGATGTTGTTTTGCAGATGTCAGATGCTCTGGTGCTGCAGTGATGGGCTCAATGGTGCAAAGAAATGTGAGTCTTTCTTCTATCCTGGGACACCAGAAGGCTGCCCAGGGCTCGGCAGAAGAACCAGGCTCTCTCCCTCCACACTGCCAAGGTCTGTGCTGTGGGATTGGAAAGAGGCCGGGTGAGAGGCTCCCCTGCCAGGAGAGACTTAGCCCAGGATCAGGTTGCCTAAGGCAAGAGATTAGATGTCACAGAGGGATAATGCTGAATCCTCTGGGGAAGCTCTAGAAATGACCTCTGGGAGAAAGAGGGGCAGAGCCTGAGGCTTACATCACAGCACAGATCAGCCTCCCTCCCACAGGCCTGGGGACCACTAGAGCCCAGGGTCTTCATGACTGAAGTGAACATCTCAGCATTATACATGAATTAGAATGAGTAGAAACTCTAACTAGCCCAGGGCTGGTGGAAACCCAGGGCCAACAGCCACAAATGTTCCCTCCAATCGCTTTGAATTCATGATGCAATTCAAAGGAATTAACAATGCAAGTGGTAGCTTTCAATGATAACGTGTTCCACTTTTTGTGTTTGAGAGAGTCTCACTCTGTTGCCCAGGCTGAAGTGCAATGGCACGATCTCGGTTCACTGCCACCTCCACCTCCCGGGTTCAACCAATTTTCCTGCCTCAGCCTCCTGAGTAGCTGGGACTACAGGTGACTGCCACCATGTTTGGCGGGCGTAGTTCTTTGTATTTTTAGTAGAGATGGGGTTTCACCATGTTGGCCACGCTGGTCTTGAATTCCTGACCTCAGGTGATCTGCCCGCCTCAGTCTCCCAAAGTGCTGGGATTACAGGTGTGAACCACCACACCTGGCACCCCCCCGCCTTTTTTTTTTTTTTTTTTTTTTAGAGACTGGACCTTGCTTTGTTACCCAGGCTGGAATGCCGTGGAGTGATCATGGCTCACTGCAGTCTTGAACTCCTGGGCTCACGTGATCCTCCCATCTCAGCCTCCTCAATAGCCAGAACCACAGATATGCACCACCACGTCCAGTTAATCTTTTTATGTTTTATTTTTTAAAGATGGGTCTTGCTATGTTGCCCAGGCTTACATGAACTGAGTTTTACATTTACTACAAATGTGTGTACCTATAAACAATATATGGTATTGTTTTGCAAGCTTTAAAACTTTGTAAAAATGGCATCATACTATACATAACCTCATTAAACTCATTTTTGGCTTATTATTATTTGTGAAGTTTTTTCCTGTAGATGCATCTAGCTATAGTTTGTTTTTATTGCTGTCTACTGTTCCACTATGTGAATACGCCATAATTTATTTCTCTTTTCTCCTATTGTTGAACATTTAAGCTGGTTCCTATGCGTGGCTATCATCAACATGCTGCAATGGCTATTCCTGTTTCCTGGTCTGTATATGGGATTTCTTTTTTTGAGACAGGGTCTCACTCTATTGCCCAGGCTAAAGTTCAGTCGTACCATCTCGGCTCACCACAGCCTCAACCTCCCTGGGCTCAGGCGGTCCTCCCACCTCAGCCTCCCGAGTAGCTGGGACTGCAGGCGCATACCACCACATCTGGCTAATTTTTATAATTTTTGTAGAGAAAGGGTTTGCCAGGTTGCCCAGGCTAGTCTGAAACTCCTGAGCTCAAGTGATCCTCCCACCTCAGCCTCGCAAAGTGCTGGGATTACAGGCGTGTGCCACCACACCTGGCCAGGGAGAGTTTCTTTAGAGTTTCTTGGATAGGAAATTTGCTGGGCCTAGGGTCTGTATATCTTTACCTTGACTAGAGAGTGCCTAGCTGCTCCCCAAACTGGTTAGAACCACGGCCATTCTCACCAACCATCTGTAACAGTGCCAGTTCCTCCTTGTCCTTGTCAACACTTGGTATTGCCAGACTTGAATTTTTGCTAGTCTGCTAGGTTTTTTTTATGTTTAATTAGTTCTCCTTGCTAACTAGTGCTACTTCATTTCTGCTGCTAAGGGTGGGCATGTGCTGTCAATAGATAAACGCAACAGATTAAAAATTGAAGAGCTTCCATCAATAAGGGATTGGCTAAATACAGTATGCCTCACCTGTACAATAGAATACTGCACAATCATTAACAAAGATGAGTGTGCTGATATGGAAGAGATATTGATATTCTGATGTACTAAATATCTTTTCATCTCCCAGATTTATTGTTACAAAGCAAGAGGCATAAAAAGCATATTCCCTTTGTAAATAAATGAAAAGATATGTATACACATGCATATTTGTATGTATATGCGCAGAATACCTCTGAAAGAATGAACAGGAAACTGGTAACCACAGTTCATCTGGGAAGAGCACTAGAGGACAGGGAAACTTTTTTGCTCTGTGAATTCTTACCACGCATGTGTATTAGCCTGTTGGAAAAAATTAGCCCTAGAATAGGCAAATTCGTAGAGACTGAAAGTAGAATAGAGGTTGCCAGAGGTTTTGGGGTAGAGAATAGGGGGTTTTTATTTGATAGATGCATTTTCTGTTTGAGATGATGAGAGAGTTCTGAAATGGATAGTGGTGATGGTTGTACAACATTGTGATTGTACTTAATGCCACTCAACTGTACACTTAAAAGCGGTTGAAATGGGCTGGGCACGGTGGCTCACACCTGGAATCCCAGCGCTTCGGGAAGCCAAGGTGGGCAGATCACCTGAGGTCAGGAGTTCATGACCAGCCTGACCAACATGGTGAAACCCCGTCTCTACTAAAAATACAAAAATTAGCTGGGCGTGGTGGTGGTCGCCTATAATCCCAGCTACTCAGGAGGCTGAGGCAGGAGAATTGCTTGAACCTGGGAGGTGGAGGTTGCAGTGAGCCAAGATCACGCCACTGTACTCCAGCCTGGGCAACAGAAGTGAGACCTCATCTCAAAAAAAAAAAAAATGTTGAAATGGCCTGGCACAATGGTTCACACCTGTAATCCCAGCCCTCAGGGATGCCAAGGCAAGAGGATCACTTGAGCCCAGGAGTTTGAGACCAGCCTGGGAAAGATGGTGAGACTCTGTCTCTACAAAATGTTTTTTAAAAATTAGCTGGGTGCAGTGGTGCACACCCTGTGGTCCCAGCTGCTGGGGAGGCTGAGGCGGGAGGATTGCTTGAGCCTAGGTTGTGGTCCCAGCTGCTGGGGAGGCTGAGGCGGGAGGATTGCTTGAGCCTAGGAGGTTGAGGCTGCAGTGAATCATGTTCTCAGCACTGCACTCCAGTCTGGGCAACACAGTGAGACCCTGTCTCAAAAAAAAAAGAAGGAAAGAAAGAAGGAAGGAAGGAAAGAAAAGAAATAAAGAAAGAAAGAGAAAGAAGAGAAAGAGAAAGAAAGAGAAAAAGAAGAAAGAAGAAAGAGAAAGAAAGAGAGAAAGAAAGAAAGAAAGAAAGAAAGAAAGAAAGAAAGAAAGAAAGAAAGAAAGAAAGAAGGAAAGAAAGAAAGGAAAGAAAGAAAGAAGAAAGAAAAGACCAAGTACAGTGACTCACACCTGTAATCCCAGCACTTTGGGAGGCCAAAGTGGGAGGATTGCTTGAGGCCAGGGATTCGAGACCAGCCTGGGCATCACAGTGAGACCCCATCACTACAAAAAATAAAAAAAAAAGGAGTGGGGTATGGTAGCATGCACCCATAGTCCCAGCTACTCAGGAGGAGTGGGGAGGATCCCTTGAACTAGGGAGATCGAGACTGCAGTGAGCCATTACTGCACCATTGTATACCAGCCTGGGTGACAGAGCAAGACCCCATCTCAAAAAAAAAAAAAAAAAAGGAAAAGAAAAGAAAAGAAAAATGGTTGGAATGGTATTATATCTTAGGTTATATCTATTTTACCACACTAAAAAAAGCAGATAAAAATAAGCTCACAATAAACAAATTTAAATTGCACCGAGGGGGAGCACTTGGTCCATGAGCAGCTTCCTCATGCTCCCCTGGAGAGCAACCCTGACCCCTCTCCCAGCCCCTAATCTGTGCATCTCTGCCTGCCTGGAACCTTCTGGGGCTCCCAGGGTCTGGGGAACAGTTCGAAGACCACTGGGTCTAAGGAAAACCCCAGCTGGCATTACCTTAACTTTCATCACTTATGAATCAGCTTCCCAACTGGAACCTGCACTATTATTTACTTAGTACTTTTCTTTAAACAGACTTACTTAAAAATCCCTTAAATACCCAGGTTAGCTTTGTCCTAACAATAATATCAATGATGGGAATTGATGTGCTGATTACGTCTCTCTATGGCACATTGAAATAAACATATAATTATTACAGTAAAATAGGGTGTGTTACGTCAGTAAGGGTTAAGCAAATGGCCAAGGTCTCATAACTAGAAAGAAGCAGAGGCTGGCCCTGAGGCTTGGCAGACCGGCTCCAGAATTGACACCCTTGACCACTGTCACCTACCCCTGGCCTGTGACAGTTACCTGTTCCCCGCCCCCACGACAGTCACCCGTTCCCCCGTCCCCACGACAGTCGCCCGTTCCCCCGCCCCCGCGACAGTCACCCGTTCCCCCGGCCCCTCGACAGTCACCCGTTCCCCCGGCCCCGCGACAGTCGCCCGTTCCCCCGGCCCCGCGACAGTCGCCCGTTCCCCCGGCCCCGCGACAGTCACCCGTTCCCCCCGCCCCCGCGACAGTCTCCCGTTCCCCCGCCCCCGCGACAGTCACCCGTTCCCCCGCCCCCGCGACAGTCGCCCGTTCCCCCGCCCCCGCGACAGTCACCCGTTCCCCCCGCCCCCGCGACAGTCACCCGTTCCCCCCGCCCCCGCGACAGTCACCCGTTCCCCCGCCCCCGCGACAGTCTCCCGTTCCCCCGCCCCCGCGACAGTCACCCGTTCCCCCGGCCCCGCGACAGTCACCCGTTCCCCCGCCCCCGCGACAGTCGCCCGTTCCCCCGGCCCCGCGACAGTCGCCCGTTCCCCCGCCCCCGCGACAGTCTCCCGTTCCCCCGCCCCCGCGACAGTCTCCCGTTCCCCCCGCCCCCGCGACAGTCTCCCGTTCCCCCGCCCCCGCGACAGTCACCCGTTCCCCCGGCTCCGCGACAGTCACCCGTTCCCCCGCCCCCGCGACAGTCTCCCGTTCCCCCGGCCCCGCGACAGTCACCCGTTCCCCCGCCCCCGCGACAGTCTCCCGTTCCCCCGCCCCCGCGACAGTCGCCCGTTCCCCCGCCCCCGCGACAGTCGCCCGTTCCCCCGGCCCCGCGACAGTCGCCCGTTCCCCCGGCCCCGCGACAGTCGCCCGTTCCCCCGGCCCCGCGACAGTCACCCGTTCCCCCGCCCCGCGACAGTCACCCGTTCCCCCGCCCCCGCGACAGTTACCTGTCCCCTGCCCCCATGAAGGGGCATGCTTGCCCAACATGTTAAGGCTGCAGGTGGCAGAGCATAGTTCTTTGTGGGTGAGGAGGGAGGGCGAGCTGAGCTGAGCTTTGCTTACCATCCTCGGTGGCACCTGCCAGGGCTGGGCCAGTCCTCCGTTCCCTTGAACCCACAGGACAATGACCCAGGGGTCCCGGACTCTCTACAAGGCCTGGCCTTCAGGCTCATGCCCAGCCTTCCTCAGAGGGCTGGGGGTCTGCATCAGGTTAACCACACGGCAGCCCCCACCTCTGCAGCCCCACCCGCTGTCTCCCTGACCCCTCTTCTGCCCTAAGGCAAGAGCAGGAGGCACTGCGTTGGCCTCAGTCCTGAGACCTCAAGGCTGAGAAAAGGTTAGCCCAGCAAAGAGCTGCAGGAAGGAGGAAGGGGTCCAGGCAGGGGGAACAGCACGTGCTGAGGCCGGGCATGGGGAGGAGTGTGGTGTTTGGGGAGCTGCTTGTGGTTGAGCCTGGCTGGAGCTCTTGGTGTGAAGGGGCCCTACGGGGCAGAGGGTGGAGGCCCGGTGGCTCCTATTGCATCTGTCCTGTGGCCTTGGCATGGGGTCACCCTCCTATCACACTCCCCTGGAGGCTACTGATGCCGTGGGCTCCACCAGTCTTATGGGTCAGTGCGGGGAGCCCTTTGCTGTCTGCATTCCGAGTCAAAGACTCAGGGATGAAGGGTCCTTGTAACTCATTCAGTACCCCCCATCTCCCCACTCCCACCACAGCCCAGCGCCCAAACACACCGGTGAGCTCCAGCCACCACGCCCCTGCTCGGATGGCTCAGCCTGCTGGGCAGCCTCATTCACCCTTGACCACCTGGCACACTCCTATGCTGCCCTCAACACCCCACTCAGGTGTTGCCTCCTCCGACAAGCTTTCCACAGTGGTCCCCTGGCATGGCCACCCTTGTGGGCCTCACCACGCTCCGTGATTATTGTCCAAGTGTGTCTCCCCAACGGGGTTGAATTGCTTGAGGACCTCAATGGGGCATCACCATCTTTGTGGCCCTTGAGCTGTGGGGTCCAACTCGATTGCCTTGGGACCCCCTGGGAGATTCGCAGGACCCATTCCCAGGGAGCCCAGGCTCCAGGCCCAGGGTGGGGCCCAGTATTCTGAGGCGGGAGTTCCGGCAGAGCTTTCACCAGCTCTGCGAATGTGGAAACGGAGGCCGAGAGGCGGCCTGAGCTGTCCAAGGTCATACAGCAACTGGGAGGCAGGGCCAGGGCTCCCGGCTCCCTCTGGGGTTCTAGCTCAGGGCTCAAAGTCCACCCCTGTGTGGCCAGCGGGGAGACTGTTCCTACCGCACCTGGCTTCCAGCAGCCCCGGTGGTGACTGTGGCTCACGCCTTCCCACAGGGCCTTGGTAGGAAGGTCTTAGGACTCAGGAAGAGCCCATTTCATGCTTTTGTCCTACCCTCCCCACTTTCACACCTGTGCAGGCTCACAGCCCCACCTACCTCGGGGCCTTTGCACTGTCCAGGGCCTCCTCCTGGAATATTCTGCCACCAAACCATCCCATGGGGGGCTCATCCTCACTGAAGGTCTCACTCGAGGCCAACTCCTAGGGAGGCCTGGGGAACCGTGGAAAGCAGCTGTGTTCAGGCCCTGCTCATTTCTGGTCTGCAAGCCTCCTTGGAGGCAGAGGCCTAGCCTGGTGCCTGGCTCATGCAGGGCAAGCACTCAATTCACGGAGGTGGAAGGGAGGCAGCCGTGGGGGAGACCACCGGGTGACAGGGCAGCTGGGTGGGAGGAGGAGGGAGGCCAGCCCGGCTCCTCCCTGCCTGTGCGGCTCCCACTCTGGGCCAGTGGCCTTGGAGACAGCAGCGTTTAGAGGGAGGAGGGAGGGCGAGCGGAGGGCCATCCATCAGCGGGGAACGTGTAGAGCCTCGTAAATCAGGGAGGCTGTCTGAGGCCCCTGTGCCAAGCATCTGCTGGCGTCTGGGAGCCTGGGAGGGCAGGCTGCTCCTCCGGGGAAAGGAGACAGCCACGCCTCGGGGCTCCCCTAGTTGAGGAGGGCGGGCAAGCCTCCCTCCGTCTCCCCAGGCACTTCAGTGTGTTATCCCAAATACCTAACAGCCCCCACCCCAACCTGCAAGGCAGGCCATAATTTTGTTTTAATTATTTTGAATTTTAATACACAAGACTGTAGAAAATAACATAACAAATCCCAAAACATATCCACCCTAACTTTTTCATTTTTTATGGAGGGTTTTGTTTAGTTTGCTTTTCTTTAAGAGTCGGGGTCTTGCTCTGTCGCCCAGGCTGGAGTGCCGTGGCACAATCACGGTTCACTGCAGCCTCCACCTCCTGGGCTCAAGTGATTCTCCCACCTCAGCCCCCTCAGTAGCTGGGACTACAGGCACATCCCACTACAACCGGCTAATTTTTTTGTATTTTTTTGCAGAGACGGGTTTTCGCCATGTTGCCCAGGCTGATCTCAAACTACTGGGCTAGAGTGATGCTCCCCCGTTAGCCTCTGAAATTGCTGGGATTACAGGTGCGAGCCACCGCTCCCAGCCCGAGATTTTTGAACTCATAAGATTGTGAACGATAGCATATAAAACTGCATAAAACACAGTTGCCTAAAATGATTAGTTATAAAGCAGACATCAGCATAATCACCACCCAAGTCATGAAACAGGAAGTTGCCAGCCTTCCCCACCCCCAGCATGTGTTTCTCTCATTAGGCACCTCTCCCTGCCCCCATGATTATTTATTTTTTTAGAGATGGCGACTTGCTATATTGCCCAGGCTGGACTTGAACTCCTGGATGCAAACGATCCTCCTGCCTTAGCCTCCCGAGTAGCTAAGACCACAGGCCCACGCCATTGTGCCTGGCTTTGCCGTTTTTATGTTATGACTTTATGTGACATCGTTGCCCAGCTTTCCTGGCCTTTAAAAAGTATAAATACAATAAAACATTACAGATAAAAATTCCCTTCTTGTGTCTCAACCCCACCCCAGGGGCAAGCATAATTATGAGATTTACATATGTCATTCCAGGCTGCATTTGATATTTTTACGACAAATATTAGAGAAGTATTGTTTTACATAGTTTAAAACGTTTCACAAATGACAACAATACTGTGTATATTATTCTGCAAGTTGCTTTTTCACTAACTCTAAATGCTTTTTAAAAAACAGCTGTATTGAGACATAATTTATACACCATAAAATTCAACCATTTTAAGTGCACAATTTAATGATTTTTAGTAAATTTAAAGACTTGTGCAACCACCAGCAAATTTAAAGACTTGTGCAACCACCAGCACAATCCAAGTTTAGATCATTTCCATCCCTCCTAAAAACTCTAAATAGGCTGGGCATGGTGGCTCGTGCCTGTAATCCCAGCACTTTGGGAAGGCAGGGTGAAAGGATTTTAAGAGGCCAGGAGTTGCAGACCAGCCCGGGCAACATAGTGAGATCCTGTCTCTACACAAAAAATTTTTTTTCAAAAATTACCTGGACACAGTGGCTGCACCTGTAGTCCCAGCTACTTGGGAGGCTGAGGTGGGAGGATTGCTTGAGCCCAGGAGTTCCAGGATGTAGTGAGCTAGGATCTCGCCGCTGAACTCCAGCTTTGGGCGACAGAGCAAGATCTTGTCTCTGAAGAGAAAACTGTCTAAATGCTTTTTTGCTTTCTCTCTTTTTTTTTCCTAAGTGCCTTTGATACACATTTTAATAACTGCCCCTTATAAAGCTCCTGCATGTGCCAAGCACTGCTGCAAGGTATTAAATATGCGACCACATTCACTCCTCATAGCAACTCCACAAGGTGACAGTCTTAGGGACGATGACACGGAGGCAGAGGGGGTAACAAACTGTCCACGGTCACCCTATTAGAAACTCACAGAACAGGTGGCTGCAAACCCAGTCTGACCCCAGAGTCAGCCACTTAGCCACCCACTGTGAATTCATGCACTCTTACTGTCGCGTGCTATGTCAGGCAAATGTTTTTATCCTACGGTATGAATGAGAAACCGAGGCTTGGAGGGGTTAAGTGACTTGCTCAGTATCACTGGACAGAGAATAACAGAGCTGGGGTTTGAATCTACGTCTACGTGACTTCAAGCTCGCTGGCCCTTTGCTGGTCTCTGGTCTCCTTGGCTGCCTTTCCTTTTTTTCATTACAGTAAAGGAATAAAAGAGAGAAAAGAGGAGGATGGGTGGAAAGGGGGAGAGAGAGATGCCAGAAAAAGCTTTTATTTTTATGTTTTTTTTGAAATGGAGTCTGGCTCTGTCACCATGCTGGAGTGCAGTGGTGAGATCTTGGCTCACCGCAACCTCTGCCTCCTGGATTCAAGTGATTCTCCTCCCTCAGCCTCCCAAGTAGCTGGGACTACAGGCACCTGCCACCACACCCAGCTAATTGTATTTTTAGCAGAGATAGGGTTTCTCCATGTTGGCCAGGCTGGTCTCAAACTCCTGACCTGAAGTGATCCACCATCCCAGCCTCCCAAAGAGCTGGGATTACAGGCATGAGACACCGTGCCTGACCAGAACAAACTTTTAAATTCTTTTATGCTCAGCCTATATCCACAGATACTTACATATATACATGTGCAACACAGGATCTCTGAACACCAACTCTAGTCAGTTGAGTGTGTGCACAGTTCTGTGTGTGTAGGCTGTACACATGTGTGCACACACATGCATATGTGTACCTGAGACCACATGTGCGTTCACACACCATTCCAGATGCACACCCACACAGGTGTACACACCCTAAAAGGCACACCCACACAGGCACATACAGGTGCACACCCACACAGGCACAGGTGTACACACACACAGCTGTACACACACACAGCTGTACACACACAGCTGTACACACACTCACACAGCTGTACACACACTGAAATGACTAGAATTGGTGTTCACAGATCCTGTGTTACTCAGGGTGAGAATGTCAGTGTGTATGTGTGCTCATGCGTGTGTGTGTGTACATGTGTGTGTAGTGGGAGACAGGAGTTCAGTCTTCCAGGGTCCCCTGGTGGCCCATCTGTCAGGGTCCAGATCTGAGAAATGCTCCATCAGGGGCAGACCCCTTCTCCGAAAGGCACTCTCAGCCAGGAGGGCCCCATGCCCCACCACCCTCTCTTTATGCTACCAAGTGCTTGCTGAGGTCCTTAGATAAAGTTTCAGGACCTGGAAGACGGAGCTAGGCATGATCTCTGGGGACTTCCTGGCCCCGTGTGGCCACGTCGAATCCGCTGCTTCTCTTTTCACTGGTCTGGTGCTTCCATCCCCAAAGCTCCTTTCTGCCCCCCGACTCCTCTGAGTCTACACAGACCTGCAAGGGCCTGTAGGAACCACACCTAACAAGCAACCACAAGCAGCAGCCAGTGAGCAGACACGACAGCCAGACAGGGGGACTCACCACAGGTCCACGAGCAGGTCTACTGCCATTTTACAGATGGGGAAACTGAGGCACAGCAGCCTTCTGCAGGGCCCCGTGGCTAGAGATGGACTCCAGATTCACACCCAGGCTGTATGTCTGCACAACTTGGACTGCACAACCCAGCACAGAGAACACTCGACCCCCGCTCACGCAACACAGCAGGATCCCGAGCTTGGAACCCAGGTGTTCACAAAGGGGTCCCGACTCTGGAACCCAGGCCTCCACAGCAGGATCCCGACCCTGGAACCCAGGCGTCCACAGCAGGATCCCGAGCTTGGAACCCAGGCGTTCACAGCAGGATCCCGACCCTGGAACCCAGGCGTCCACAGCAGGATCCCGAGTTTGGAACCCAGGCGTTCACAGCAGGATCCCGAGCTTGGAACCCAGGTGTTCACAGCAGGTTCCCGAGCTTGGAACCCAGGCATCCACAGCAGGATCCCGACCCTGGAACCCGGGCGTCCACAGCAGGATCCCGAGCTTGGAACCCGGGTGTCCACAGCAGGATCCTGAGCTTGGAACCCGGGCGTCCACAGCAGGATCCCGACCCTGGAACCCGGGCGTCCACAGCAGGATCCCGACCCTGGAACCCGGGCGTCCACAGCAGGATCCCGACCCTGGAACCCGGGCGTCCACAGCAGGATCCCGAGCCTGGAACCCAGGCGTTCACAGCAGGATCCCGAGTTTGGAACCCGGGCGTCCACAGCAGGATCCCGAGCTTGGAACCCAGGCGTTCACAGCAGGATCCCGACCCTGGAACCCAGGCGTCCACAGCAGGATCCCGAGTTTGGAACCCAGGTGTTCACAGCAGGATCCCGAGCTTGGAACCCAGACGTTCACAGCAGGATCCCGAGCTTGGAACCCAGGTGTTCACAGCAGGATCCCGACCCTGGAACCCAGACATCCACAGCAGGATCCCAAGCTTGGAACCCAGGCATTCTAGTATCCAGCCTCCAAGTCTTGGTCCTACCCTGGTGGTTTACAGAAGCCGAGAAGCTGACAGCTTTACTCACCCATGACAAAATAAGAAAAGCACAGGGCAATGTAGGAAGTTTTTCATAAAGTTAAATCCCTTTAATTTAAAAAAAAACAGCTTTTTTGGTTGACTTTTCCCCTCTCTTTTCTAAAATAAGGGTGATCTTATCCAATGGTTCTTATTTTATATTCTTAATTTAGCAAGATAAAAATGTGAGCAGCTGCACGCCAGCCCCCAAACTCTAGGGGAGGTTTTTCTGGTTCAGACTGTCTCAGGTTCGAGCCTCCTTAGGGCACCCCCTTTCCGTCCACCTTAGCCTGGAACTGAGACTTCTTTTTCTTTTGTATCTGTCCTTCTCAGATCTCATATTTGTATTTTCCAAAACAATCTAGTTGAAGAAATCCTATTTGGTATGTTTGAAATCTTTATGCTCCCAGCTCAAACTCTGGATTAACAACAAAACAGAGGAAAACTCTTTTTCTTATTCAGCAGTCAAACTTCAAGGCAACTTCAGCCCTGGGAACTCAGCCAGTTGCTGGGAAGTAAAGGAATCAAAGGCTTCTAAACAGTAAAAAATGTCTTTAGAGCTCGGCTCAGAGGGAGCTTTGGCCTTCCTGCAAATTAAGAATAATGATTTGGTGAGCTTGTTTATCTCCCCTCCACCAGCAAGGCTTGGTCTCCCCAGGGGTAACCGGCTGCAGATTCAAGAGGAAGCTGGGAGGGCTGTCTGGGGCTGGAGAAGGAGGCAGCTCCAACACGCCGCGGTCAGGCAGTGTGGGGACAAAGAGGTCTCCTTACTTCCACAGCACCGAGTCATCGAAGTTTACAAGACACTTCTACGTTGATCTGGAAAAAGGAGGTGCTCCTAGTACATCTTAGAAAGATTTCCATAAAACGGGCTAAAAAGCAATCATAAAACCACAACATAACACAAATAGGCAAGGGAAAGGATAAACTTCCATCACCTGGAAGCCTCAGAGACAGGAGAGGGTACACAGGTGAGAGCCTTGGCTGGGTGGGAGGTAGGAGTCAGACCGGACCCTCTGCAGAATTAGCAGTGGTGTGCGCTCACCTCTGGAGCTGCTCCTCTGAGATGGGCCTGGCCCCCTAGATAATTGGAGGGTCCTGCATCTCATGGCAGTTTCCACCACGCCCTGCTGCAGCTCGCACCCAGAGCCCTCTGATCACGGGAGTGGGCAGCTGCCATTTACTGCTGCACCATTCTGACCATGTGCCCCACGTTATTTCATGTAGCCCTCACTACTGCTGTGTCCAGGAGGCTCAGAGAGGTCAAGTTACTTACCTAAGGTCACACAGCTGGTATGTGCCAGAGCTGGGAAGAGAACGTGCACTTGTATGACTCCGGGATGTTGGCTTTCTGCCTTGACGCCCCAGCCTCTTCAGCTGTGGCTGGTGGCAGGTCCTGGGCCTCTAGCGAGGACGTGCCTGGCTGTGGGCCCAGCCTGGGATTGACCTCACACCCTCTCTCACACCTGGGGCTTCACTGACAGCGGCGGGCACAGTGCCTTCCTTTCTCTTTCCCTAGACACCAGCTCTGACCCTCCAATTTCCACCATGATCACAGTGTTCTCAGAGTCAGGCAGCATATGAGGAAAATTGCCCTTTCCCTGGAATAATTTACCATCTTGTAATTTCCGTTACCTGACCCTGTTGGAGCCTATTCCGTGCTGAGCTGTTTGAATTTCCAGCTTGGAAATCCCCAGGCTGGGCGGGAAATGCTGTTTCCTGAGGGAGGAGCAGACGAGGGAGGTGCTGCCTGCAGGCTTGGCGGAGGGTCAGGGGGTGTTTGGGACAGGGACACAGTGGGGAGGGGGCTGAGAACAGCAACCAGGCAGCATTTGTGATTCTTCTGAATCCAGAGGGGCTTGTGTGATGAAATTCCACAGGGCTCTGCCAGGCTGATACGTGGGAAGGGTGGCAGAGGGCTACTGCGACCTACAGGCAGGGGGTGGTCCTAGGCAGGCAAAGGCATTGGTAGGAATGCAGAGAGGGCTACAGAAAGCAAGGGGACTCCTGGGCCAGGCCCTGGACCGGGGCACAGAGTAAGGCTGTTGAGGGTGTTGATTTCAGTTTTTGACAAGTCGAGGATCCTCCGGATACCACGTGACAACACACAGCTTAAGAGCACGGGCCTTGGGCTCAAATCCTCGCTCTGTCACTCGCTGGCAGTGTGGTCCTGTGCAAGTTGACGGACTTCTCTCAGCCTCAGTTTCCTCCTCTGTGAAGTGGAGGGAATGGTGTCCACCCCCCATTATTCCTTTAATGTGAGCGCTAACTCAGGGCAAGTGTGTAAAGACCCAGTCTGGCCTCCAGCTGGGGTCCATCTGACCCAGGTGGTGGCTGTTTACAGGGATCAACTCTCCCCAGTTTGCTGGGAGCTTTCCTGGTTTTAGCCCTGAAAGTCCCGCATCTTGTGAAACCCGTTGGTCCTGGAAAACCTGGATGGTTGCTCACTCTGCCTGTGGTCTCCCGCTCCTCATTGCACTAAAAGTGCCAGGTCATGTCTGTGTCCTGGGGAAGGCCGAAGCCCTTGCTAAGGTTTCTGTAATATCACCTGTGGCTCTGAGGCCTGCTTTGGCTGAGTTAATTCGGTGTTGAGGTCGGTACGTGTGCTTGCACACGTTTCTGAACCGCAGAGACTCAGATGTGACATTCAGCCCCCATTCCCCCCAGATCCATAGGCACAAAGCACCTGGGTGTCAGAGACACCGCAGACGTCTGGGGTGGGATGGGGGCGCTGAGATCACCGTAGTGCAATCCACAGGCACAAGGCACCTGGGTGTGGGAGACACCGCAGACGTCTGGGGTGGGATGGGGGCGCTGAGATCACCGTAGTGCAATCCACAGGCACAAGGCACCTGGGTGTCGGAGACACCGCAGACGTTTGGGGTGGGATGGGGGCGCTGAGATCACCGTAGTGCAATCCACAGGCACAAGGCACCTGGGTGTCGGAGACACCGCAGACGTCTGGGGTGGGATGGGGGCGCTGAGATCACCGTAGTGCAATCCACAGGCACAAGGCACCTGGGTGTCGGAGACACCGCAGACGTTTGGGGTGGGATGGGGGCGCTGAGATCACCGTAGTGCAATCCACAGGCACAAGGCACCTGGGTGTCGGAGACACCGCAGACGTCTGGGGTGGGATGGGGGCGCTGAGATCACCGTAGTGCAATCCACAGGCACAAGGCACCTGGGTGTCGGAGACACCGCAGACGTCTGGGGTGGGATGGGGGCGCTGAGATCACCGTAGTGCAATCCACAGGCACAAGGCACCTGGGTGTCGGAGACACCGCAGACGTTTGGGGTGGGATGGGGGCGCTGAGATCACCGTAGTGCAATCCACAGGCACAAGGCACCTGGGTGTGGGAGACACCGCAGACGTCTGGGGTGGGATGGGGGCGCTGAGATCACCGTAGTGCAATCCACAGGCACAAGGCACCTGGGTGTCGGAGACACCGCAGACGTTTGGGGTGGGATGGGGGCGCTGAGATCACCGTAGTGCAATCCACAGGCACAAGGCACCTGGGTGTCGGAGACACCGCAGACGTTTGGGGTGGGATGGGGGCGCTGAGATCACCGTAGTGCAATCCACAGGCACAAGGCACCTGGGTGTCGGAGACACCGCAGACGTCTGGGGTGGGATGGGGGCGCTGAGATCACCGTAGTGCAATCCACAGGCACAAGGCACCTGGGTGTCGGAGACACCGCAAACGTCTGGGGTGGGATGGGGGCGCTGAAATCACCGTAGTGCAATCCACAGGCACAAGGCACCTGGGTGTGGGAGACACCGCAGACGTCTGGGGTGTGATGGGGGCGCTGAAAACACCGTAGTGCAATCCACAGGCACAAGGCACCTGGGTGTCGGAGACACCGCAGACGTCTGGGGTGGGATGGTCCGCGCTGAGATCACCGTAGTGCAATCCACAGGCACAAGGCACCTGGGTGTCGGAGACACCGCAGACGTTTGGGGTGGGATGGGGGCGCTGAGATCACCGTAGTGCAATCCACAGGCACAAGGCACCTGGGTGTCGGAGACACCGCAGACGTTTGGGGTGGGATGGGGGCGCTGAGATCACCGTAGTGCAATCCACAGGCACAAAGGCACCTGGGTGTCGGAGACACCGCATACGTTTGGGGTGGGATGGGGGCGCTGAGATCCCCGTAGTGCAATCCACAGGCACAAGGCACCTGGGTGTCGGAGACACCGCAGACGTTTGGGGTGGGATGGGGGCGCTGAGATCCCCGTACTGCAATCCACAGGCTCTGGGCACCTGGGTGTCCGACACACCGCAGACGTCTGGGGTGGGATGGGGGTGTTGAGATCACCGTAGTGCAATCCACAGGCACAAGGCAAATGGGTGTCAGAGACACCGCAGACGTCTGGGGTGGGATGGGGGCGCTGAGATCACCGTAGTGCAATCCACAGGCACAAGGCACCTGGGAGTGGGAGACACCGCAGACGTCTGGGGTGGGATGGGGGCGATGAGATCACCATAGTGCAATCCACAGGCACAAGGCACCTGGGTGTGGGAGACACCGCAGACGTCTGGGGTGGGATGGGGGCGCTGAGATCACCGTAGCGCAATCCACAGGCACAAGGCACCTGGGTGTGGGAGACACCGCAGACGTTTGGGGTGGGATGGGGGCGCTGAGATCACCGTAGTGCAATCCACAGGCACAAGGCACCTGGGTGTGGGAGACACCGCAGACGTCTGGGGTGGGATGGGGGCGCTGAGATCACCGTAGTGCAATCCACAGGCACAAGGCACCTGGGTGTCGGAGACACCGCAGACGTTTGGGGTGGGATGGGGGCGCTGAGATCACCGTAGTGCAATCCACAGGCACAAGGCACCTGGGTGTCGGAGACACCGCAGACGTCTGGGGTGGGATGGGGGCGCTGAGATCACCGTAGTGCAATCCACAGGCACAAGGCACCTGGGTGTCGGAGACACCGCAGACGTTTGGGGTGGGATGGGGGCGCTGAGATCACCGTAGTGCAATCCACAGGCACAAGGCACCTGGGTGTCGGAGACACCGCAGACGTTTGGGGTGGGATGGGGGGCGCTGAGATCACCGTAGTGCAATCCACAGGCACAAGGCACTTGGGTGTGGGAGACACCGCAGACGTTTGGGGTGGGATGGGGGCGCTGAGATCACCGTAGTGCAATCCACAGGCACAAGGCACCTGGGTGTGGGAGACACCGCAAGACGTTTGGGGGTGGGATGGGGGCGCTGAGATCACCGTAGTGCAATCCACAGGCACAAGGCACCTGGGTGTCGGAGACACCGCAGACGTCTGGGGTGGGATGGGGGCGCTGAGATCACCGTAGTGCAATCCACAGGCACAAGGCACCTGGGTGTGGGAGACACCGCAGACGTTTGGGGTGGGATGGGGGCGCTGAGATCACCGTAGTGCAATCCACAGGCACAAGGCACCTGGGTGTGGGAGACACCGCAGACGTCTGGGGTGGGATGGGGGCGCTGAGATCACCGTAGTGCAATCCACAGGCACAAGGCACCTGGGTGTGGGAGACACCGCAGACGTTTGGGGTGGGATGGGGGCGCTGAGATCACCGTAGTGCAATCCACAGGCACAAGGCACCTGGGTGTCAGAGACACCGCAGACGTCTGGGGTGGGATGGGGGCGCTGAGATCACCGTAGTGCAATCCACAGGCACAAGGCACCTGGGTGTCAGAGACACCGCAGACGTCTGGGGTGGGATGGGGGCGCTGAGATCACCGTAGTGCAATCCACAGGCACAAGGCACCTGGGTGTGGGAGACACCGCAGACGTTTGGGGTGGGATGGGGGCGCTGAGATCACCGTAGTGCAATCCACAGGCACAAGGCACCTGGGTGTCGGAGACACCGCAGACGTTTGGGGTGGGATGGGGGCGCTGAGATCACCGTAGTGCAATCCACAGGCACAAGGCACCTGGGTGTCAGAGACACCGCAGACGTCTGGGGTGGGATGGGGGCGCTGAGATCACCGTAGTGCAATCCACAGGCACAAGGCACCTGGGTGTCGGAGACACCGCAGACGTTTGGGGTGGGATGGGGGCGCTGAGATCACCGTAGTGCAATCCACAGGCACAAGGCACCTGGGTGTCGGAGACACCGCAGACGTTTGGGGTGGGATGGGGGCGCTGAGATCACCGTAGTGCAATCCACAGGCACAAGGCACCTGGGTGTCGGAGACACCGCAGACGTCTGGGGTGGGATGGGGGCGCTGAGATCACCGTAGTGCAATCCACAGGCACAAGGCACCTGGGTGTGGGAGACACCGCAGACGTCTGGGGTGGGATGGGGGCGCTGAGATCACCGTAGTGCAATCCACAGGCACAAGGCACCTGGGTGTGGGAGACACCGCAGACGTTTGGGGTGGGATGGGGGCGCTGAGATCACCGTAGTGCAATCCACAGGCACAAGGCACCTGGGTGTGGGAGACACCGCAGACGTCTGGGGTGGGATGGGGGCGCTGAGATCACCGTAGTGCAATCCACAGGCACAAGGCACCTGGGTGTGGGAGACACCGCAGACGTTTGGGGTGGGATGGGGGCGCTGAGATCACCGTAGTGCAAACAGCATCAAATGGAACATGACACACAACTCCTTTGGCCGCCCCCTGAAAGTGTGGGGGATGCAGGGGTGGAAGGGAGCTTCACTCAGGGACCTCCTGCCTCAACCCCTCACTCTGACCTCTGCTCTTTCCTCTAAATTTTGTTCGTTTCTAACGTCTCTTTTGTGGCCTTGGCCCCGGGTTGAAATGTGCCCTTTAAAAGCATTTTTCCTAAACGAAGACAATTCCTCTCCAAGAGGAGCTGTTCCCTCCCCAGCTGTTCAGAAAATCCAGGTGTGTTTCCACCTGCAACAATGCCGAGCTGTCAGCTTAGACTTGGAAGGCGCTAAGAGCTGGGGAAGGCCACATTTGGGGTCTGGTTCCAGGCCTTGCGGGTCACCATCCCTGGCTGTATTAGTCCTTTCCTGCACTGCTATAAAGTACCCAAGGCTGGGTAATTGATAAAGAAAAGCAAAGTAATGGGCTCACGGTTCCTCAGGCTGTACAGGAAGCTTGATGCTGGCATGTGCTCAGCTTCTGAGGAGGCCTCAAGAAACTTACAATCATGGCAGAAGGCTAAGGGGGAGCAGGCATGCCACACGGCCAGCGCAGCAGCAAGAGAGTGAGGCGGGAGGTGCTACCCACTTGTAAATGGCCGAGCTCGTGAGGACTCACCAAGGCGGATGGTGCTCAACCAGTCATGGGAAAACCGCCCCCGTGATCTAGTCGCTTCCCACCAGGCGCCACCTCCAACGCTGAGGGTTACAATTCGACATGACACGCCGGGGGGACACAGATCCAAACCACGTCATCAGCTCTTTCAGAGGGAGATGGCTCTGGACCCCACTTTAGAGTCTGGCTGATTTGCTCTCCCAGGTGCGCCTGGCACAGCTCTCAGGTTCTGCAGGAGCCGCTGGGCTTGGACGAAGGGCCCTCCCGCAGTGTGAGGAGCCTGGCGACCTGGCCCGGTCTCACCCCACAGCCTAGGGCAGAGATGCCACAAAGTCACAGACTTTCAGGGCCAAGAGACCCTGGAGTGCGTCTGACTCGGCCTCGTGTTTCACAGGGAATCTGAGGCCCGCACTGGCCAAGTGACCTGTCTGTACTTACACACTCTGGAGGCAGCAGAGTGGAGGAGAGTGGTGCTATGGCCTGAGTGATTTATTTTAGAATACAGTCATGCATTGTATAACGAAGTTTGTCAATGACAGGCTGTATATCCAGCGGTGGTCCCATAAGACTACAAAGCAGCTGAAAATTCCCGTTGCCTAGTGAGGTTGCGGCGTGTAATGTCACAGTGCAACACGTTATCACTCGTTTGTGGTGACGCTGGTGTGAACACACCTATTACACTGCCAGTCACATACGAGTGGACAGTAATGCCCTGGGCCCTCACACTCACCACACACTGACTCTCCCACAGCGACTCCAGTCCCGCAAGCTCCATTCACGGGAAGTGCTCTATACACCTGTGTCATTTTAAAACATCTTTTATACCGTATTTTTACTGTACCCTTTCTATGATTAGCTACACACATAATTCCACGGTGTCGCAGTTGCTACATGCTGCACAGGTTTGTAGCCCAGGAGCCCAGGCTCTCCCACATAGCCTAGGTGTGCTGTAGGTTCTGCCACTTAGATTTACGTCCGTGCTCTCTATGATGTCTGCACAATGATGAAATTGCCTGACAACACATCTCTTGGAAGTATCCCTGTCGTATCCTGGTTGTTAGGTGACACATGCCTGTACTTCTGTGTGAATGAGTTTGAGTAAGATCTCATCTGCACACACATTAAGGGCTGGCTAGCCTTATTAGCATAAGGAATGTGGCAGTGGGTTTTCTTTCATTTATTTACTGTTTTTGAATAGGGTCTTGTTTTGTTACCCAGGCTGAGTGCAGTGGCGAGATCATGGCTCACTACAGCCTCCAACTTCTGTGCTCAAGCAATCCTCCTGCCTCAGCCTCCCAAGTAGCTGGGACTACAGCTATAGTGATTTTGATAGGGGGGGAATTTGTTGGGGGTCACTGAGGCGGGCTGGGGCACACAGACCAGGGCTCCCCACGAGGGCCTCTGAGGCACACAGACCAGGGCTCCACACAAGGGCCCTCTGAGGTACGCAGACCAGGCTGAGGCACAGAGACCAGGGCTCAAGAGCTGCTCTGCCCAGGATTCCTGTGGCTGCTGTGAACTGAGTGCTCCTGGCCGAGGACCCACAGCTTCTGGGAAGTGTAGGTTGGGGCTCCTGATCTGCTGGCCCCTCCCTAGGGATGCAGAGCACACAGGCCCTGGGCCTGGAGTGTTTCCATCCATCCACACATCCTTCTTCCCATCAGGACACTGGTCCATCCTCTGTTCATCTGTCCATCCTCTCAGATGTCCTTCAGCACATTGGTCCATGCAGAATGTCTATGCACCTGTCTCTCCATCCATCTGTCCAATGCTCCATCAGTCTGTCCATCATCCATCCTCCCATCTGTCCTCCACCCACCCACCCCCACCATCCCCCACCCAATCATCATCCATCCAACTACCCCCTATGCCCCCACTCACCCTTCCCCCACCCAGCCATCCGTTAACCCATCCCCCACCCATCCTTCCCCCACCCATTCCCCACTCAACTATCGCCCTACCCATCCCCCACTCCTCCACCCACTCACCCATCCATCTCCTCACCCATCCCTCACTCATCCAGACCTCCATCCATCTCCTCACTCACCTGCCATCCACCCATCCCCCAACCATCCTCACCCCTCCACCACCCACTGACCCATCCCCTACCCCTCCATCTACCCATGCATCCATGCATCCATTGATCCAGCAATATTTCTTGACAGCTAACTAGGGACCCAAAGGTGAATAAGCCTTGACTTCTGCCTTCAGGAGCCGGGCTCTAGGGAACCCAGCCTTGCCATGCCACGTCTGGAAGCAGAGCCTGGGAAGAAGGTGCAGCGACTGATCTGGGCAGGCCCCTGCTGTGGGGGCAGGGATGACAGGGCCCAGCTTTTGGTTCCCTTTTCCCCATGAAAGAGCCTGGGCAAAGGTGGAGGCGATGGCAGTCGGGAAGGAGGGAGCAGGGAGGGAGAAGCTTCATTTGTCAGCTGCTCAGCAGGTACAGTCAGACTTAAAATGTCTCCAAAGAGCAGCCGCTGAGAGGCAGGGGGTGAGCACGCTGAATTATTTTCTGGTAATTGGCACTGAAGAAGCTGCAGACATCCTGAGGTCTGCATCAAAGGCTCAGAGCTTCGGCCGTCTTGGTGGAGACTGGGGGCACCTCGTCGGGGGCTCCTAAGGATCTCTGAGCTCCTGCCTCCTCCTCCTCCTGCCTGCCTGCTCTCCTCGGTACTGTGGGGTGAGGAGAGGCACACTCTGCTTTGCTTTCTGCACAAGACAGCCCCGGGGTGGGGCCGGGCGCTGCGGGTCAGAGCCCTGACCGTTTGCAGAGGAAAGGAAAGGGACAGGAAACTGGAGCATCAAGGCCCTGCTTTGCAGGGGACACCAGGACTTAGCCATGGCAGGGGCTCTGCCAATGCTCTTCACACATGGCCTGGCGAGGTCCTTCTCCTCACATACTCCGGGCAATGCCAGTGCCAGGTTTTCCTTTGGTCTCATCCCTCCCCTGTGCAGAAGAGCATTTGCTGGCACTTGGATGAGCAATTTAAAGGCACTGGTCCTCCACATATATTTGAGACAGGGTCTTGCTCTGTCAATCAGGCTGGAGTGCAGTGGCACAGTCACAGCTCAGTGCAGCCTCAAACTCTTGGGCTCAAGTGATCCTCCCTTCTCAGCCTCCTGTGTAGCTGGTACTACAGGCATGCACCACCACGTCTGGCTATTTTTTTTTTTTTTTAATTTTTGTGGAGATGGCATCTCTCCATATTGCCCAGGCTGGTCTCGAACTCCTGGGCTCAGGTGATACTCCTGCCTTGGCCTCCCAAAGTCCTGGGATTACAGGCATGAGCCATTGCACCTGGCCTCCTACGTATTCTGTAAACAGGTGAACCTTTCTGTGTTTGTACATACTAGTGTATGCACACGTGTGTGTGCGTCTGTGTGCCGTCCATCTCCCCTGGCGAGGGCCCCTTCTGCCTAGTACCTCCAACAGCTGGACCCTCCAGCTGGTCACCTTATGTAGGAGGCTTCTCTCCCCCATGGGCGGAGTGCAGGGCAGGGTGGCCTGGGGTGGAGGCTGCAGGCAGGCCAGTTCCCCATCCAGCCTCAGCCTCCTTCCTGCTGGGGAACCAATCATAGGGGAGGAAACTGAGCTTTTTCCTTACAGCCACCTCAGGCTCATTGGCTGGGCCCCCTGTTAAAAAAAAAATACAAAAAAGGGGGGGGCAGATTAACCAGAGAAAAGTCTGAGCATGTATTTAGCATGTGTTACGTCACACGGAAGCTCCATGAAGAAGTGAACACCTGAAGGCACCACAGAGCCCGAGTGTTTCTTACGGCAGGCAGCTCGATGGGGAAACGTGATTGGGTGAGTGTTTCTTACGGCAGCTGGAGGAAGGTAGAAGGTGGCGGGGAAACGTTATTGGACGAATGTTTCCTACGGCAGCTCGATGGGGAAACGTGATTGGGCGAGTGTTTCTTATGGCACCTCGATGGGGAAACGTGATTGGGCGAGTGTTTCTCACGGCACCTCGATGGGGAAACATGATTGGGCGAGTGTTTCTTACGGCAGCTCGATGGGGAAACGTGATTGGGTGAGTGTTTCTTATGGCAGCTCGATGGGGAAACGTGATTGGGCGAGTGTTTCTTATGGCACCTCAATGGGGAAACGTGATTGGGCGAGTGTTTCTTACGGCACCTTGATGGGGAAACATGATTGGGCGAGTGTTTCTTACGGCAGCTCGATGGGGAAACGTGATTGGGTGAGTGTTTCTTACGGCAGCTCCATGGGGAAACGTGATTGGGCGAGTGTTTCTTACAGCACCTCGATGGGGAAACGTGATTGGGTGAGTGTTTCTTACGGCAGCTCCATGGGGAAACGTGATTAGACGAATATTTCCTACGGAAGCTCGATGAGGAAACGTGATTGGGCGAGTGTTTCTTATGGCACCTCGATGGGGAAACATGATTGGGCGAGTGTTTCTTACGGCAGCTCGAGGAAGGTAGAAGGTGGTGGGGAAACGTGATTGGGCGAAGAGAACAAGGTCAGTGGAGTGAGCGGGGACCTGAGCCAGGCATGTCATTCCAACCCCGCTCCATGGTCTCGCGATAAGATGCTCCTTTCCTCCAGGTACCAGCAGGGCGCTTCTCGCACCAGGGGCTTCCGACCTGCTTCAGGGGACGGTCAAAAAGTCCTTCCTGCACATGCTCCTTCTCAGGTTTCTCCAGCTGAAGACATTCAGTCGCCAAGGTGTATTTTGGGGTAGTGTGTCCTGAACCCATCGCAATACAGCGAACAGGTCAGCGGCAGCCACTCTGCTGGCGGCATCCCAAACTGCCCTCCGGAACTTCCTGTCTCCCACCCAGGGGGCTCTGGGGAACACAGCGAGGGACTCTCTCGTCTCACAGACGGGGAGTGACAAACACGGAGGGCTCGAGGCAGGGCCGGGATGTGAACCTGTGTCCCAGACGCCCGGTCAGGCACTCCTGCCACCTCCGCAGGCTGCCCCTCCACAGAGTCAGAGGACTCATCCCGGTCGGCCTGGACTATCGATCGGGCTGCACTTACAGAGTCTGCGCCCGGAAAGACAGCCAGGCCAGGCAGGACCCGCTCCACGATCCCAGGACCTGGTGCACAATGAAAATGGGGGGACCGTTATTCAACCTAACAAAGCGTTTCCAGATGGCGACAGCAGATCGCTGAACCGAGCCCAGGGCCCTGTGTGCTTGCCCAGGGCGCATGCCCATGCTGCCGGCACCGAGGCCAGGAGGGCTCCAAACATCAGGGGAACAGCTGAAGCTCCCGGGGCAGGGGATGGTGCTGGAGGCCAGTGAGGGGCTCAGGAGGATGGCATCCTGCGTTCAAAGGAAAGGCAAACCCTTGTGTATCGCTGGTGGGCGTGTAAAGTGGTACGCCTCAGTGGACTATGGTTCTAAAAACAATTCACCTTAGAATTACCATATGATCCAACAATTCCTCTTGGGTATTTTTTTTTTTAAGACAAGTTCTGGCTCTGTCACCCAGGCTGGAGTGCAATGGCATGATCATGGCTCACTGCAGCCTCGACTTCCCAGGCTCAAGCTATCCTCCCACCTCAGCTTCCCTAGTAGCTCGCACTGCAGGTGTGGGCCACCATGCCTGGCTAATTTTTTGGTATATTTTGTAGAGATGGGGTCTTGCCACATTGCCCAGGCTGGTCTCAAACTCCTGGGCTCAAGCCATCTGCCTGCATCAGTCTCCCAAAGTGCTGGGATTACAGGTGTGAGCCTGTACCCAGCCCACTGTTGGGTATTTACCCAAAAGAATTGGAAGAAGGGACTCAAACAGATATCTGTACACCTATGTTCATAGCAGCCTTCGTCACAGCAGCCAAAAGGTGGAACCAACCCAAGTGTCCATCGGCAGATGATGGATATACACAAATATCATTCAGCCGTAAAATGGAATAAAAATCCGACGTGCTCCAACAGGAATAGGCCTTGAAAACACGATGTTACGTGAAAGACGCCAGACACAAAAGGACAAATATATGATTCCACTTATATGAGAAACCCGGGGTAGTCAGCAATAGAGACAGAAAGTGGAAATGTGGTTACTGGGGCTGGGGGAGGGGAAATGGGTAGTCGTTTATGGGATCACGGAAAGTTCTGGAAATGGATGATGGTAATGGTTACACACTGTTGTGAATGTACTTCATGCCACTGAACTATATACTTAAATTCTATGTAATGTTGCTGCAATTTTTAAAAAGGGGAGGCAGGTGCTTGTGGGAAAATGAGACAACTTTGGGAGCCTGTGAGCGGCGCTGGGGGCCCAAGGGATCAGCTCCCCTTCTTGGAGTTCAGGTGCCACGTTCCATGGCCCAGCTCCCACAGCCCTCCTTGAGGTTGAAGGTCAGCCTGGAGACAGGCTCTGGGCTCCAAAGGCCCTGAGAGCCCGCTTGATCCATGGAAGCTACTGGAAACTCTCCCAGCCAAAGCCACCCCTGCACCTGCAAGGGCGGCTGCTTCAAGGAACCCACCCCCAAGTGCCGACGAAGGAAGGCTGAGCTCAGAACCTGGGGCTCGCAGCCAGGTGGGGCCGCGGACATGAGACCGTTTTCAGAATGGGGGCAAAATCTCTGCATTGCCTGAGACTTACCCTCATTTGTTACATTAGCATTGGGAAAATACCCCAGCGGGACAAGGGGCTGACTTTCCCCCATCCATCTGGAAGTTTCCATCTGTGCTGCCGACACAGCTGGCATCCTCTGCCCGCATCCTCTGCCCTTGGAACCCAACATTTTTCATATCAAACCCTGGCCTCGCAGTGCAGCCTGCGGGGCGTGGTCTTTGGCATCCGACTACCCCGATTCCAATTCGGGCCCTCTTGACTTCTCTGGGCCTCAGTTTCCTCCTCTGTAAAGTGGGAACAATAAATGTCCCTGACTCATAGGTGGATGGACATTCCCCAAAGCTCCTGCAGGTGCCTGACTCCACAAACGGTGGCCGTGATGGTGATGGTCATCCCCGCACAGCAAGATGCTTCCTCTCTCCCTGGCCGTGGCTCCGTGGAACTGAGGCTGTTTGTTGTCAGCAAACAAAGCCCAGTTGGTGAGAGGAGGTGGGGGCCGCGGGGAGGGAAGCCCGGGAGCCAGGGAGGGCGTGGCCTGGAGTCCTGATGGGCCTCCCTCCCGGAGCCAGGCAGCTTCCCTCTCCACAGCCTGCTGTGCCAACACGCCGCTGCCACCGCCGGTTCACAGACAGGCTGGAACAGGCAGGACAGATACTGCCGGCATTTGAGGACCCTGAGAGGCACGGGCAGAAAGCGGGCGTTTTCTCATGTGGGAAAGATGCCGGCCCCCGCTGTTTGGGGTGGAAATCCTCTAACCCGCTGGGCCTGTGCGCCAGGGCTGAGCAACAGCGCGGAGCCGTGCATCTGTCGGGGGCGGGACGCGGCAGCAGGGCTGTGAGGGCTGCGTTTTCTCTGCCAGCCTGATCCGCATCCCCTGCCCCTCGGTCGTCTGCCAGTGTCCGTGTATCTTTTGCCCCAGCTGGTGCGGGTTTAGGGATGTCAGCCCCAGGAGTCACAGGTGAGCTGGTTCCAATGGGAACCTCGGCATCACCTGGGAACTGAAATATGCATTGTCAGCCCCACGGCAGACCTCTGAATCAGAAACTCCGAGGTAGGATTAGTGTGTTCTGTGTTCTAACAAGTCCCTTGGGTGGTTCAGATGCAGCAGGAGGACGGGGCCATGTCCGTTTTGTCCACTACCAAACCCAGGGCCTAGAACACTGCACCTGCACCAGCATCTGCCCGATTAATGCTCGACAGAGGAATGAATGTGGATAAGCACCATTATTCCAAAGCCCCAAAGGGAGAAGCATGAAGGTTTACTGTGCCCCGGGTACCAGGCTGCCACCCTTCTCACGTTCTTATGGCATCTTGACCACTCCTGAGGCACGTGCCTCACTGAATTCTACGGGAGAAACAGCTGGTAGCTGTTGACATACTGGTCACGGTGGTGGGAGCTGTACTGGGGCCCTCATGTTTTAAATTTCCAGTCATCCTGGGACGGAAGTGTTATCCCCATTTCACAGATGAGAAAACAGAGGCACAGAGAAGCACCCATACTTTCAGGCACTAAGTAGCAGATCTGGGATTTGAAACCAGGGTCCAAAGTTCATGAGCTCTCCACTTGCGGCCTCTTCTAGGAACCACTTGGGTTATCTGGTATTTGGGACAAATCCAGTCCCTTCCGTATGCCCTGATTTTTACGGATGTCACAGAACACCTTCCACCTTCTACCAGGAAAGGCTCAGTTCTGAAAGCTAACTTGTAAGTTGGTTGCTTGGGACTAAGAAAGCAGTTTCATAAAGAAAGGATTTCTTGGTTCCCAGACCAGCCCACAAAGAACCCTTGACTCCAAGGCAGCCGCAGGCTCCCGTGAGGGATCTGCAGCCCACCTCAGCTCTGAAGCTGACACTTCCACGATGACGTCGTCTTAATGAATGCCTTCTAGGAAATGCATTTGGAATCCACCCTGGGGCTGCAGGGACTGGGTCTGGCCCAGTCATGGGGTTCTGGTGGGGGCTGAGTGTGGGGGCTCATCTGCATCAGGTCTGAGAGGGCTTTGGTCCTACAGAGGCGTGGGTAGCGCACCTGCAGCTTAGAACTGCGGGCAGAGGCCCGAGCCACTCCCAGGCTGGTGTTCCCAGGTCGGGTGTGGACCTAGGGACTGTGGGGCAGCCCACAGGCTGTCTTTTCTCTGCCAGGCAGGTGTTTACTCACTCATCTGCTATGGCCCTGGGCTCACTGCCGCCGCCCCCCGCCCTGTGGGTTTGTCAGCAGTTTGATGTGTATTTTTCCATAAAAATTCATTGTTATACATGAAATATAGTAGGTTTTAAAAGGGTAACTGTCCTACAAAGTTTATAACATAAAGCAGGAATCCCCTGCTCACCTCGAGACACCTTAGAACTCTTTTAGTTCCTTGGTATCTAAAACCTCATGCGGATTCTATGTCTTGATTTTGTAATTTTATACAGCATTATGTACTATAAAATATCACGATGTAGCTCTCACTTACGATCTCCCTGAGACACATATGCTTCTTGTATATCCTTGTGCACCTCCTCTGTCCTCATCTGGGCTGGCTGGACCAGCCACCCAGCTCCACCATCACCCTGAGGATTCTCTCCTGTGTGAGGGCTCCAGTTTCTTGTGCCCATTTTCTCTTGGTTTTCTCCCTTGTTTGGTTGGAGCACATCCTACAGTAGCTGCCTGAGAAAGAGGGCAAGGGAGGTGATATTTTTCAAGAACTCACATGTCTGAACATATCTTCATTCTAACTTCACACTGCACGAAGTTCTAGCTGGATAGAAAAGTCAACTTAGAAATTGTTTGCCCTCAGAATTCAGAAGCTCTTGCTTCTCTGTGCTCGGACTTCAAAATTTGCTTTGAGAATTTCAGCGCCATTTAAATTCCTGATCCTTTGTATGTGACTTTTTTTTTCTCTCTTTGGAAGGCTTTGGGATATTTTCTGATTATCCTGGTGTCCTGAAATTTCATAAGAATGTTTGGTGTAGTTCCTTAATTTACTTTAAAATATTTCTGACATATAAAAAATAAAAATCTAGGCCAGACGCGGTGGGTCACGCCTGTAATCCCAGCACTTTGGGAGGCTGAGACAGATGGACCACAAGGTCAGAAGTTAGAGACCATCCTGGCCAACACGGTGAAACCCCGTCTCTACTAAAATACAAAAAATTAGCTGGGCATGGTGGCACATGCTCGGGAGGCTGAGACAGGAGAATTGCTTGAACCCAGGAGGCGGAGGTTGCAGTGACCTGAGATCGCGCCACTGCACTCCAGCCTGGGCGACAGAGCAGGACTCCATCTCAAAAAAATAATAATAATACAAATCTATAATAAACATATAAATATACAATATGAAGTAAAATATAAATATTACAAACCCATCTACCTATCACTGAGCTTAATAAAACATTAAGATTCCTCTTTAATTGTATTTCTCCTCTTCCCAAGATGTGTCCTGAGTCTGTTGTTTTGTTATCCTTCCTGTTTCTGAATTCTCTTGCTGCATAAAATATATTTTAATATATAACATTCTTGCATGTTTGTGAAATCTCTATATAGATGGTGTCACGTATTTTTCTGCCACCTGTCTCTTTGTCAGCATTATTGGTGAGATACACATACTCTGAGGGTGGTGACTCAATTTCACCACTGCATAATATTCTATTGTTTGCATATATCACAATTTATGTACCTATTCTTCTGTTGAAGGCTTTTTTGGTTGCTTCTAAATTTGAGCTGTAAATATTCAGTGCATGTCTCCTGGAGCCCATGTAGATGAGTTTCTGGAGGGAAATGGTCCTGAGGCCTCCCAGCACATTGGAGTCATCTGGAGAGCTTCACAAATCCCGATGCCAGCCAAGGATACATCCAAAATCGATTAAACCAAAATCTCTAGTGGTGGGTCTGCCAGGAGTACTTTTAAAGCTCCCCAGGTGATTCCAGTGAGCAGCCAAGGGGAACAACCACTGCCCTAGACCAATGCTACTCAAGGAGTGTCCCTTCAACCATGTGTCACCTGCCAGCATGTTAGATGTGCACACTGGGGTCCCGCCCCAGAGCTGGCGAGTGAGCATGTGTGTTTCAGGAGGACCTCAGGGATGGCTGCAGGCAGCGCCCACCTTCGTCTACTGGGCATCACCAAACTGCTGCTCGGGATGGTGGAGGGGCCACACGGGTGTGGAGGCTTCACGTCCCTCTGCCGGTCACTTACAGGCTTTCTCTATGGAAGCCCATTCTCTTCAGTCCTGGGAAATATTCTTGTGTCATTTCTTCAACAATCTCCTCTCCTCTGTTTTCTGTTTCTTGGGTTGAAATTCCTATTTGATGGAGGCTGGATCTTCTGTGTTGAGCTGATCTTGTTGTTGTTCAATGTTCTTGACTTTTTCCTCTTTTGCTTTTATGCATTTTACTTTCTGGGAGATTTTCTCTCCTCTTCCATCCCTTCTCATGCATTTTAAATTCCTGCTATTATATTTTTAATGTTCAAGAACTTCAACACTGCCTTTAAAAAAATAAAATTCTTTTCTCATTTCATAGGTGTAATACTTCAGGGGATTTTCCTCTCCTTTTTTCTGTGTACTGGAGTCTCTATTTTCAGTTATTGGATTTCATCAAACGTTGGGTGCCCTTGGCTGTCCCCACTCTGAGTGAAACACAGCAAAGCTAATAGGCAGCACTGAACATGTGGGTGAGGCTTGTGGACTGGAGGTCTCACAGTGGACTGGGCAGAGACCCACTGTTTGGGGAACCCCCAGTGTCAGGATCTGTCCATCTGTTCTCTTTGATCAGTTTCCCAGAGAGAAATTCAATAATGTCCTGCCAGCCAGGTGCAGAGGCTCATGCCTGTAATCCCAGCACTGTGGGAGGCTGAGGCGGGTGGATCACAAGGTCAGGAGTTCAAGACCGGCCTGACCAACATGGAGAAACCCCATCTCTACTAAAAATACAGAATTAGCTGGGCGTGGTGGCATATGCCTATAATCCCAGCTACTCACTTGAGGCTGAGGCAGGAGAATCACTTGCACCTGGGAGGCGGAGGTTGCGGTGAGCCGAGATCATACCATTGCACTTCAGCCTGGGTGACAAGAGCGAAACTCCGTCTCAAAATAATAATAATAAATGTCCTGCCTTGGGGGTGGATGGATGGGGACTAGGCCTGGCTTTTATCAGCCTCCATCAGGGATTTTAAAGGGGAATGAGGGCGTCCCCATTTACATCCTGATTTCAGGAAGGCACCTTGCCCCAGCCTTTGGCTACCCTTGGGGTCCCCAATCCAGAATCTTTTCAGATCACCATTGGCCGGCAGTAAACCTGTCTCCTGCCATGGTCAGAGAAGGGCAGTCACCAGGCCGGGAGAGGGGACCTGAGGGTGTAAACACTTCTTTCAATCAAGACAATTCTCAGACCCACCCTGAACTTCCACCTTTGGGACACCTGGCCCCTCCAAGTTCTGTGCATTTGGGGGATTCTGCAAAGCAAATGGGCTTGTTCATGCTTGGCTTCCTTCTTTGTAGACATTTTGAGGCTGACACTAAGCAAATCATACTGTTCCAGCTTCCAAAGCTCTTCAGATATTTGTCATTCACTGCCATCTTCTCTCCTGTTCTTTTTGTCTTTGTGCTTTATGCCATTTTCATTCCTTTACGTCATTCTAGTGGGGTTTTGAGGGACAGAGGAAAATATGAATATATTCAGTGCACCATATATAACCAGAAGTCCTTGTGCATTTAAAAGACATTTTTGCATACATACGTATGTGTTTGCAGAACTCATTCTGATTATTTGTGTGTACTTTTGTATGTAGATGGCCTTGCTTATCCGTTCAGCATCAGGTGTGTGAGCTGCATGAACACACACAGATCTAGCCCCTCCTTTCACTGCGGCTTAGGAAGGGTTCCAGCAAGTCAACGCACCACAGTTTTTTCCATTTTTCCATGGACGCATCTCAGAAACACAGGCAATCGTGGTCTTCGATCAACACACTGGCTCGGTGCAAATTTTAATCTTCATTGTTTTAATTCTGAAGCATAACGTGCCACAGGGAAAGTGAGTTTCTTTACTGTTTGCCAGCAGCAAGGACAAAAAGTGAATGGTGGGGGCCCAGGAGCTCCCAGCTTGGAGAGAAGGCCCTTCCAGACCCAGGAACCCGGGGTTTGGGGCAGGAGGCAGGAAGGATGGGAGGGTGTGAACACCGACACACACACACACGTTCTCTCTCTTCAGGGAAGGGTTTTCCAGAAGCATTTGCCCATACTCTGAATGAAGTATTTTCATGCCAAGCCAAACCTCCTGAAGAGAAGTGAATTCATGGCTGAGGGAGCCACGTGCCCTGGCTGGGGATGCACCTGAACGCTGCTCTTCAGCAAGTGAGTTCATAGCATCCACCAGAGCTTCCCAGCTCCTCAAGCTGAAGACAGGCTGAGCAAAAACCAGGCAGGCCATGAGGGGATTCAAAGAAACCTAATAGGATTGGGTGCGGTGGCTCACACCTGTAATCCCAGCACTTTGGGAGGCCGAGGCGGGCGGATCACTTGAGACCAGGAGTTCAAGACCAGCCTGGCCAACATGGAGAAACCCCATCTCTTCTAAAAATACAAAAATTAACTGGGTGTGGTGGCGGGCATCTGTAATCCCACCTACTCAGGAGGCTGAGGTGAGAGAATCGCTTGAGCCCGGGAGGTGGAGGTTGCAGTGAGCCGCGATCGTGCCACTGCACCCCAGCCTGGGCAACAAAGCGAGACTGTGTCAAAAACAAACAAACATACAAAAACCAAAGAAACTAAACAGACCCAGGTTTCACTGCGGTCCTGGGCCAGCCCACGGGAGGGGGGCACTGCGCCTGCCTCCCAGAGCTGAAGGGAGAGGGAGAGGGTGGGTGAGTCTCCCCCTCACTGCTCTGGCTCTGATGCTCACCTCTAAGGGGCCACACGCAGCTTCGGAGGCCGTGCCCTAGGTTTCATTTAGTCTTGCCATTAATATAGCAACGGAGATAGCCCCACCGGGCGGCCCCTCTGACACTGCATGTGGGAAACCCCCCAGCCCAACCCAAGACACGCGCAAACTTAAAATCATCACCAGGTAGATTGGGGGTGTGGGAGGGGAGGGTAATAAATAAGGTCGGGGGCTGAGGGCAGTGGTTGGAGGGGGTGGCGGATGCAGACAGCTCCCCAGGAGAGAAGGGGTGCAGAAAGGCACTGAGCTGGGGAGGCAGACGGCTCCCAACACTGGTTTGTTGAGTCATGGCCAACAGGGTGTCTGGTGAGGGCACAAGGACCGGTCAGGGAGGAGCCGGGCAGGGTCTGGCAGGAATCCTCCACAGGGAAGTCTGTTCCAGGCACCAGACACCTCAGCCCAGGCAGCTGGAGGGGCCTGCTGGAGCTGCGTCAGCAGCGGGGGCTCGTCCAGGTGTGTCTTTTACCTTTGGATGAGAGAAAAGGCCACCACATGGTGAGCAGCGGTGGAGTCCCTCCCTCCCCGGTGACAGCTCGGCCTTTGGGAATGAGATGGAGGAGCTGGTGGGGAAGGCAGGCTTCTGCTGACAGCATCCGTGCCTCAGCCCGAGCTCGAGACCAGCACCGCTCTGCTCTGCTGTGTGATGGCAGGAAAGTCACCTGCCCCTCTGGGCTTCAGGCCCTCCTCCTAACCCAGGTGATCAACATGGCGACCTCAGGATGCCGGAAGGAGCAAATGGGCACGGAAAGAGAACACCCTCCTTTAAGCCAATCTTTCCCCAGGTTGTTTCTTAAGCCCAGGAACCCTCTCTGCACTGGGCCACACAGCTTCCGCCTTTATCACTGGACATTTACTGAGGACCTCCTAGGGGAAGGCAGTCCATGTGACACTGGATTTTGTCTCCCCGGAACCCTGTGAAGGACACCGTACCGATAATAGAACTGGGCACAGAGAGATCAAATATAAGGGTGAACCATATTGAACTGCCGATATTTCACTGTTTTTGAACCACAAAAATGCAATTTCAATTGGGCGCAGTGGCTCTTGCCTGTAATCCCAACACTTTGGGAGGCCAAGGTGGGAGGACTGTTTCAGCCCAGGAGTTCGAGACCAGCCTGGGCAACATAGGGAGACCCCGTCCCTTTGAAAAATACAAAAAATAATTAGCCGGGCATGGTGGCACTTGCCTATAGTCCTAGCTACTTGGCAGGCTGAGGCAGGAGGACCACTGGAGCCCAGGAGGTCGAGGCTGCAGTGAACGGTGATCACACCAGTGCACTCCAGCCCGGGCAACAGCATGAGATCCTGTCTCAAAAAAAAAAAAAAGCAATTTCATATGGTTCAACCTGGGGGTCTGCTCAAGGTCACATGGCTGTGGGTGGCAGGGCTGGGACAAGAACTCGGGGCTGCCGGATTCCACACTGTCCTCTGTGGAGGACCTCCAGGAGGCTAGAGGGAGGGGGCAGGGTCCACTCCACAGCCAAAGATGCCTCCCGGATGCTCTGCAGCTCCTGGGAGCCATCGAGTGGGGAAGGAGAGAGGTGCGGCAGGCGTTCCTGTGGGTGGCTGCCGGGTGCCCTCCACACCCCGGGGACGGAGATCAGCTGCTGCCCTGGTGCATGCGTGTACCCATGAATCCTCTGGCCAGGGAGGGGCCCAACCTGCCCAGGGCTTCTTTCTTGAAGGAGACAGGGCTGATCCTGCACCTGCGCAGTTTTCTCTGGCTTCAGTTTAAGGAGAACCCTCACCCCCGCCACAGGATGATCCTGGGCCAACCAGGGCTGGGCCCAGCAGGTGCAGGGCAGGGTGGGAGCCCAGGATTCTCCCCTCACTCTCTCTCTGTGCCTTGGTTTCTACACCCATCAAATGGGACAATAAGCCTCCCAGCCACTCTGCCAAGAGAATGAAAGTTCGCCCCAGGGGAGCCCGACACGTTTTATGTAGCAGAGGATGGTAACCACTGCTGTGATTACCGAGAGTGGCTAGGGATGGCTACCATTATCATTCTGGGTCCCTCTCTCTGTTCCTTGCAGGCAGGGATGGGGTCTGGCTCACCTTGTTCCCCCGCACAGTGCTTGGTAAACAACATGCAGAATTGAAAATGTCACCGACCAGTCTCCAGTTTGGGAGGAGTGAGTGAGAGAGGACACGGCCGCGGGGGCAGGAGAGGGGAGAAGGCAGCAGTTGGGTACTCACCGGGGCCCTTCGGGTCAGCCCGGGGCGGGGTCCCCCTGGCGGGTCAGCAGAGCCTGTCCCCGTCTCACCACTGGCCAGGCTGCTCTGGCACCCAGAGAGGTGGCCCGGCGGGTGGGTGAACCCCATCCTGGGGGCCTCCACGCTGCCACCTGTGGGAAATCACGTGTGGGCCCCGTGGATCTCAAACCGAGACGGGGTGATCTCAGTCCAGTTCCTCGTTTGGAACTCTAGATCTCTATGGGATGTCTGCCCCCCACCCCACCCACATGGCTGCCAGGCTCTGGCCTGACCTCACCCACATGGCTGCCGGGCTCTGGCCTGACCCCACCCACATGGCTGCCGGGCTCTGGCCTGACCTCACCCACATGGCTGCCGGGCTCTGGCCTGACCCCACCCACATGGCTGCCGGGCTCTGGCCTGACCTCACCCACATGGCTGCCGGGCTCTGGCCTGACCCCACCCACATGGCTGCCGGGCTCTGGCCTGACCTCACCCACATGGCTGCCGGGCTCTGGCCTGACCTCACCCACATGGCTGCAAGGCTCTGGCCCGACCCCACCCTCTGGCTGTTGCTGGTGGGTCCAAGAACGGGCCTGCAGGTCTTTTCACTAAGTCACAGATCACCAACATGAAAGTCCACAATTATCACAGAATGGGGGTGGGGGTGGGGGATATATATTTTGGTTAACCTAATGAGAGATGTTGACTGCTGCCTTAACTCACTAAAGGGTCTTCACTCAAACATGGTTTCTGGTCTTTGCCTGGCCAAGAGAGCAGACGTGGAGCCTGCTACTTTGCTGAACTTCTCTTGTCTCCCAGTCCTGCTTGGTCAGAGCTGAGGGTGGGTGTGGAGCGAGGGGACAAGAGCCCATGGTGGGAGGAGGAGGGGAGTATAAAGCCTGCCCTGGAAACCGAGGCTGGCAGGTAAGTTTCCTTTATACTCTTCTAAATTTTCTCTAGAATCTTCAGCCTGATGGAGCCTGGGAAGTCACTGGTCCAGGGACAGTTTTCATCTCTTGCACCATCTCTACCTGCTGATATTGGCCACTTAGAAAACTGCACTGAGGAGGATTCTGAGGGCACATCAGGGCTCTGTGGAAAGAGTATCATGATCACCTAGTAATGTCTGCCATGGTCACAGGAGAGGGGGGTGGTGGTACATGTGTCAGGTCTTTGCCAGCTCTGATTTAGCTCAAACTTCCATTCCCAACCCAGTCTTGGTCCCAAGACAGGACCCCCAAGGCATTTCACTCCCATCTGGGGCAGTTATTACAGAGCCCTTCTTCTGCGCTAAAATTGGCCTCACTGAAATCAGGACCCCCAAGGCATTTCATTCCCATCTGGGGCAGTTATTACAGAGCCCTTCTTCTGCACTAAAATTGGCCTCGCTGAAATCAGGACCCCCAAGGCATTTCGTTCCCATCTGGGGCAGTTATTACAGAGCCCTTCTTCTGCGCTAAAATTGGCCTCACTGAAATCAGGACCCCCAAGGCATTTCGTTCCCATCTGGGGCAGTTATTATGGAGCCCTTTCTTCTTCTGCACTAAAATTGGCCTCGCTGAAATCAGGACCCCCAAGGCATTTCATTCCTGTTTGGGGCAGTTATTACAGAGCCCTTCTTCTGCGCTAAAATTGGCCTCACTGAAATCAGGACCCCCAAGGCATTTCGTTCCCATCTGGGGCAGTTATTATGGAGCCCTTTCTTCTTCTGCACTAAAATTGGCCTCGCTGAAATCAGGACCCCCAAGGCATTTCATTCCCATCTGGGGCAGTTATTACAGAGCCCTTCTTCTGCGCTAAAATTGGCCTCACTGGAATCAGGACCCCCAAGGCATTTCGTTCCCATCTGGGGCAGTTATTATGGAGCCCTTTCTTCTTCTGCACTAAAATTGGCCTCGCTGAAATCAGGACCCCCAAGGCATTTCATTCCTGTTTGGGGCAGTTATTACAGAGCCCTTCTTCTGCGCTAAAATTGGCCTCACTGGAATCAGGACCCCCAAGGCATTTCGTTCCCATCTGGGGCAGTTATTATGGAGCCCTTTCTTCTTCTGCACTAAAATTGGCCTCGCTGAAATCAGGACCTCCAAGGCATTTCATTCCCATCTGGGGCAGTTATTACAGAGCCCTTCTTCTGCGCTAAAATTGGCCTCACTGGAATCAGGACCCCCAAGGCATTTCGTTCCCATCTGGGGCAGTTATTATGGAGCCCTTTCTTCTTCTGCACTAAAATTGGCCTCGCTGAAATCAGGACCCCCAAGGCATTTCATTCCCATCTGGGGCAGTTATTACAGAGCCCTTCTTCTGCGCTAAAATTGGCTTCACTGAAATCAGGACCCCCAAGGCATTTCGTTCCCATCTGGGGCAGTTATGGAGCCCTTTCTTCTTCTGCACTAAAATTGGCCTCGCTGAAATCAGGACCCCCAAGGCATTTCATTCCTGTTTGGGGCAGTTATTACAGAGCCCTTCTTCTGCGCTAAAATTGGCCTCACTGGAATCAGGACCCCCAAGGCATTTCGTTCCCATCTGGGGCAGTTATTATGGAGCCCTTTCTTCTTCTGCACTAAAATTGGCCTCGCTGAAATCAGGACCTCCAAGGCATTTCATTCCCATCTGGGGCAGTTATTACAGAGCCCTTCTTCTGCGCTAAAATTGGCCTCACTGGAATCAGGACCCCCAAGGCATTTCGTTCCCATCTGGGGCAGTTATTATGGAGCCCTTTCTTCTTCTGCACTAAAATTGGCCTCGCTGAAATCAGGACCCCCAAGGCATTTCATTCCTGTTTGGGGCAGTTATTACAGAGCCCTTCTTCTGCACTAAAATTGGCCTCACTGGAATCAGGACCCCCAAGGCATTTCGTTCCCATCTGGGGCAGTTATTATGGAGCCCTTTCTTCTTCTGCACTAAAATTGGCCTCGCTGAAATCAGGACCCCCAAGGCATTTCATTCCTGTTTGGGGCAGTTATTACAGAGCCCTTCTTCTGCGCTAAAATTGGCCTCACTGGAATCAGGACCCCCAAGGCATTTCGTTCCCATCTGGGGCAGTTATTATGGAGCCCTTTCTTCTTCTGCACTAAAATTGGCCTCGCTGAAATCAGGACCCCCAAGGCATTTCATTCTTGTTTGGGGCAGTTATTACAGAGCCCTTCTTCTGCGCTAAAATTGGCCTCACTGGAATCAGGACCCCCAAGGCATTTCGTTCCCATCTGGGGCAGTTATTATGGAGCCCTTTCTTCTTCTGCACTAAAATTGGCCTCGCTGAAATCAGGACCTCCAAGGCATTTCATTCCCATCTGGGGCAGTTATTACAGAGCCCTTCTTCTGCGCTAAAATTGGCCTCACTGAAATCAGGACCCCCAAGGCATTTCGTTCCCATCTGGGGCAGTTATTATGGAGCCCTTTCTTCTTCTGCACTAAAATTGGCCTCGCTGAAATCAGGACCCCCAAGGCATTTCATTCCCATCTGGGGCAGTTATTACAGAGCCCTTCTTCTGCGCTAAAATTGGCCTCACTGGAATCAGGACCCCCAAGGCATTTCGTTCCCATCTGGGGCAGTTATTATGGAGCCCTTTCTTCTTCTGCACTAAAATTGGCCTCGCTGAAATCAGGACCCCCAAGGCATTTCATTCCCATCTGGGGCAGTTATTACAGAGCCCTTCTTCTGCGCTAAAATTGGCCTCACTGGAATCAGGACCCCCAAGGCATTTCGTTCCCATCTGGGGCAGTATTATGGAGCCCTTTCTTCTTCTGCACTAAAATTGGCCTCGCTGAAATCAGGACCCCCAAGGCATTTTCATTCCTGGTTTGGGGCAGTTATTACAGAGCCCTTCTTCTGCGCTAAAATTGGCCTCACTGGAAATCAGGACCCCCAAGGCATTTCGTTCCCATCTGGGGCAGTTATTATGGAGCCCATTCTTCTTCTGCACTAAAATTGGCCTCCCGAAATCAGGACCTCCAAGGCATTTCATTTCCATCGGGGCAGTTATTACAGAGCCCTTCTTCGCGCTAAAATTGGCCTCACTGGAATCAGGACCCCCAAGGCATTTCGTTCCCATCTGGGGCAGTTATTATGGAGCCCTTTCTTTTTCGCACTAAAATTGGCCTCGCAGAAATCAGGACCCCCAAGGCAATTCATTCCAGTTTGGGGCAGTTAATACAGAGCCCTTCTTCTGCGCTAAAATTGGCCTCAAGGAATCAGGACCCCCAAGGCATTTCGTTCCCATCTGGGGCAGTTATTATGGAGCCCTTTCTTCTTCTGCACTAAAATTGGCCTCGCTGAAATCAGGACCTCCAAGGCATTTCATTCCCATCTGGGGCAGTTATTACAGAGCCCTTCTTCTGTGCTAAAATTGGCCTCACTGAAATCAGGACCCCCAAGGCATTTCGTTCCCATCTGGGGCAGTTATTATGGAGCCCTTTCTTCTTCTGCACTAAAATTGGCCTCGCTGAAATCAGGACCCCCAAGGCATTTCATTCCTGTTTGGGGCAGTTATTATGGAGCCCGTTCTTCTTCTGCACTAAAATTGGCCTCACTGGAATCAGGACCCCCAAGGCATTTCGTTCCCATCTGGGGCAGTTATTATGGAGCCCTTTCTTCTTCTGCACTAAAATTGGCCTGGCTGAAATCAGGACCCCCAAGGCATTTCATTCCTGTTTGGGGCAGTTATTATGGAGCCCGTTCTTCTTCTGCACTAAAATTGGCCTGGCTGAAATCAGGACCCCCAAGGCATTTCATTCCTGTTTGGGGCAGTTATTATGGAGCCCTTTCTTCTTCTGCACTAAAATTGGCTTCGCTGAAATCAGGACCCCCAAGGCATTTCATTCCCATCTGGGGCAGTTATTACAGAGCCCTTCTTCTGCGCTAAAATTGGCCTCACTGGAATCAGGACCCCCAAGGCATTTCGTTCCCATCTGGGGCAGTTATTATGGAGCCCTTTCTTCTTCTGCACTAAAATTGGCCTCGCTGAAATCAGGACCTCCAAGGCATTTCATTCCTGTTTGGGGCAGTTATTACAGAGCCCTTCTTCTGCGCTAAAATTGGCCTCACTGGAATCAGGACCCCCAAGGCATTTCGTTCCCATCTGGGGCAGTTATTATGGAGCCCTTTCTTCTTCTGCACTAAAATTGGCCTCGCTGAAATCAGGACCTCCAAGGCATTTCATTCCTGTTTGGGGCAGTTATTATGGAGCCCTTTCTTCTTCTGTACTAAAATTGGCCTCCCTGAAATTTCTTTCAAGGGTCCCAGTTCCGACCTGTGGAGTGACCGAATGAAGCTGGCCCTTTTCCCAGAAGTCCTTTGTGTGTTTGAAGGACAGGAAAATGTCTTTCCTTTCCTCTCCCAGGCCTTCTCTATACCAGTCTCAATGCCCCCGTTAACCCTCTTTCATACAGCAGTTTCCCAGAGGGTGAGCTCAGGGATGTCCAAGTCAGAAGGCGCTTTGGAGGCCACCCGTTCTGTCTCACTTGCTAACAAGAAGGAAATGCAGGCCCAGAGGTCACAGCAGGTCCTGGGGACCCCATGGTGGTTTCATGGCAGGACTGACCTAGTGCAGGGAGGTCTGCACCTGATTTTCTCAGCTCTCATGATTCAAGAGGCAAACTCTCAGTTGGGGAACGCTCACAGGTGGGCATGGGAGGAGTCCCAGGTATGCAGGCCAAGGGCACGGGTGGCCTGGCTGGCCCTGGCTCCTGTCCTTTGCCTGCCCTCCTCACCCTGCTGTGTGTACAGAAGAGCCTCAAGGAGCCTGTTGTCCCATCCCTAGGCCTGCTTCTCCTTCCAGATGTAGAAGAACTCCTTGGACACCCACTGGGAAGCAGCAAAACCACTCTGTCCCTGGGGCTTTGGAAATAAACAGCACTTTTTTTTTTTTTTTTTTTTTTTTTTGAGATGGAGTCTTGATCTGTCGCCAGGCTGGAGTTCAGTGATGCAATCTGGGCTCACAGCAACCTCCACCCCCTGGATTCAGGCAATTCTCCTGTCTCAGCCTCCCAAGTAGCTGTGATTACAGGCACCCGCCACCACACCCAGCTAATTTTCATATTTTTAGTAGAGGTGGGGTTTCACCATGTTGGGCAAGATGGTCTCAATCTCCTGACCTCATGATCTGCCCACCCCAGCCTCCTAAAGTGCTGGGATTACAGACATAAGCCACTGTGCCCGGCCTAATAGTTTCTTTTCTTTTCTTTTCTTTTTCTTCCTTTTTTTTTTTTTTTTTTTTTTTGAGATGGAGTTTCGCTCCTGTTGCCCAGGCTGGACTGCACCGTGCCCGGCCAATAAGCAGCATTTCACTCCCCACCTTACCTGACTCCTTCCAGGGTTTGTCGCCTTTCCGGTCCCTGACCCCAGTGGATGGGAGTCTGTCCTCTAGGCTGGAGGAGCTAAGATCCGAGTCACTGTCACTGTCACTGGAAACCACTGGAAGAGACAGACCACAGCACAGGAGGTCACCCGACCAGCCCCTACCTGCAGGCATGGACGGAGGGACGAGGGCAGGCCTCCCCAGCTCATTACCACGTGGTGTAGCAGCTCAGCTGGCCCTTTCGCTTTGGGCAGAAGAAATAATGGCCTGGGGATGGGAGGACACACATTTCTGCTGCACAAAGAGGGGAGTCCTGATGTGAGGAGGCTGGGATCTGGGCTCAGGCTGACCAGCAGAGAAGAGTTCACCTGTTGGCCAGCCACCTCCACATAACACCCCCTGTTCTAGTTCCTCTAGTGGAACCAGAACCCACTGGCCGTGTCGGAGGCTGATTATCACCGTGATGCAGGCACAACAGATCTGAGGCCTCCACTCACTGAGACAATAGACCCAAGAACAACAGCTCTGAGGCCTCCACTCACTGAGACAATAGACCCAAGCACAACAGCTCTGAGGCCTCCACTCACTGAGACAATAGACCCAAAAACAACAGCTCTGAGGCCTCCACTCACTGAGACAACAGACCCAAGAACAACAGCTCTGAGGCCTCCACTCACTGAGACAATAGGCCCAAGCACAACAGCTCTGAGGCCTCCACTCACTGAGACAATAGACCCAAGAACATCAGCTCTGAGGCCTCCACTCACTGAGACAATAGACCCAAGCACAACAGCTCGGAGGGCTCCACTCGGTGAGACAATAGACCAAAGCACAACAGCTCTGAGTCCTCCAGTCACTGAGACAATAGACCCAAGCACAACAGCTCTGAGGCTGCCACTCACTGAGACAATAGACCCAAGCACATCAGCTCTGAGGCCTCCACTCACTGAGACAATAGGCCCAAGCACAACAGCTCTGAGGCCTCCACTCACTGAGACAACAAACCCAACAACAACAGCTCTGAGGCCTCCACTCACTGAGACAATAGACCCAAGCACAACAGCTCTGAGGCCTCCACTCACTGAGACAATAGACCCAAGCACAACAGCTCTGAGGCCTCCACTCACTGAGACAATAGGCCCAAGCACAACAGCTCTGAGGCCTCCACTCACTGAGACAATAGACCCAAGAACATCAGCTCTGAGTCCTCCACTCACTGAGACAATAGACCCAAGCACATCAGCTCTCAGGCCTCCACTCGGTGAGACAATAGGCCCAAGCACAACAGCTCTGAGGCCTCCACTCGGTGAGACAATAGACCCAAGCACATCAGCTCTGAGGCCTCCACTCGGTGAGACAATAGACCCAAGCACATCAGCTCTCAGGCCTCCACTCGGTGAGACAATAGACCCAAGCACATCAGCTCTCAGGCCTCCACTCACTGAGACAATAGACCCAAGAACAACAGCTCTGAGGCCTCCACTCACTGAGACAATAGGCCCAAGCACAACAGCTCTGAGGCCTCCACTCACTGAGACAACAGACCCAAGAACAACAGCTCTGAGGCCTCCACTCACTGAGACAATAGGCCCAAGCACAACAGCTCTGAGGCCTCCACTCACTGAGACAACAGACCCAAGAACAACAGCTCTGAGGCCTCCACTCACTGAGACAATAGGCCCAAGCACATCAGCTCTGAGTCCTCCACTCACTGAGACAATAGACCCAAGCACAACAGCTCTGAGGTCTCCACTCACTGAGACAATAGACCCAAGCACATCAGCTCTGAGGCCTCCACTCGGTGAGACAATAGACCCAAGCACAACAGCTCTGAGGGCTCCACTCACTGAGACAATAGACCCAAGTGCATCAGCTCTGAGGGCTCCAGTCACTGAGACAATAGACCCAAGAACAACAGCTCTGAGGCCTCCACTCACTGAGACAATAGACCCAAGCACAACAGCTCTGAGGCCTCCACTCACTGAGACAACAGACCCAAGCGCATCAGCTCTGAGGCCTCCACTCACTGAGACAATAGACCCAAGAACAACAGCTCTGAGGCCTCCACTCACTGAGACAATAGACCCAAGCACAACAGCTCTGAGGCCGCCACTCACTGAGACAATAGACCCAAGCACAACAGCTCTGAGGCCGCCACTCACTGAGACAATAGACCCAAGCACAACAGCTCTGAGGCCGCCACTCACTGAGACAATAGACCCAAGCACATCAGCTCTGAGGCCTCCACTCGGTGAGACAATAGACCCAAGCACAACAGCTCTGAGGCCGCCACTCACTGAGACAATAGACCCAAGCACAACAGCTCTGAGGCCGCCACTCACTGAGACAATAGACCCAAGCACAACAGCTCTGAGGCCTCCACTCGGTGAGACAATAGACCCAAGCACATCAGCTCTGAGGGCTCCACTCACTGAGACAATAGACCCAAGCACAACAGCTCTGAGGGCTCCACTCACTGAGACAATAGACCCAAGTGCATCAGCTCTGAGGGCTCCACTCACTGAGACAATAGACCCAAGAACAACAGCTCTGAGGCCTCCACTCACTGAGACAATAGACCCAAGCACAACAGCTCTGAGGCCTCCACTCACTGAGACAATAGACCCAAGCACATCAGCTCTGAGGCCTCCACTCGGTGAGACAATAGACCCAAGCACATCAGCTCTCAGGCCTCCACTCGGTGAGACAATAGACCCAAGCACATCAGCTCTCAGGCCTCCACTCACTGAGACAATAGACCCAAGAACAACAGCTCTGAGGCCTCCACTCACTGAGACAATAGGCCCAAGCACAACAGCTCTGAGGCCTCCACTCACTGAGACAACAGACCCAAGAAAAACAGCTCTGAGGCCTCCACTCACTGAGACAATAGGCCCAAGCACAACAGCTCTGAGGCCTCCACTCACTGAGACAACAGACCCAAGAACAACAGCTCTGAGGCCTCCACTCACTGAGACAATAGGCCCAAGAACATCAGCTCTGAGGCCTCCACTCACTGAGACAATAGACCCAAGCACAACAGCTCTGAGGCCTCCACTCACTGAGACAATAGACCCAAGCACATCAGCTCTGAGGCCTCCACTCGGTGAGACAATAGACCCAAGCACAACAGCTCTGAGGGCTCCACTCACTGAGACAATAGACCCAAGTGCATCAGCTCTGAGGGCTCCAGTCACTGAGACAATAGACCCAAGAACAACAGCTCTGAGGCCTCCACTCACTGAGACAATAGACCCAAGCACAACAGCTCTGAGGCCTCCACTCACTGAGACAACAGACCCAAGCGTATCAGCTCTGAGGCCTCCACTCACTGAGACAATAGACCCAAGAACAACAGCTCTGAGGCCTCCACTCACTGAGACAATAGACCCAAGCACATCAGCTCCGAGGCCTCCACTCGGTGAGACAATAGACCCAAGCACATCAGCTCTCAGGCCTCCACTCGGTGAGACAATAGACCCAAGCACATCAGCTCTCAGGCCTCCACTCACTGAGACAATAGACCCAAGAACAACAGCTCTGAGGCCTCCACTCACTGAGACAATAGGCCCAAGCACAACAGCTCTGAGGCCTCCACTCACTGAGACAACAGACCCAAGAAAAACAGCTCTGAGGCCTCCACTCACTGAGACAATAGGCCCAAGCACAACAGCTCTGAGGCCTCCACTCACTGAGACAACAGACCCAAGAACAACAGCTCTGAGGCCTCCACTCACTGAGACAATAGGCCCAAGAACATCAGCTCTGAGGCCTCCACTCACTGAGACAATAGACCCAAGCACAACAGCTCTGAGGCCTCCACTCACTGAGACAATAGACCCAAGCACATCAGCTCTGAGGCCTCCACTCGGTGAGACAATAGACCCAAGCACAACAGCTCTGAGGGCTCCACTCACTGAGACAATAGACCCAAGTGCATCAGCTCTGAAGGCTCCAGTCACTGAGACAATAGACCCAAGAACAACAGCTCTGAGGCCTCCACTCACTGAGACAATAGACCCAAGCACAACATCTCTGAGGCCTCCACTCACTGGGACAACAGACCCAAGCGCATCAGCTCTGAGGCCTCCACTCACTGAGACAATAGACCCAAGAACAACAGCTCTGAGGCCTCCACTCGGTGAGACAATAGACCCAAGCACAACAGCTCTGAGGCCGCCACTCACTGAGACAATAGACCCAAGCACAACAGCTCTGAGGCCGCCACTCACTGAGATAATAGACCCAAGCACATCGGCTCTGAGGCCTCCACTCGGTGAGACAATAGACCCAAGCACAACAGCTCTGAGGCCGCCACTCACTGAGACAATAGAACCAAGCACAACAGCTCTGAGGCCGCCACTCACTGAGACAATAGACCCAAGCACAACAGCTCTGAGGCCTCCACTCGGTGAGACAATAGACCCAAGCACATCAGCTCTCAGGCCTCCACTCGGTGAGACAATAGACCCAAGCACATCAGCTCTCAGGCCTCCACTCACTGAGACAATAGACCCAAGAACAACAGCTCTGAGGCCTCCACTCACTGAGACAATAGGCCCAAGCACAACAGCTCTGAGGCCTCCACTCACTGAGACAATAGACCCAAGCACAACAGCTCTGAGGCCTCCACTCACTGAGACAATAGACCCAAGCACATCAGCTCTGAGGCCTCCACTCGGTGAGACAATAGACCCAAGCACATCAGCTCTCAGGCCTCCACTCGGTGAGACAATAGACCCAAGCACATCAGCTCTCAGGCCTCCACTCACTGAGACAATAGACCCAAGAACAACAGCTCTGAGGCCTCCACTCACTGAGACAATAGGCCCAAGCACAACAGCTCTGAGGCCTCCACTCACTGAGACAACAGACCCAAGAACAACAGCTCTGAGGCCTCCACTCACTGAGACAATAGGCCCAAGCACATCAGCTCTGAGGCCTCCACTCTCTGAGACAATAGACTCAAGCACAACAGCTCTGAGGCCTCCACTCTCTGAGACAATAGACCCAAGCACAACAGCTCTGAGGCCTCCACTCACTGAGACAACAGACCCAAGCGCATCAGCTCTGAGGCCTCCACTCACTGAGACAATAGACCCAAGAACAACAGCTCTGAGACCTCCACTCACTGAGACAATAGACCCAAGCACAACAGCTCTGAGGCCTCCACTCACTGAGACAACAGACCCAAGCGCATCAGCTCTGAGGCCTCCACTCACTGAGACAATAGACCCAAGAACAACAGCTCTGAGACCTCCACTCACTGAGACAATAGACCCAAGCACAACAGCTCTGAGGCCGCCACTCACTGAGACAATAGACCCAAGCACATCAGCTCTGAGTCCTCCACTCACTGAGACAATAGACCCAAGCACAACAGCTCTGAGGCCGCCACTCACTGAGACAATAGACCCAAGCACATCAGCTCTGAGGCCTCCACTCGGTGAGACAATAGACCCAAGCACAACAGCTCTGAGGCCTCCACTCACTGAGACAATAGGCCCAAGCACAACAGCTCTGAGGCCTCCACTCACTGAGACAATAGACCCAAGCACAACAGCTCTGAGGCCTCCACTCACTGAGACAATAGACCCAAGAACATCAGCTCTGAGTCCTCCACTCACTGAGAGAATAGACCCAAGCACATCAGCTCTCAGGCCTCCACTCGGTGAGACAATAGGCCCAAGCACAACAGCTCTGAGGCCTCCACTCACTGAGACAATAGACCCAAGCGCATCAGCTCTGAGGCCTCCACTCACTGAGACAATAGACCCAAGCACATCAGCTCTGAGGCCTCCACTCACTGAGACAATAGACCCAAGAACAACAGCTCTGAGGCCTCCACTCACTGAGACAATAGACCCAAGCACAACAGCTCTGAGGCCGCCACTCACTGAGACAATAGACCCAAGCACATCAGCTCTGAGGCCTCCACTCGGTGAGACAATAGACCCAAGCGCAACAGCTCTGAGGCCTCCACTCACTGAGACAATAGGCCCAAGAACAACAGCTCTGAGGCCTCCACTCACTGAGACAATAGACCCAAGCACAACAGCTCTGAGGCCTCCACTCAGTGAGACAATAGGCCCAAGCACAACAGCTCTGAGGCCTCCACTCACTGAGACAATAGGCCCAAGAACAACAGCTCTGAGGCCTCCACTCGCTGAGACAAGGCCCAAGGCAATGCTCTGCAGGGATGTGGGGACAGTCAGAGCTGACCCTTAGGGAGCATTCCAGGCAGTTTCCATAGACACATTCATTGAAGTTTCAGAACAATTCTGTGAGGTAGGAAACAGCATTACCCCCATTTCACAGGCAAGAAAACGGGGGCACGTGCCCAAGTTGTAAGTAGAAGAGCCGGATTCTCATCCTGGCAGGCTGGCTCCGTGGCTCCTGCTCACAACCCTCTGATTTTACTGCAAGAATTGAACTGGAAGCCAGCAGGCCTGGGCTCTCATCCCAGTTCATCCAGTAACGCACAGTGCAGTCTCACAAATGCGGAAGGGAACCAGACGGATGGGGCTGGAATCCCAGCAAGGGGAGGTGAGGATGTTGTCACAGTGAACATGCACTGTGGGAGAAACTCTCTTTTCTGGACTAAATGGAAACCGTATTTGGCTGGGTAATCAACAGTGAGAGTCATAATACAGGATATAGCTACCCTTTAAACATTCTATTTTAATTTTTAACACAGAAATGTACATCCATTCACCAATCTTTTGATGCCAGGCTTGGGTGCTTCTGCAAGATTGGCCCACACAGTCTCTCAGGTATAAACTGCACCCGTATTGCATTGTCTGTGACCCCAGGTGCAGTTTCTCTGAATTGCAGCGGGACCCACAGACCCTGGCCAAGCAGGACAACTGCAGAATCCTCCTTTTTCCATTTCTTCCTCTTGGTTTCCACAGTTGTCCTGCCCACCCCTAATTCCATATATTTTTATAAAGCAAGTTGCCTCCATCAATACTTTCCAGGGCTGGGTGTGGTGGCTCACGCCTGTAATCCCAGCACTTTGGGAGGGCAAGGCGGGTGGATCACTTGAGGTCAGGAGCTCAAGACCAGGCTGGCTAACATAGTGAAACCCCATCTCTACTAAAAATACAAAAGTAAGCTTGGCGTTGTGATGGGCACGTGTACTCCCAGCTACTCGGGAGGCTGAGGCAGGAGAATCACTTGAACCTGGGAGGCGGAGGTTGCAGTGAGCTGAGATTGCGCCACTGCACTCTAGCCTGGGCGACAGAGCAAGACTCTGTCTCAAAAAAGAAAAAAAAAAAAAAGACTTTCCAAAGTCTCGGTTTTCATGAAACAATTGTCTGTTTTCTGCCTCTTTCCATCAATTCGCATAACATTTAATTAAGTGATATCATTGCAATACCAAGTACAACAGCACAGGAAGGTCTGGATCAAGGGTAACAGCTCTCATAGGCGAGAAACTCAGCAGATGGGACAGGAGTCATGGGCGCCTGTCAGCGTTTTCCTTGGGGAATGCAAAACACTGGTGGTTACGGAGGAAGGTTAGGGCGGGTTGAGCTCTTATGCCAGGCACTTTGCTGGGCCCTTAGTGAGCATCGTCTTCCAAACAACCCTGAGCCGCTGGTGAGAGGTAAGACTGGAAACAAAATCCGTCTATACTGCGGTGGCTAGCACGTTTCATCTGATCCAGTGAGCCCTTTCTGGAGCAGTGTGTAGGGAAGAATTCAGAGACCGCACTGAAGCTTAGTGGGAGGAAGTGCCTGGTCAGTTATGAAAATCCACCATGGGCACTGGGATGAGGAAACGGTAGCTGCCATGTAGATCCAGAGGCTTCTGGAAAAGCCTTCATGGCTCCAGCCTCTGTCACCTTTCAGCTAAGGGAGCCACAGGTCTTGGAACAAGCAACCAGAGGCTGGAGCTGGCTGCCATGAAGACCTGGAAGACTCTCAACCCTGTGCACCCGCAGCAGAGCGGCCAGCACACAGTGGGCGTGCCCCCAACAGAGCGGCCAGCACACAGTAGGTTCACCCCCAGCAGAGAGGCCAGCACACAAGGGTGCACCCCCAGCAGAGCGGCCAGCACACAGTAGGTGCTTCATGAAGGTCAGGGGACTCGTGGTCTTGCCTCTTTTCCCCTCATGTCCTGCCAGTTTCACTCAAATGGTTCTTAAATCAGTCACTTCCTCACCATTGTCACTGCCTTAACTCGAGGTGTCAGCTCCTCCAACCTGGACTCCTGTGACAATGCCCCACCAGGGCCCCACCTGCAGGCACTCCACTCTGTGTTCTCTGCACAGCCAGGGGATGCTCCAGCAAAAGCACAGATCCCAGCTTCACCCTCTTTAAAGGTTCCCCATGCCCCCAGGACCACACTGGGCTCCTGCCCTTTGTCTACTTTTCCTCCTGCATCCCACGCCACCTGCTGTCTCACCCTGGGTGCCTCCAGCCTCCTGCGGCTTGTGGCTCCTGCCACCACCTCCCGCTGGGACTGGCTTGCCCCTGCCCAGAATGCCCTGCCCACCCGTCTTCTCTTGGCACAGAAAACTGTCTTCTCCAGGAAGCCCTCCGTCTCACCTGTGCCCTGGCTGGCTGAATGCCCTGTGCTCTCTGCTACAACTGCACCAACCACTGTCTGCTCTGTTTGCATGTCTGCTTCCCCTAGCAGGTTGTGAGGCTCCTTGAGGGCAGGGACCAAATTGCACATGCAAATGAGGCTGGTGTGGCTCTCCTCTCTGTGGACCTGACCTGTACACTGGAGCAAGAGTGATGAGCATGGACTATTCTCAATAGCAAAGACTTGGAACCAACCCAAATGTCCATCAGTGATAGACTGGATTAAGAAAATGTGGCACATATACACCATGGAGTACTATGCAGCCATAAAAAAGGATGAGTTCATGTCCTTTGTAGGGACATGGATGAAGCTGGAAACCATCATTCTCAGCAAACTATCGCAAAGACAAAAAACCAAACAGTGCATGTTCTCACTCATAGGTGGGAATTGAACAATGAGAACACTTGGACACAGGGTGGGGAACATCACACACCGGGCCTGTCATGGGGTTGGGGGAGGGGGGAGGGATAGCGTTAGGAGATATACCTAATGTAAATGACGAGTTAATGGGTGCAGCACACCAACACGGCACATGTATACAGATGTAACAAACCTGCACGTTATGCACATGTACCCTAGAACTTAAAATATAATGGAAAAAAAAAAAAAGAGTGATGAGCATGGGATCAGGCCTGGCCTCTCCTTCCTCCATCTGCTCAGAGGCTCTGCCTTTTTCTGTCCTGCTCCCCAGGAAGAGTTCTACTCCGGCTCCTTGGACTTTTATGATGCCGCAGCAAGAGGAGATGGGGATGGGGCATGGCTGTGGTCCGTGTGCCCTCTTCGTAGTACTTGAGAAATGCAAGGAAAACCTGCCTTATTTTGCAGTTGTTTTTCGGGTCCTGGACTGAGCTGCTTTGATCATGAATCCACCAAGACTGGACCTCATGGGTGTCAGTTTTATAAGCATTTCTGTAGTTTTGACTCACTGATGAGATGCCAACCTCATGGGTCCCATGAAAAAGGGATAGGAGGAGGTGGGAAGGAGCCAGGGATTCCTGCTGGGCTCCTGGAGCAAGTTGTTCCCATGTTGCCCTTGGGGCAGCTACAGTGAAATTAGAGGCCTGTGGCTCACACTTCCCGGGAGCAGGGAGGTGTCCAGCAGGAGGACAGTCCTGCGGAGGGTGGGGTGGCTCGTCTGCACACCGGTTTCCGCCTCTCTCTGGCAGAGATGCTTATGGGAGGTCTAGTCATGCTTCCTGACTTGGAATGTCCCATCTCCCCCACAGCTAATATGGAAAATCTACACAGTCTGGGGCTGGCGGTGGGCACGGGGCTCCGTGGTGTCACACAGTACCAGGCTCCTTTGGTGCAAAGGGGCAGATGTCAAAGGACTCAGAAGGAGACGATGGGATGGGATGTCCCAGGACTGGGGTTAGGGAGGTGAGCTCACCCTCCATCTCCCCACTCTTCCTTGTTCTGTCATCTATCACACATGGTCACAGAGTTGGGCTGGGAGCAGGCGAAAACGGCAAGACAACCGTGAACCATGCCGTGCCATGTCGTGAGGACGGCGTTTGTTATGAGTCGTGCATTTTATCCAAAACAGCAACCCTGGAGGTGGAGTTAGGGTCAGGGTGCCACCTGGCCTAGTCCCCATTTGGTGCCCGTGTGCACAAGGATTCACAAAAAACAGGTAGAAATCCTCCCTGAGTTACAGTCACCTTGTTCTTCATCTCCATTTATAGACCCCAAAGGGCCACAGCCGTGAAGAAGTGGGGAAGAGCCTCAGATGCCAACTGAGCTCACACAGGTGACACAGCAGGCGCCAGGAAGCCGATGAGACAGACTCATCTCATTAGATGCATCCTCCCTGGCTTGTTCTTCATCTCCGTTTATAGACCCCAAAGGGCCACAGCCGTGAAGAAGCAGGGAAGAGCCTCTCCGTGACTGGACCCTCTCTGCTCACTGTGTTGGGATTTCAAGCTGGGGCTTAGAGGTCTTTGTGGTACAGACCCAAATCCCATTTCTAATCCACTCTAATAAACACCACTCGAAAGAAATAAACCAAAGGAAGTCAGCAGTGCCCGCACCAGCCTTGGCATTTACTGGCAGGGCGGAAGGGCCACACCGAGCAAACCCTGCTGAGAAGCCCTGGGCCCAACACAAACACGGTGTCCCCAAATGTTCCTGGCTTCCTCGGGCTGCAAAGGAAGAAGCCTTTTCTTCTTCCTCCCTCCATTGAAATGTCACCGTAAAACTCAAACTTCGGCTAATTTGCCATTCGATTGCTGTTGCCACCTTTCTCCCTGCATAGCAGCTGTGATTGTCAGTCTTCCAGGTCTATTCACAAAGATTTCAGACTCATACATCTGGCCCTTGCTCTTCCATCCTCAACATAACACTCTGTGTGTCTGAAGGCTGATACATTTTTTTTCTCTCTAATTCTCCAAAGGCTGAGTCTGGGATGGCTCACCGACGAGCCCTGTATTCTGCCCACGCCTGGTTTTTCAGATGGAAGATGCGAGTACACCAGGGAGAAGGCTGTCCCAACAGCCTTTCGGAGGAAGAAGTATCATGGAGTCACCCGGGTGCCGCCGAGAGGCAGGGGTGGGGGAGAAGCTCCCCTCCTGGGCCCCTCCACAGGGGCCTGAGCCACTTGCTGGGGACCTGGCATCCCTGAGGCTTCCCCACTGCAGCCCAGAAGGGCTGCCTGCTTGCCTGGTGCTCATCCTCAGCAGTGGCCAGCCCCAGCGCCAGCCGTGCCCACTTCTCTGGGGAGAGGCCAGCTTTTCTTTCCCCCTGCTCACTCTTGGCTGGGTTTGCAATTTGACTGTCACCATGGAAACGCAGGGTTTTGGTACACGGAGCGGGGGGAAGAGTCTTTCCTTCTGGAAACGCTTTCTTGACTGCCTCAAAGGACATGGGTGGCAGCTGTCCTGTGGAGAGGCCTGGCCTGGGATGGTCCAGGGGACAGGCGTCATGCTGGCCGTGTGGCCTCACAGCACTGCGCTGGGATGTGGGGGCCCTGCTTCCAGGCTCTGCTCAGCCACCACCTGTCTCCGTGGCCCCAGGCATCTCTCCAGGCTTCACTACAAAAACACAGGGGCTGACCCAGGCACCCACTCTGGGTCTGAATCCTGGGATTTAACCTTGGGTCAGCCCATGGGTGGAGACAGCCCTGGTGCCTCTCCCTGGTCGGGGTGGGGAGATGCTCCCACTGGGCCACAGAGCATTGCCGCCCGGCACAAGGACAGCCAGCAGCCTGAGTTTGGGAGGCACTTGTGAGCTACGGCCACTCTGCTTGGAGGCTCCCAAAGCCCCCAGAAATTATGGGAATTATAGAGGAAGAGAGATATTTTCAGCAAACATTCTGCCAAGGCAAAGCAGATGGTGGAAAATTTTGCATACTAAAAACAAAAAAAAAATTCTCTAATGTAAAGGAATGATGATAAGGCCCCTGGGAGTGTAGACACTCCCAATTAGCCGTCTCCAGCCCACCAGGCAGGCACAGCTGCAGAGACGCAGGACTGTCTGTCCCTGCTGGGACAGGGGACGGCTGCTCCACCTGCACACAGGGTAGGGTCCTTGGCCTGAAGTCCCACTGAGATGTCTCCCAAGGCTGGGGCTCCATCTTGGTGGCAGCTGGAGGGGAGCCTGGGGTGGGGGAGTCACCGGCTCTGAGACTTGGGTTGGTGTCCTGCCTCTGCCACCTCCCAGTGGTATAACTTTAGGCCAGTTTCCTATTTTTTATTTTTAGTTTTTGTAAAGACATCATCTCCCTATTTGCCAGGGCTGGTCTGTAACTCCTGGGCTCAAACAATCCTCCCGCCTCGGTCTCCCAAAGTGCTGAGATTACAGGCGTGAGTGCCCGGCCCTGGAGCAGTCCTTTACCTCTCTGTGTGCTCAGGGGCTCGCCTGCGGAAAGGGGGATGGGGACTCTCACCCCGGGTTGTCGTGAGGGTCAAAAGGAGTAACGCGGTCGGCATCTGGCCTGTGGTAGGTGCTTGATAGGCAAGAGCTGTTACATTTCAGAGGCAGCTGGAACTCACGGGCCCACACCATGCAGCACAGGCTGGCCCTGGGGTGCCCAGGCCAACCTCGCAGGTGGACTCTCCCCTTTCGAGGAAGTGTGGATTCCCAAGCTGGGCTTTGTAGGACACCCAGGACACAGGATGCCTTCAGAAGTCATTCAGAGGCAGAGCTGGGATTTGAACCCAGGCCTTTCTATTGCCAGACACCCCGCTTTTCCACCTCACCAAGCACGCAGGATGCCCCAGGGTCCTGCCTGACCCTAACGGCTCTATCCCCTCAGAAATCCTCCTCTCCAGGCGGCCAGTCCCCTCTCGGTCTCCCCACCATGCTCTTCTGTGCCCTCTCTGGACCCTTTTTCTGTCGCAGCAGAGGCTGCAGTGTGGGAGAGAGCTCTAGTTCACTCTCAGCAGCTAGGGTTGAGCTCTGGTCCTGCCTTGGATGCTCTTGGGCAAATACCTTAATCTTTTTCAACCTCAGTCTTCCCATCTGTAAAATGGAGACAAAAATAACTACTAAGTAGGACAAACAGCTTTGCAAATTTAAAAGGCTATACAAGCCTATACATATTTTTAAAAAATTAGAATCTAATCCACCCCCTCCAGGAACCCATTCAAATCATTTCTCCACTGAAAAGTCTCAATCCTCACGGGCAAAATGCCAATGGAAAGAAGCAGGGAAGACGCAACCTCCCTCCTCTCCCCACCCAGATGCTGTCTGGCTTGCATTTCAGCTCCTACCAATGCCTGCCTCAACTTCCTCAACATATTCAGGCACCACTCGAGGGCAAGGCCATACCTAAAGGCAAGTGTCCCTTCCCTCAGCCCCACTGCTGGGTTTTGGGCAAAGCGGTTACTCAGGAAATACTTGCTGACTGTTTTCCTGAAAATGCTCCCCAGGACAGGAAACCGCACTGTACAAAGACAGCAGGGCCAGCTGGGGTCAGCAAGGGGTGGGCCACAGAGGGAAAGGAGACCCCAGACCCCATCTGTCACCTCCATGTCCCCCAAAGAGCTGGGGTTTCCCCCAGGACAAGCGCTGGGCAAGCAGCCCTTCTGAGCCACGACGGAGGGACCTCAGGGATGCCAGGCCCCTCTCCCAGCCTCCCCTGAAGGGACACTCAGGGGGATGCTTGGTGGCCTCAGCCTGGCAAAAAACAGCTGAATGGGGAGGGGCTGTAGGAGGCTGCTTCCATGGCCATGGATGAGTGGGTCCTGGGGGAGAGTGCCCGGTTCACACAGCCTGCTCTTCCAAACCCACCTCCGGGCCAGGGTGCAGGGTTGGGGGAAACACGCTCTTCCTTTGGTTTGGAAACTCCCTGCAGGTTGTGGGTCTGGAAAGGGAGAAAGGGGGCTCTGAGGCCCAGAGGGCCTGTCCGCTTAGGGAGGGGTCCACTGGCAGCCAGAAGCAGCTCAGAGCCTGCCCCTCCCTCCCTCCCTCAGGGACCCTGGAGCCAGGAGATATGGGGTGTGCTTCTGGCCCTTTGCTGGCTACCACCTGACCACCCCTGACAGCCACAGGACTACCTCAGAGGGCTGGAGAGGACATGGTACCTGGGGAGCGCTGCTTCCTTGGTCCCCCTTCCAGGCTGCCATGGAAAGGCCCCCGAGGACAGCCCCAGGCACGGGAGCTGATGGGCACAGACAGGGCTGGGAATCCAGGTCTGGGGAGTGGAGGAGGGCGTCCTGCACTTGCTTATTCATTTACCATCGATTTTCATTTACTCCCTCCTTCAGGCCCAGAGACAGACAGGAGGCACCAGATAACGAAGACAAATCCTCAAATCGATAGAGATGTGGTCACCAGCATCGAAATCTCACAGTCCCTGCACTCGCTTGAGGAGCTCCAGATAGAATGAAAGGTGGATGGACGGAAGAAGAGATCGGCTCCCTCCAGAGAGAACGCGAAGTGCGGGGGACCATTCAGGGAGAGAGGGGCACTCAGTAAGGGCTTCCTGGACGAGCTGGAATTTAAGGATGGGCATAATTTAGACACAAAAGCTGAGGCTGGGGTGTGCCAGGCATCCTGGACAGAGAACAGGAAAAGCAAAGGCCAGGCAGTGGACTCCTCTGGGGCCAGGACCATCCTGCTGGCTCAGGAGAAAGGCCCCAGGCTCAGGCATACAGGGGACATGGCCTGGTCTGGGTTGGGTGTGGTCTGCACTGTCAGGGACAGATGATGGCTTTTGGTTTATGAAAGAATGAAACACGGCAAGCCTATGCCCCCTGCCCACGACTTCACTGGGGTGCAGGACGTGCTTTCGGGTGCATCCTGACTCCAGCCTTTCTCTCCGTGTGTCTCTGGGGCCTTCACTGTTCTTCCACCTCATCTCTTTGTGCCTCCCTTGTTTGTTGTTGTTGTTGTTGTTGTTTTTCATAGAGACAGGGTCTCGCTATGTTGTCCAGGTTGGTCTCGAACTCCTGGGCTCGAGGGATCCAGCCGCCTTGGCCTCCCGAAGTGCTGGGATCACAGGCGTGAGCCATGGCACCCGGCCTCTTGCTGATGTTTCCAAACTCTCCCTCTGCCTCTGAATTTCTTATCTTCATTTCCCTCCGTATCTGTGTCTTTGTGTGTTCAGAGCCTTCTAGAGTGTTTCTTGGTTCCTCCTTCTGTCTATGCCAGCTCCTCTCACTCTCCAGGATCTGCCTCTCTGCATCTCTGGGCCTCCATCTCTGTCTCTCCCTCCCCAGGTCTCTCTGTCACATATCCTCAGGGCACTGCTTTCTTGGCCTCTGGGTTTGTGCCTCAGGTTCCCCCACTTGGGCTGGAATCTCACTCCCTCAGGCCCATGGGGTCTGTGGTCAGAGCTTAGGTTTGGGGTGGGCTGCCTGCTTTGCCTGGAACTCCTGTCTATCCCAGGAGCAACCAAGGTAGGGAGGCCTGCCTGCCCCTTCCTGTGTGCAGGCCAGGGCCCTGCTGCCCACTTCTGGACCACCAGCGGGAAATCAGCTGAGCCCCATGTGCAAGGCCAGGCCTCACCTGTGACGGACAGTTGGCCCTGGGAGAGAGCTGAGAGCTGACAGGAGCCAGGGCGGTTATCTCCCAGGCCTTTGCTGGAATCAGATGGGGCAGAGAGGCCCAGATTTATTCACTTCACTTAGTCCCCGAGACAGGTGAGCGGCTGGAGATGGACGTGCTTCACTGCACGAGGCAGAGGCTAGCATGGGCCAGGCACACACGGGAGCTCTGCACACCAAAAGCAAGCCAGAGGCTGGCCCTTGGGGGCTGGGCCCCACTCTCCCAGTTCAGCTAAGACAGGGGCAAGGGGCCCGCAGATGTCACCTTGCAGCTGGAATTGACCAATCAGCCAAGGTTGTCATTGGGTCTCGGGCAAATTAGAGGCGACAGCCATGCTCCTGACCTCCGTGGTGTGGCTGATGAGGGCCTTCTGCTCTTGGAAATCCACCTCTAAGCCAGCGAGGAGGCCCACGACAGGCAGGTGGGCTGCTGGGGGAAGAGGTCGGGTGTGGCAGGAAAGCAACAGCGGCTCATTTGTGCTCAGGACATCTGTTCTGGGGGCGGCCCCTCCATTCATGCCCCTCATCACTGAGCTTGTGTCTGGCTTAACCAAGAGCTCCAAAGGTCAAAACAAATTCGTGTGTGTGAGCTTCCGTTTCAAAACACCCGCCAAGCAAGACGTGGCCGGGCCTCTACTCCCCTGAGATTTAGGGAAAGGGCAGTTTCCTGACTGCTGCAGGTGTTTCTCTGCCTTTCCATGCTGAGACTACGGTGCAAATTATTTGACCTCTCCATGACTTAGTTTCCTATTCTGTAAAATGGGACAACAGTAGCGGCCCCGTCACAGGTTGTTGGGGGATGACACGAAATAACGGAGACGCACAGCGCCCAGGACAGCCTGCAATGAGCACCCGTGTCATCTATGGCAGCTACAGCTGTTGCTGTTTTTATCGGACTCCTCAGCACCAAGGGCCAAAGCCCATCCCTTTTACCTGCACAGACAGACAGGCAAATGGTACCCAGGCCTCGGCTGACCCTGGCAGAATGGCAGCTGCCTGAGAAGACCAAGGCCGACTATCAGTGTCTCTCCCAGCGGGACCCACGGTGGCCTCAGGCAGTGCAGCGTCACCCCCCTCCCCTCGCCCTGTCTCAGCTGGGAGGGATGACATTCATTCCCCAAGTGTCTGGCTGGACCAGAGCCACAGACACAACTGTCTATGACATTGTTTGATTGTTTATTTTCTTGACCCAAACAGCAGACCTGCACCAGGGAGATCTGAGTCAGTGGCTTCCAAGGTGCCACACAGGGCCTGTGGTGCCGTTCTCAGGTGGTTCAAAGACAACTCCCCCCTTCCTTGTCTCTAAACAGTCCTTTCCGGCGTGTGTGTGTGTGTGTGTGTGTGTGTGTGTGTGTGTGTGTGTGTGTGTGTTGGCTTCTATTAGCTTTACATTTCAAAAATCCCAGGTACTTCCAGCTCCCTGGGACTACAGAATCCATGCAGGGAGGAAAATGAACAGAGATGGGGAAGGTGATAATTAAGCATAAGAGGCCTTCCTGGGGCTAGGACTTGGGAAGGAAGCTTCAGTCAGTTCATGGCACTTAGTGAGCGCTTATCAAAGCATAGTGGGGATGCTGGGTGGGTCTGACGGGATTTCGTTTGACAGCATGTGCCTGTCTGTGTGGCATGTGTGCGTGTGTGTGCAGAGGGTGGGGCCAACACGGAAATGGGGCTGGGCTTTCCAGTAGAGCCTGATCTGAGAGCTGCCTTACCAGCCACTGCTCTACCCCCCGCCTGAAATTCCTCTGTAAGTTTCATTCCCTTGGATTTAGACCTGTAAGACACGACCGCTGGGAGAGAACAGACTCTGTCCCAGCCCCTCATCCATTCTACTCATGGGGAAACCAACACCTAGAGAGGAAAAAGGACTTCCAACGCCAAGACTGTCCGGCCCAGGAGTCCCCCAGGAAAACACCAGCCCTGTGGGGGCTGGGCCTGTAAGCCCTGCTGATGAGGTCACGTTGGGCCACCTCCATGGTCATGGCAGCCACTAGGGGCAGGGTCAAGGGGTCAGGGTTAGGAGTACAGTCACACAGACGTGACCTGGTCATGCCCCTGCCTCCCACTGGCCAGGTGCAAAGGTCAGGGAGTGAAGTGAGCTGGACATGAGGGCCCTTCCCTTCTGAGAGAAGCATGCCCATTTTTCTTGCAACAGGCACCCCTATTGGTCTGTCTTCTTTCTTTTCACAGGGATGTGAAACAAGAACGGTTTCACTTTCTTCTTAAAAACACTGCAACGGTGATGCTGAAAGGGTGTCAGAGACAACAGGGCCGGGTGGGGACTGCAGCAAACCACAGAATGCAACCGGGGAGCGGCTACTTCCCCTGACCAACTTCCCTGAGCAGGGAGCGGCTACTTACCCTGACCAACTTCCCTGAGCAGGGAGCGGCTACTTACCCTGACCAACTTTCCCCCAAGCGGGGAGCGGCTACTTACCCTGACCAACTTCCCTGAGCAGGGAGCGGCTACTTACCCTGACCAACTTCCCCGAGCAGGGAGCGGCTACTTACCCTGACCAACTTCCCCGAGCAGGGAGCGGCTACTTACCCTGACCAACTTCCCCGAGCAGGGAGCGGCTACTTACCCTGACCAACTTCCCCGAACAGGGAGCGGCTACTTACCCTGACCAACTTCCCTGAGCAGGGAGCGGCTACTTACCCTGACCAACTTCCCTGAGCAGGGAGCGGCTACTTACCCTGACCAACTTCCCTGAGCAGGGAGCGGCTACTTACCCTGACCAACTTTCCCCCAAGCGGGGAGCGGCTACTTACCCTGACCAACTTCCCCGAGCAGGGAGCGGCTACTTACCCTGACCAACTTCCCTGAGCAGGGAGCGGCTACTTACCCTGACCAACTTCCCCGAGCAGGGAGCGGCTACTTACCCTGACCAACTTCCCCGAGCAGGGAGCGGCTACTTACCCTGACCAACTTCCCTGAGCAGGGAGCGGCTACTTACCCTGACCAACTTCCCTGAGCAGGGAGGTATCGGAAGCCCTTCTGACTTCCACAAAGGAAGCCAGAGCTCCAGTTTTTTTAAAAATGAGAGTTCTCCACATTTAAACTAGTTGACAATGAATTTTAAGCAGTAGGCCAGATTGAATCACTGCTCCACCAGTCTGTGACCCAAAACACAGGCAAATGTGTGGTCCCAGAGGACAGACGGCACCCACCTCCTGACAGGGAGGCTTCCTACTCCATTCCGCCTCCTTCTGCAAGCTCCAGCCCCCCCGGCCCCGGTGTGTACAACACACACTCCCAGCTGCTCTGAAGGCTGTGGAGAATTCACGTACCGCGGCTGGTATATGTGACAGAAATGGCAAATCCAGAGTCTGCTAGCAAAATACGGGGGTGGGGAGTGGGCTGGGGGTGAGGAGAAGGAGGCTGAGCTTCCAAAATGCAAATCTCTCAGGGACAGAGAGAGAAGGAAGGCGGCATAGCAGCAGCTGGCTCTGGGCGGTCAGCAATCCTATCTGAAAATAAAACATTTTACAATCCACAACTGCACCTCATTAAGAATGAATGGATCGGCTGGTATAAATAGCATGCCGCGTGAAGAAGTCAGGAAACAGCATATGCGTTTGACGGAAAAACGGCAGCCACAGGGCTGCTTATTAGCTCGGTGGGCGGAGGCTCTTCACTCACTAACAAGACGGGTCCCGGGTTCAAAGCTGGGGTCGGCCGAGGCTCTGCACTAACAAGACAGGTGCAGGGTTCAAAGCTGGGGTCAGCTGAGGCTCTGCAGTAACAAGAGGGATCCCGGGTTCAAAGCTGGGGTCGGCGGAGGCTCTGCACTAACAAGATGGATCCCGGGTTCAAAGCTGGGGTCGGGGGAGGCTCTACACTAACAAGACGGGTCCCGGGTTCAAAGCTGGGGTCGGCCGAGGCTCTGCACTAACAAGACGGATCCAGGGTTCAAAGCTGGGGTCGGCCGAGGCTCTACACTAACAAGACGGGTCCCGGGTTCAAAGCTGGGGTCGGCGGAGGCTCTGCAGTAACAAGACGGGTCCCGGGTTCAAAGCTGGGGTCGGCGGAGGCTCCACACTAACAAGACAGGTCCCGGGTTCAAAGCTGGGGTCGGCGGAGGCTCCACACTAACAAGATGGATCCAGGGTTCAAAGCTGGGGTCGGCGGAGGCTCCGCACTAACAAGATGGATCCTGGGTTCAAAGCTGGGGTCGGCGGAGGCTCCACACTAACAAGACGGATCCCGGGTTCAAAGCTGGGGTCGGCGGAGGCTCCACACTAACAAGATGGATCCAGGGTTCAAAGCTGGGGTCGGCGGAGGCTCCGCACTAACAAGATGGATCCTGGGTTCAAAGCTGGGGTCGGCCGAGGCTCTACACTAACAAGACAGGTCCCGGGTTCAAAGCTGGGGTCGGCCGAGGCTCTGCAGTAACAAGAGGGATCCAGGGTTCAAAGCTGGGGTCGGCCGAGGCTCCGCACTAACAAGACAGATCCAGGGTTCAAAGCTGGGGTCGGCCAAGGCTCTACACTAACAAGACGGATCCAGGGTTCAAAGCTGGGGTCGGCCGAGGCTCTACACTAACAAGACGGGTCCCGGGTTCAAAGCTGGGGTCGGCGGAGGCTCTGCAGTAACAAGACGGGTCCCGGGTTCAAAGCTGGGGTTGGCGGAGGCTCCACACTAACAAGACGGATCCCGGGTTCAAAGCTGGGGTCGGCGGAGGCTCCGCACTAACAAGATGGATCCCGGGTTCAAAGCTGGGGTCGGCCGAGGCTCTACACTAACAAGACAGGTCCCGGGTTCAAAGCTGGGGTCGGCCGAGGCTCTGCAGTGACAAGAGGGATCCAGGGTTCAAATCTGGGGTCGGCCGAGGCTCTGCAGTGACAAGAGGGATCCAGGGTTCAAATTTGGGGTCGGCCGAGGCTCTGCACTAACAAGACGGATCCAGGGTTCAAAGCTGGGGTCGGCGGAGGCTCTACACTAACAAGACGGATCCAGGGTTCAAAGCTGGGGTCGGCGGAGGCTCCGCAGTAACAAGACGGGTCCAGGGTTCAAAGCTGGGGTCGGCGGAGGCTCCGCAGTAACAAGACGGGTCCAGGGTTCAAAGCTGGGGTCGGCGGAGGCTCCGCAGTAACAAGACGGGTCCCGGGTTCAAAGCTGGGGTCGGCGGAGGCTCCGCAGTAACAAGACGGGTCCAGGGTTCAAAGCTGGGGTCGGCCAAGGCTCCACACTAACGAGACGGGTCCATGGGTCAAAGCTGGGGTCGGCCAAGGCTCTGCAGTAACAAGACGGGTCCCGGGTTCAAAGCTGGGGTCGGCGGTGGCTCCGCACTAACAAGACGGGGGTTCCAGGTTCAAAGCTGGGGTCGGCCACATGGCTTCCCTGATCTTGGAGCACAGAAGGCCTCACACTGTGCCAGCCCTGCTCCCGACCTGGGCTTAACTCTGGACACACAGTGCCAGCCCACAGTGAGCTTCTCACAGCTCCTGACCCACAGGACCCCCACTCTAATGTCCTACCTCTGGGCTTGAATGCTGCCATTGACAGGGAGCTCACTCCTCCGTCAGATGCAAAACACTCAGTTCTGTGGCTGGATGGCTATTGATCGAGGAAACCTAAATGTCCCCTGCTGTGGCTATTGATCAAGGAAACCTAAATGTCCCCTGCCCTGCCTCAGCTCTGCTCTGGGTCTGGGAGAAGTGGCCTTAGCTGGCCACGCCATCCGTTATGTTTGACTATCGGACACTGGCCACGCCATCCGTTATGTTTGACTATCGGACACAGAACAGAAATAATTGGGCCAATCACTTTTTCTCCCAAGTATGGACGTGAGGTCCTGAGAGCGGGGTGGGGGTGGGGCAGATGGTTGGCTTGGAGGGCTGGCAAGCTGCAGAGCGGGCGTCGGGAGCACAGAGCTGGCACAAGTAGAAGCAGCTCAGCCGCCCTGTCTGTCTCCTCGCGGCCTCGCCAGCCTTCGTCTCCCGCCCTGATTCTGGGAGAACCTTCCTCAGTGGTCTGGCAGCAACCTCTACCTCGTGCCAGCCTTGGTGGTCCCTGATCCTCACAACCAAAAATCCCCAACAGTCGGAAAAGAAAAAGCCAGTGAGCGTCGAGAACTGAGCGACAGCCTGACGCTGCACGGCTTCCGCCACGGGCGGGGCATGCGCTGGGTTTTGGAAGCCGGGATCCTGGGCCCTCTTGGGCACAGCCTGGCCGCCTACAGGACCCTGGTCAGCCTTCCCCTCCTCATCCATCATCGACAGTCCATTCCACCGTCTGTAGCTGCCCTGGAGGCTGCTCTGAGCACCAGCTGGGTTAGCGGCCATGAGTCACAGAGCGCTGGGGCTAGTACAGCTCGGAGGGACTCAGCTCTTCCCGGAAGACAGGTAGAGGGCGTGGGGTGGGGGCGGCAGGATCACTGGGGAAGGGCGGCCCCGGCAAACATTTGCGGCCTGAGCTGAACCAGGCTGTTCAACCCACACAGAACCCTCAGGCTTGCTTTCACGCCACCACAAAAAGGACCACAGTTTGGAATTTGTAAAATCTGTCTAACATCAAGTGAGCCACTGAAGTGATCGTGAAACTCCCATTTTTCTTAAAACTCCCCACCTGGAACAAATCCAAAACCTGTAAGGGAACCAGTGTGTCACCCTGTTCTGGAACAGACCTTGAAGGGAACCGGTATGTCACCCCGTTCAAAGCCACCCAGGAGGCCTGCACTCCCCTCTGGGGAAGGATGGACGGTGGAAGGCGGCAGGATTCCTGCAGAGAGGCCTGAGGAGGGACAATGACCCAGGCCTCAGAGGAGAAGGGAAAAGGAATTTGCCTCCCAGCCGGAGCTGCCTGTGTCCCAGCCTGGGAGCTTTTTGGTTCCTCTCTAAGGGCATGGACGTGAGGAGGAAATGGGTATTTACACCCTGTGAGCAGGGCTTTTGATGGTGCTGGGCAAAGTGGAGAGGCCTCCCCAAATCTGGCCAGGCCACAGCCCAGTGACAAGGCTTTCAATGATACCCCAGGATCCCAGGCCGAGGTCCACATGGTAAAACCTCATGAATCCAGAGGTCCTGGCCCCCACCTGAGAGCCCTCTGAACACTGGCTTCAGGCCCCTGGTGTCAGGCGCTCAGTCACAATTGAGAAAGGCAGGCAGAAATGACACAGCAGGCCAGGTGCGGTGGCTCATGCCTGTAGTACCAGAATTTTGGGAGGCTGAGCCAGACAGATGACTTGAGCCCAAGAGTTCAAGACCAGGCCTGGACAACGTGGAATCACCCCGTCTCTACAGATACAAAAAAAATTAGCAGGTGCGGTGGTACATGGCCAGCTACTTGGGAGGCAGAGGTGGGAGGATTGCTTGAGTCCGGGAAGTCGTGTGCAGTTAGCTGAGACTGAGCCACTGTACTCCACTCCAGCCTAGGTGACAGAGTGAAACCCTGAGAAAGAAAGAAAAGAAAGAAAGAAGAGAGAAAGAGAGAGAGAGAGAAAGAAAGGAAGGAAGAGAAAGGAAGAGGAAGGAAGGAAGGAGAAAAGAAAAGAGGGAGGGACAGAAAGAGAGAGAGAAAGAGAAAAAGAGAGAGAGAGAAAGAAAAGCAACAAAATGAAACGAAACTCCAGAAAGAGAGAGAGAAAGAGAAAAAGAGAGAGAGAGAAAAGAAAAGAAACGAAACTCCAGGGCAGACCTAGGCAGCGGTGCCTGCGGGTCACAGCTCTGGAGGTTGAAGAGAAGAAGCCGCATCCTGTTAACTGTCCTCGGCGTTGGAGGCAGAGAACAACGTCCACCTGAGAATCGCTTCCGCGCGTAGTGACTCCAGCCGCGCCTTTATCGTTCTTCCTTTCTTTACAGTGACAGCTGGAACTGCAGCACCCATCTTGTGACCATGAGGGAAAGAGAAGAATTGCAAAGACATCTGTCCTGACATCACTGAAGCTGCTGAACCGAAGCCGTGGCTCCTTCCTCTGAGCTTCGTATTTTATGAGAAAAAGATGTACTCTTTCGCTACTCAAGTATGCCATGTTGATGTGGCTACTTTCACCTCCCACCCCCAGCAGCTCTCTCTCTGTGCACAGGGTGGAAATCCAGCTTGAAGGCAAGAAGCCTGTGGAGGGGATGAACCCAGCTCTAAAGGTGTTACACCCCGGGGCCCACAGCACCGGTGCCGCCATTTACACCTCATATACCACAGGGGACCTCAGGGACCAGGCCCTATGCAAAAGCTGACTTTACTGCTGTCATATATGAGCAATGGTATGCCAGGAAGAGCAGGGGAGAGCACACACTGTCTGCAGGGATCAGGTGGAGGGGGAGAGACATCGCTCAGAGGCAGACCCTGTGACCAGGTACCAAGAGGTACTCAGGCCAGGCCGTTCCCCACCCCCTCCTGGGGAAAGAAGGAATACCCTGCTGGGACCCACCAAGGGGTCTGCAGGCAACTCCTTGGCCAAAATCAATACCCAGCGTCCAGGGGAGGGAGAGAGCAGCAAACTCAGGTAGTCAGCGCACCTGTCCTGCAGGTGCAGTGCAGTCACTGGGTCTCCCTGAGATAACACAGAGGACAGGAACACGTCTACTCTTTCCCTAATACTTTCATTGTGTTATTTTTAACATTTCGATCTTACCTATCTGCAGTGTGTTTCTGGATACACCTAGAAGGAGAAAGAAATCTAATTGCACCAGCTCCAGTTATGAGATAGGTCTGTTAGCTTCTCATTAAGTTGAAAAGTGACTTATGGTTGGCGTCCATACATTCTCAGGCTACCCTTTCTCTACTCTTGTCTATTCCACTCGTCTGTTTATTCCTACAAATAAATATTCTGTTTATCCTGATGCCAATACTATATCGTTCTTACTGATTTCAGTAACTTTATAGTAAGCTTTAAAATTTGGCTGGATAGTTCTTTCCACTACCCTCCCGATTCTGTTTTGTTTTGTTTTGTTTTTTTGAGAGATAGGGGTCTCACTCTTTCACCCAGGCTGGAGTGCAGTGGTGCAGTCTCAGCTTACTGCCGCTTCAAGCTCCTGGGCTCAAGTGATCCTCCCACCTTAGCCTCCTGAGTAGCTGGGACTACAGCTATGTGCCACCACACCTGGCTAAGTCTTACAAATTTATTTGTAGAGACAGTGTCTCGTTACGTTGCCCAGGCTAGTCTTGAACTCTTGACTCAAGCAATCCTCCTGACTTGGCCTCCCAAAATGCTGGGATTACAGGCATGAGCCAGTGTACCCAGCCTACCCTTGCTATTAGAAAGAGTTTTTTGGCCAGGTGCAGTGGCTCACGCCTCTAATCCTAGCACTTTGGGAGGCCAAGGTGGATGGATCACCTGATGTCAGGAGTTCAAGACCATCCTGACCAACATGGAGAAACCCCATCTCTACTAAAAATACAAAATTAGCGGGGCGTGGTGGTGCAAGCCTGTAATCCCAGCTACTCAGGAGGCTGAGGCAGGAGAATCACTTGAACCCAGGAGGTGGAGGTTGCAGTGAGCTGAGATCATGCCATTGCACTCCAGCCTGGGCAACAAGAGTGAAACTCCGTCTCAAAAAAAAAAAAAGGTTTTTTTGTTGTAAGCTATTCTCCACCTTATGAATTTTAAAAACTGAAATATAATTTATATACCATAAAAGGTACCCTCAGAAAGTATACAAGTCAGTGGTTTTTAGTATAGCCATACGTTTACGTAACCACCACGATCTAGTTTCAGACCATTTGCATCAGCTCTGTGTACCCATTAGCAGTCAGTCCCCATTCCCCTCCCCATCCTCCCCAAGCCCTGGCAACCGCCCATCTACTGTCTGCCTCTGTGCACTGGCTTGTTCCCACCTGCTCATATAGATGAGATCACACAACACGCGGCCTTTCGTCTCCGGCTTCTTCCACTTCGCATGGTGTTTTCAAGGCTCATCCAGGCTGCAGCGTGGATCAGCACTTTCTTCCTACGACTGAATAACGTTCCACTGTGTGATTACACCATATTTTATCCATTCATCAGCTGATGGACGTACGAGTTGTTGCCACTTTTTGGTTATAATGCTTCTGTGAACAATTGTGTCCTTATGAATATTTAAAAATCATCTTCGGCCGGGCACGGTGGCTCATGCCTGTAATCCCAGCAATTTGGGAGGCCAAGGCGGGAGGATCACGAGGTCAGGAGATCGAGACCAGCCTGGCCAACACGGTGAACCCTGTCTCTACTAAACATACAAAAAATGAGCTCGGCGTGTAGCGGGCGCCTGTAGTCCCAGCTACTCAGGAGGCTGAGGCAGGAGAATTTCTTGAACCCAGGAGGCAGAGGTTGCAGTGAGCCGAGATTGTGCCACTGCACTCCAGCCTGGCGACAGAGTGAGACTCCATCTCAATAATAATAATAATAATAATAATCTCGTTGGCCAAGGATGGTGGCTCATGCCTGTAATTCCAGCACTTTGGAAGGCCAAGGTGGGTGGACAGCTTGAGCTCAGGACTTTGAGACCAGCCTGGACAACACAGTGAGACTCCCATCTCTACAAAATATACGAATTTAAAAGTTTGGTAGGTGCAGTGGTGTGCACCTGTAGTCCCAGCTACTGGGGAGGCTGAGGTAGGAGGATCACGTGAGCCCAGGAGGTCAAGGCTGCAGCGAGCCATGATTGTGCCACGGCACTCCATCCTGGGTGACAGAGCAATACCCTGTCTCTAAAATTAAAAAAGTAAAAAAACCTAGAAATTGATTTGAATGTCCATCGATAGGTGATTAATTATAATACACTATATTGTGAGATTTTACTCAGCCATGAAAATGAATAATGTAAAATCTGTATCCGTTGGCCTGGAGGGATGCTCCTGATACTCTTTTAAGTGAAAAAAGCACCATGCAGAGTGTTGGGTAAGAGCCTATTTTTATTGCTAAAACAAAAGCCAAAAAAACCCCACCCCTTTATCAAGTATATGTTTGTAGGAACACAGAGAAAGGGTTTGGAGATGAGGGTAAGTAGAAGAGATGTTTCTTTTTCTTTTTTTTTCTTTTTTTTTTTTTTTTGAGACGGAGTCTTGCTCTTTCTCTTTTTCACACACCTTTGAATTAACTCGCTAAAATATATCTTGTATTCTTATGTAATTAAAAATTAACAAAGAAAGGACTGGCATGGTGGCTCATGCTGGTAATCCCCGCACTTTGGGAGGCCGAGGCAGGTGAATTGTTTGAGGCCAAGGGGTTTGAGACCAGCCTGGCCAATATGGCGAAACCCCGTCTCTACTAAAAATACAAAAATTAGCCAGGTTTGGTGGTATATGCCTGTAATCCCAGCTATTCAGGAGGCTAAGACTTGAGAATTGCTTGAATCCAAAAGGCAGAGGTTGTAGTGAGCAGAGATCACACCACCACACTCCAGCCTGGGTGGCAGAGCAAGACTGTCTCAATAAAAAAAAGAAAAAAATTAACAAAAAAACTTTAAAGGAGGAAGAAAAAGGAACCCACCTCAGAAACATCAACCCTTTCACCTGATTGCTCTGTGGGTTGAAAAGTTCATGACTTGTAGTATCTATTCATGATTACCTTCCTCTATTGATTACCTTCCTCTATTGACTACCTTCCTCTATTGACTACCTTCCTCTATTGATTACCCTTCCTCTATTGATTACCTTCCTCTATTGATTACCCTTCCTCTATTGATTACCTTCCTCTATTGATTACCCTTCCTCTATTGACTACCTTCCTCTATTGATTACCCTTCCTCTATTGACTACCTTCCTCTATTGACTACCTTCCTCTATTGATTACCTTCCTCTATTGATTACCCTTCCTCTATTGATTACCTTCCTCTATTGATTACCCTTCCTCTATTGACTACCTTCCTCTATTGATTACCTTCCTCTATTGATTACCCTTCCTCTATTGATTACCTTCCTCTATTGATTACCCTTCCTCTATTGACTACCTTCCTCTATTGACTACCTTCCTCTATTGACTACCTTCCTCTATTGATTACCCTTCCTCTATTGACTACCTTCCTCTATTGACTACCTTCCTCTATTGACTACCTTCCTCTATTGAATACCTTCCTCTATTGAATACCTTCCTCTATTGACTACCTTCCTCTATTGATTACCTTCCTCTATTGATTACCCTTCCTCTATTGATTACCTTCCTCTATTGATTACCTTTCCTCTACTGATTACCTTCCTCTACTGATTGCCCCTCCTCTACTGATTGCCCCTCCTCTATTGATTACCTTCCTCTATTGATTACCCTTCCTCTATTGATTACCTTCCTCTATTGACTACCTTCCTCTATTGACTACCTTCCTCTATTGATTACCTTCCTCTATTGATTACCCTTCCTCTATTGATTACCTTCCTCTATTGATTACCTTTCCTCTACTGATTACCTTCCTCTACTGATTGCCCCTCCTCTACTGATTACCCTTCCTATAATGATTACCCTTCCTCTATTGATTACCCTTCCTCTATTGATTACCTTCCTCTATTGACTACCTTCCTCTATTGATTACCCTTCCTCTATTGATTCCCTTCCTCTATTGATTACCTTCCTCTATTGACTACCTTCCTCTATTGACTACCTTCCTCTATTGATTACCTTCCTCTATTGATTACCTTTCCTCTATTGATTACCTTCCTCTACTGATTGCCCCTCCTCTACTGATTACCCTTCCTCTATTGATTACCCTTCCTCTATTGATTACCTTCCTCTATTGATTACCCTTCCTCTATTGATTACCCTTCCTCTATTGACTACCTTCCTCTATTGACTACCTTCCTCTATTGACTACCTTCCTCTATTGACTACCTTCCTCTATTGATTACCCTTCCTCTATTGATTACCTTCCTCTATTGATTACCCTTCCTCTATTGACTACCTTCCTCTATTGATTACCCTTCCTCTACTGATTGCCCCTCTACTGATTACCCTTCCTCTATTGATTACCTTCCTCTGATTACCTTCCTCTACTGATTACACTTCCTCTACTGATTACACTTCCTCTATTACCTTCCTCTATTGATTACCTTCCTCTACTGATTACCCTTCCTCTACTGATTACCCTTCCTCTACTGATTACCTTCCTCTATTGATTACCCTTCCTCTATTGATTACCCTTCCTCTATTGATTACCTTCCTCTATTACTTTCCTCTATTGATTACCCTTCCTCTATTGATCACCTTCCTCTATTGATCACCTTTCTCTATTGATTACCCCTCTATTGATTACCCTTCCTCTATTGATTATCTTCCTCTATTGATTACCCTTCCTCTATTGATTCCCTTCCTCTATTGATTACCCTTCCTCTATTGATCACCTTCCTCTATTGATTACCCTTCCTCTATTGATTACCCTTCCTCTATTGATTACCTTCCTCTATTGATTACCTTCCTCTATTGATTACCCTTCCTCTATTGATTACCCTTCCTCTTCCAACAGGGCATGAGAAAGAAAATAGGGTGGCCTGGGATGCAGGGAGAAGAAGTTGGGAGCTACAGGTGCATGAGCCTAAGAGATGTGGGATGTAGGGAGAGGGAGAGAGGGAGAGAAGGGAAGAGAATGGGGGGGGAGAGGGGGAGAAAGAACTGGAGGTGGGCAAAGAGGCTTAGAGAGAGGCTGAGAGAGCGAGCAAGCTGGTGCTGTGATCAGCTCCAAGCCAGTGAAAGGGACTGTGGGGCAGGAAGAAGATGCTGGCCCCGGGGCCCTCGGAGGCAGGGTCCCAGGAGGAGCAGCGTCTGGTGAGAGCAGGGTGGTTTTCACAGCCTCCGAGTATCTCCTGGGACTTTCCAGCAGACCCCAATCCAGAGGATCCACACTCTACTGCAAGAGCATGGGGCCACTGCCCTCCTCGCCCATGAAATTAAAAGGCCATCTTTTAATTAATTAAAAGGCCAAGTCTGCGTGCCTGAGGAAGTGAGGGGGGCTCTGCTCCTCCCCAGGGTGTGCGCATGTGCATGGGAGTATGTGTGCGTGTGGGCAACCGTGTGTGTGCATATGAGTGCGAGTGTGTGTGCGTGTGAATCAGCATGTAAGCTACTGTGTGCATGAGTGTAACGCTAGTGTGTGTACATGCATGTGTGTGTGAGCTTGTGTGTCTGCATGTGAGCAAGTGTGTATGCATGTGGATATGAGTGTGTGTATGTGGATGTGTGTGTGGATGTGAGCACTATGTGTGCATGTGGATGTGTGTGCATAAATGTGCGTGCGCAAGTGTGTGTAGACGTGTGTGTACATGTGGATGTGTGTGTGGATGTGTGTGTCCATGTGGATGTGTGTGTGCACATGGATGTGTCTGTGTGTACGTGGATGTCTGTGTGTGTGGATGTGAGCGTGTGTGTCCATGTGGATGTGTGTGTGCGTGTGGATGAGAGCATGTGTGTGTGCACGTGGATGTCAGTGTGTGTGTACGTGGGTGTGTGTGTGGATGTGTGTGTGGATGTGGATGTCAGTGTGTGTGTGTGGATGTGAGTGTGTATGTGGATGTCAGTGTGTGTGTGTGGATGTCAGTGTGTGTGTGGATATCAGTATGTGTGTGTGCATGGTGATGTGTGTGTAGGTGTGAGCGTGTGTCAATGCGGTTGTGTTTGTGTGCGTGGATGTGAGTGTGTGTGTATGCCCTGACTTGGAGCAGACGGGGCAGTGGCAGCTCTTGAAGTGGGGCATAGGCCACAGCTGCCCCCACAGGCCTTCAGCCTCTCCGGCTCAACTGGCTCCAAGCAGCATTTTAAACCCACAGGTGTCCACCAGCTTCTGCTCCCACTGTCTGAGGGACATGGACAGATCTCGAGGGCTCAGCAGGAGAAGGTCTGAGGTCCAAGGGTGGCAGAGGGACCAGGTGGAGGACCGCCACTTCTCCAGCCAATCTCGGGCCACTCAGTTCCAGGCTGGGCAGCCACAGTGCCCCTCAGGCCAGTGTCCCAGCCAGGCCTGCACCCCCTCCTCCTGAGGGACTCCCCGCCTGCATGGTCTCCACTGCATTGCATCCCACGGTCCCCACCAATGTCTGTCCGTGGCAGCGATGTCGGGGGTGAACTCATAGGCAGCAGAGGTGTACGCAGCATCCGGTAGGACCAGCGAGGAGAGGCTGCTATGAGGGAGTCGGGGTGCTGAGGACAAAGTGCCTGCAGGCTGCACACCAAGGCACAGATGCCGACCTACCTGGCAGGTCCACGTATGGGGGATTTATACCTTCTACATACATCACTGGACAACTTTCACATGTTCGTAATAAACATGCATTACTTTTGTAACAAGAAAAAACAGCCCGAATGACATAAAGATGGTCAGATGTCAGGTCACAACCGAAGACCAGGATGTCGCAAAGCCCCTGAGAAGCGGCCGCCAGGTCTATTGTGATGGGTCCACTTCCTCCAAGACGAGCCATGATCCGAACGAGCCTCCCTCACCCCTCTGCCTGCCGTCTCATCTAAGACCCTCAGACCCTGAGTATTTGGCAGAAACGTGAGCACTTCAGAGCAAAAGGACCCAGATGCCAGAGAGGGTAAGAGCCTGCCCTTGGATCCCAGCTCGGCCACACACCTGCCGAGGAAGTCCCTCCTCTTCTCTGAGCCGCAGGTACACCCATCTATAAAATGCAGTCATTAAATAACTTCCGAGCCTGTTGTGAGACCAGGAACTTTGAAATAAAACCACAAACATCAAAGCATCATGAAAGCTGCGGAGAACGGTCCACAACCAGGCGCCCCCATCGTTGCCAAGTGGGGCGGCCACCTGAGACACACACACCTTACTGTAGCCACCAGAACGCCCAGGGACACTGGGATACAAAGTCACCATACTTATTAGGACCAGGGAAGCCAGGAGTCCTCCCTTACCGAGACACAAGGCAAGTGCCAGGAAGAGATGGTGAGGGCCTGCCTGGGAAAGATGTAGGTTTTATACTTTGCAAAATACCTTAATTGACGTCCCATTTCTGTGAAGATGCGTAGTGCTGCTCATGGCATCCTTGCCCCCAGAGCAGTACTTGTATGTGATACTGCCCCCCGTGGGCCCTCCCGCCGCACTCCTGCACAGAGCGAACAGTCACCTGCTGGAGGTCCCCGCTGCTCACTCGGGAGAAGGTGTGGAGCTGAGGGCACAGGGAGGGACGCATCACCAGAATGAGCCTCGTGGATGGAGGGTGCGGGGGACTGGCCTTGTGCCTGCAAACTGCCGGGCTGGCTAATGACCCAAACTTTACAGGCCATCCTGGGAGAGAGGCAGAGGGGACTTACCTCTTCCTCGGGCCCACGTGTAGATGCGGCTGGTCTCAGAGCTTCTGGGCTCTCGCTCTGCCGGTTCCGTGGGCAAAGGTCGGAAGTGGGGGTCATCAGCTCGGCCAGGGGTCTTCAGGGGCAAGATATACTTGGGGAGCCCTTTGTAGAACCAGGCCCCCGACCTCTTCCAGACCTGAGTGGGGGAAGAGAGCTGCTTGGGGCACAGGACGCAGAGGAGCCTCCCCTCCTGCTCCTTGCCCAGATGACGGGAGGCAGGACGCGGAGAGCTAGGAGCAGAGTGGGAGTGGGAACTCTGGCTCTGCCCTCCCTGGCTGATGGGCTGGGCTGTCAGTTACCTTCCCAGGACTCAGGACATGAACTCTCCAAACCTTCTTTCTCTCCCTTATTTTAGAGTTGAGGACTTGCTCTGCTGCCCAGGCTGGAGTGCAGTGGTGCAGTCATCACCCGCTGCAGCCTCCACCTCCTGGGCTCACGCGGTCCTCCTGCCTCAGTCTCCTCAGCAGCTGGGACTACTGTACCTGGGTCTACACCTGCTTTAAAGACAAGCCCATGTCCTCCTGCTTCTCTCTTGCAGAGCAGGGATCTCAATATGGGCCTGGCATGTGAGACATGTTTATGAAAACCGTCCTCTGTTACCGTCTGTATCCACCACTCGGATCCTAGAGATTGCCTAGTCAGACCTCTGCCCATCCCCAGTCCTTTCCGGCCCCTGCTGGAAAACTCCTAGTGACAGGAAGCCCACAAGCCACCAGGCACTGCTGAGTTTCCACTAGATCTGCCAGTGACTGGCACTTCCTTCCCGCCAGCTGACCTCCCAGGCACCTTCTCTCGCTGGCCCAAGGCAGAGGGCTGCACGGGACAGACTCTCCCAGCCACAAGTACCTGCAGGCACCTCACCCAGCCCCCAAGCTCTCCTCCCTGCCAGCTGACCTCCCGGGCACCTTCTCTTGCTGGCCCAAGGCAGAGAGCTGCATGGGATGGACTCTCCCAGCCACGTGTACCTGCAGACACCTCCTCCTGCCCCCAGCTCTCCTTGGTGCCATGCCCAGATCCCCAGCTTCTCAAGGACAACACCCTGATTCCTCAGCTGTCCCAAGTCCCCTCTCATCGAGCCACCCCCTCTTGCCATGTTTGTCACTGCCCCTCGGGAGAGGGGCTCAGAAGTGGCCACAAAGCTCCAGACTTGTTCTGGCTGCCCCCATGGCACAGCCACTGGCTTTCCACCCTCTTTCCTGCCTCAGTTCTATCCTCCTTGCATCCTGAGCCTCCCAGGAGCCCCTCTTGACCCTATGTAGTCCCCCAGGGACTCTGAGAGCCAGGTGGGTCAGAGGGGGCCTGCCAGGGCCCAAGCAGGTGTAAAGCATCCCTTTATCACTGCCCTGGGGAAGTGGTGAGAGTCACCCTAAAGCTGGCCAGACAGACACCCCCAAAGGCTGGCAGAGCCCCAGGAATCCAGGGATGCCCACCCTGAACTCACAGGGTGGGAGGTGCTCTGGGTCTGGGACGCACAGCCCCTTGGGCTCTGAGGGGTCCCCCTGTTCCTCTAATATCCCCAGCTTGGACACCCAGGCTCCCCACTCCTGCTGTCCCTGGAAGCAAGGCTGAATCAATGGCAGCTTCCACATGCTCGCTGTGTGGCTTTGAGTGAGTTACTTAACCTCTCTGAGCCTGAGTTTCTTTATTGATTAAATTGATGAAACATGATAGCTGCTGAGAAAGTTGGAAGTACTCAACAGAGCAAAGGGCACCCAGAAGGTGTTCACAAGATGCCACCTGCCTGCCTCCTTCCTGTCCCTTCCGCTCGAGGCTCCAGGGCGAAGCAACCGAGGCTGAGGGAGAGCCAGGCTGGACCACATCACAGCCTTGGAAGCTCTTCTCTGAGGACTTCTCAGATGGGACAGCCTCTCCAACAGGAACAGAAAGGACCGCCTCTTGGAGAGAGCCACTGATTAGAATTCAGAGCAGCTGCTGAGTTAAGGTCCCTAAATTTGTAATGCCTCCTTCAGAAAACACCACATACTGTATAGCCTCTTTTCTGATGAAGGAAATAAATTCAGGGTATTTAGTCAGGAGGGGTGGGAGCCTGTAAACGAACACTTTGCAAAAACCTCAACTGACATGACCCTTCTCAGAGAAGGGCAGGCCAAGGTTCCGAGCCGACGTCCTGAATCTGAATCCTGGGTCTGGCACCCAGCATCTGGTGTGATTTGGACACGCTGACCTCCCTGGCCCTCAGTTTCTTCATCAGTAGGCAAACACAGGAGCAGGGCTTATCTCACCGGGAGGACTTGAGGATCAGGCCCAAGAATGAACGTGAAGCCTCAAGGGCCAGTGCCAGGCACAGAGCAGCCTCTCCACAGAGGAGAGGCCCATGGGCACCACCGCCACCCCCCTCCTGCCACCTGGCAAACACAAACAGCTTTATCACCAGTGGGCCAATTCCCTACTGGAAGAATTCAAAACCAGAAGACCAGAATCCACCTGATTCTGAGACATTGCTTCCCACCCCGCAAACTTCCTCTGCATCACATTAGTACTGTGGGATACTAACAAGAGTCAAGCCAAAAAAAAAAAAAAAAGGTTTCTAATCACATACTCTTTAAAAGCACTAGGTTAAACCAAGCTCCATCGCTGCGGGACGTCTCAGAGCCTTTACTAAGCTCCATCACTGCGGGACATCTCAGAGCCTTTATTTACTAAGCTCCATCACTGCGGGACCTCTCGGGGCCTTTACCAAGCTCCGTCGCTGCAGGACCTCTCAGACCCTTTACTAAGCTCCGTCACTGTGGGACCTCTCAGAGCCTTTACTAAGCTCCGTCGCTGCGGGACCTCTCAGAGCCTTTACTAAGCTCCATCGCTGCAGGACCTCTCAGAGCCTTTACTAAGCTCCATCGCTGCGGGACCTCTCGGAGCCTTTACTAAGGTCCATCACTGCGGGACCTCTGGGAGCCTTTACTAAGGTCCATCACTGCGGGACCTCTCAGAGCCTTTACTAAGCTCCATCACTGCGGGACCTCTCGGAGCCTTTACTAAGCTCCATCGCTGCGGGACCTCTCAGAGCCTTTACTAAGCTCCATCGCTGCGGGACCTCTCAGAGCCTAAGCTCTGTCGCTGCGGGACCTCTCAGAGCCTTTACCAAGCTCCGTCGCTGCGGGACCTCTCAGAGCCTTTACCAAGCTCCGTCGCTGCGGGACCTCTCAGAGCCTAAGCTCCGTCGCTGCGGGACCTCTCAGAGCCTTTACTAAGCTCCGTCACTGCGGGACCTCTCAGAGCCTAAGTGCCATCGCTGTGGGACCTCTCGGGGCCTTTACCAAGCTCCGTCGCTGCAGGACCTCTCAGAGCCTTTACTAAGCTCCATCGCTGTGGGAATTCTCAGAGTCTTTACTAAGCTCCCTCGCTGCGGGACCTCTCAGAGCCTTTACTAAGCTCCATCGCTGCGGGACCTCTCAGAGCCTTTACCAAGCTCCACCACTGCGGGACCTCTCAGAGCCTTTACTAAGCTTCATCCCTGTGGGACCTCTCAGAGCCTTTACCAAGCTCCGCCACTGCGGGACCTCTCAGAGCCTTTACTAAACTCCATCACTGCGGGACCTCTCGGAGCCTTTACCAAGCTCCATCACTGCAGGACCTCTCAGAGCCTAAGCTCCGTCGCTGTGGGACCTCTCAGAGCCTAAGCGCCATCGCTGCAGGACCTCTCAGAGCCTTTACTAAGCTCAGGTGCACAGGGTTATCCCAGAGGGCAAAAGAACACACCGTGCTCTCTACCCGCAATCTGCCTGGATGGTTTTCCTAGAGAAACTAGACCTTAGTAATGGGTCTGCATGGACTCGGCACTTAACTGGGCAGGGCACCTCCTTATGCTCACAGTGCCAGGCACAGACTGCCACGTCCAGACTAGGTCCCTGGCATGAATCCCTCACTGCCCCTTCCAGCCACCCTGTGTGAAGGGCCTGCTTTTGTGTCGTTCTTGAACGGCCTGGAACCTGTCTGGTGGGATGGGTGCTTCATGGCACCCGCTTTGGAAAACCCTTTCTGATCCTCTTGGAGCCTTCCTACAACACGTATTTATTTGAATGGGTAATGCAGGCACATGGTCTAAAAATCCACAAAGTGCAAAAGTAGCCAGTCTCCTCCCCCATTCCCAGAAGCATCGAAGAAGCTTATTATCTCCACTTTTCAGGTGGGGAAACTGAGGCTCCAACAAGTTCAGCAATTTCCCCAAAGCCAGCACACCCCTCTGTTGGCCTCTACTCCACACGGAAGGCCCCAGAGTCTCACCCAACAGTTTACAGATGCAAAGCAGATGCTCACTAAACTGCAGTTGAGTGGTGAATAAATCCTCAGTGGCTCAGACGTCCGTGTGGACCCTTAGTGTCCTACAGGCAGGACACCAGAGCGGAGAGGACTGCCTGACAGGAGGAAGCAGCAAACACACAGCAGCCACCAAGGCCACCCCATCTCTGAAGAGCTGCTGCAAGGCTCATTAGAGCAGGTACCCAAGTCCAAAAGGCCACGGGGGCCATGGGGTGCCAGCCAAGGGCTCGCTACGCCTCCCTCTGATGAGCGAAAGCTCTGCTCATCCTGCCCTGAGCACGTCACCTCCCTGTCCTCCACCGTGGGCTGGGCCTGGGGGACCCCAAATGAAGCAGACCCCTAAGAACCATCTGTGAACGGCGGGGCCCGTGCAGGCTTTGAACCGCACGCCACACTGTCTCCCCCACCCGCCTTGGAAGTTTTCTCTTTTTTTTTTACTTTTTTTTTTTTTGAGACAGGGTCTTGCTCTGTCACCCAGGACGGAGTGCAGTGGAGCAATCGGCTCACTGCAGCCTTCACCTGCCCAGGCTCAGGTGATCCTCCCACCTCACCCTCCCGAGTAGCTGGGACTATAGGTGGTGTGCGCCAATACACCCAGCTAATTTTTGTATTTTTTGTAGAGATGGGGTTTTACCATGTTACTCAGGCTGGTCTCTAACTCCTGGGCTCAAGCAATCTGCCCACCTCTGCCTCCCAAAGTGCTGGGATTACAAACACGAGCCACCACGCCTAGCCTCTCCCTTTTTTTATTTTCCTGAAAAATACATACCTAGCATACAAAATTAGCACAACAAAAAAGTAAAATGAAACTAGGCCACCTATAACATCACTGCACAGAGACGCCCTGCCGACCATGGCGGTGTGAATTTTCTTACACCATTGCCTGGGAAAACACACTATTTGTTTTTTGTTTTTTTGAAAACTAGGCTAATGTAGATGCAACCTGTTCCCACCCTGTCCCCCAACACCTCACTACGCATCAGAGCAGTCGTTCCGAACTCATAACTTCTCCATCATCGTTTTTCACTGCTCCACAGTTTGGATTTATTAAACTTAAGTAATCCAGCACCTCACCGAGGGACATTTGTTTCCAATCCTCGTCCTCACGGGCAGCGCCGCAGCCATCACCCCGCACCCACCCCATCAGCCCAGTGCTCGGTTATTGCCTTAGGAAAGACGGGTTGATTTTGCCCTTTTCCAAAATGCTTGGGACAGAAGTGCTTCAGATTTTGAATTTTTCCGAATTTTAGAATATTTGCATTATACGTAACCAGTTCAGCATCCCAAATCTGAAAATCCAAAATCTGAAATGCTCCAGTGAGTTTTGGATTTTGGAGCATTTCAGCTTTGGGTTTTCTGATGAATGATACTCAGCCTATATTCCACAGAGCGGGACTGCAGGGTCGAGAACTGTGTGTTTGGATGATGACATAGAGTCAGGCCGCCCTCCAGGAGGAAAAGCCACATTCCCAGGAGGCTACAGTAAGTGTTTTTGGGGTGGGGACCTCGGCTTACACTTCCTGGTGGAATCCAAGGCCTCCTCTGTGGACCCTGATCGGGGAAGGTTCCCAGGGAACCACGGTGGGCTTGGGGAGAGGCATCCATCAGGGCATGAGGCCACCAGAGTGAGGGGCGTGGGGCGAACAATGGAGCTACCCTGCCATCCCTAGGACAGGCCTTGGGGGCTGAGAGTGCTCCCCCACCTCACGCCCAGCCAGTCAAGGCCCTGTTTAACGGGGAGTGGCCAGGTTGATGCTCAGGGTGACTTGGCAATGTGGCCAAGCCATCTCTGTCGTGAGTCTTCAGGGGAAGAGACTAAGACACCCCACAGAGCTGCATTCCCGCACACTGTGGGGCCGAGAACCTCATCTGTGCCAGTGAGTCCTCAGCTCATGGACTTCCGAGCTGCTCCTTTGCGGCACCGGACCACGGTTTTGGCCTCCGGGTATGCGTGATCCTTTTTTAAAAAAATTAAAAATGTTTCCATTGTATTAAAGTATTCATAACATCAAACGTATCACCTGAAGTGCAACCCATCTCCAGAACTTGCCAAACTGAAACTCTATAACCACTAAGCAATAGCTCTCCTCTGCCCTGGCCCCTGGCCACCCCAGTCTGCTGTCTGTCCCTAGGAACGTGACTACCCTACGTACTTCCTATGAGGGGAGCCGCACGGCGTCTGTCCTGTTCCGTCCCTAGGAACGTGACTACCCTACGTACTTCCTATGAGGGGAGCCGCACGGCGTCTGTCCTGTTCCATCCCTAGGAACGTGACTACCCTACGCACTTCCTATGAGGGGAGCCGCACGGCGTCTGTCCTTTTCCATCCCTAGGAACGTGACTACCCTACGTACTTCCTATGAGGGGAGCCGCACGGCGTCTGTCCTTTTCCGTCCCTAGGAACGTGACTACCCTACGTACTTCCTATGAGGGGAGCCGCACGGCGTCTGTCCTTTTCCGTCCCTAGGAACGTGACTACCCTACGTACTTCCTATGAGGGGAGCCGCACGGCGTCTGTCCTGTTCCATCCCTAGGAACGTGACTACCCTACGTACTTCCTATGAGGGGAGCCGCACGGCGTCTGTCCTTTTCCATCCCTAGGAACGTGACTACCCTACGTACTTCCTATGAGGGGAGCCGCACGGCGTCTGTCCTTTTCCGTCCCTAGGAACGTGACTACCCTACGTACTTCCTATGAGGGGAGCCGCACGGCGTCTGTCCTTTTCCGTCCCTAGGAATGTGACTACCCTACGTACTTCCTATGAGGGGAGCCGCACGGCGTCTGTCCTTTTCCATCCCTAGGAACGTGACTACCCTACGTACTTCCTATGAGGGGAGCCGCACGGCGTCTGTCCTTTTCCGTCCCTAGGAACGTGACTACCCTACGTACTTCCTATGAGGGGAGCCGCACGGCGTCTGTCCTGTTCCCTCCCTAGGAATGTGACTACCCTAAGTACTTCCTATGAGGGGAGCCGCACGGCATCTGTCCTTTTCCATCCCTAGGAACGTGACTACCCTACGTACTTCCTATGAGGGGAGCCGCACGGCGTCTGTCCTTTTCCATCCCTAGGAACGTGACTACCCTACCTACTTCCTATGAGGGGAGCCGCACGGCGTCTGTCCTTTTCCATCCCTAGGAACGTGACTACCCTACGTACTTCCTATGAGGGGAGCCGCACGGCGTCTGTCCTTTTCCATCCCTAGGAACGTGACTACCCTACGTACTTCCTATGAGGGGAGCCGCACGGCGTCTGTCCTTTTCCATCCCTAGGAACGTGACTACCCTACGTACTTCCTATGAGGGGAGCCGCACGGCGTCTGTCCTTTTCCATCCCTAGGAACGTGACTACCCTACGTACTTCCTATGAGGGGAGCCGCACGGCGTCTGTCCTTTTCCATCCCTAGGAACGTGACTACCCTACGTACTTCCTATGAGGGGAGCCGCACGGCGTCTGTCCTTTTCCATCCCTAGGAATGTGACTACCCTACGTACTTCCTATGAGGGGAGCCGCACGGCGTCTGTCCTTTTCCATCCCTAGGAACGTGACTACCCTACGTACTTCCTATGAGGGGAGCCGCACGGCGTCTGTCCTTTTCCATCCCTAGGAATGTGACTACCCTACGTACTTCCTATGAGGGGAGCCGCACGGCGTCTGTCCTTTTCCATCCCTAGGAATGTGACTACCCTACGTACTTCCTATGAGGGGAGCCGCACGGCGTCTGTCCTTTTCCATCCCTAGGAACGTGACTACCCTACGTACTTCCTATGAGGGGAGCCGCACGGCGTCTGTCCTTTTCCATCCCTAGGAACGTGACTACCCTACGTACTTCCTATGAGGGGAGCTGCACGGCGTCTGTCCTTTTCCATCCCTAGGAACGTGACTACCCTACGTACTTCCTATGAGGGGAGCCGCACGGTGTCTGTCCTTTTCCATCCCTAGGAATGTGACTACCCTACGTACTTCCTATGAGGGGAGCCGCACGGCGTCTGTCCTTTTCCATCCCTAGGAACGTGACTACCCTACGTACTTCCTATGAGGGGAGTCGCACGGCGTCTGTCCTTTTCCATCCCTAGGAACGTGACTACCCTACGTACTTCCTATGAGGGGAGCCGCACGGCGTCTGTCCTTTTCCGTCCCTAGGAATGTGACTACCCTACGTACTTCCTATGAGGGGAGCCGCACGGCGTCTGTCCTTTTCCATCCCTAGGAACGTGACTACCCTACGTACTTCCTATAAGGGGAGCTGCACGGCGTCTGTCCTTTTCCATCCCTAGGAATGTGACTACCCTACGTACTTCCTATGAGGGGAGCCGCACGGCGTCTGCCCTTTTCCATCCCTAGGAATGTGACTACCCTACGTGCTTCCTATGAGGGGAGCCGCACGGTGTCTGTCCTTTTCCATCCCTAGGAACGTGACTACCCTACGTACTTCCTATGAGGGGAGCCGCACGGCGTCTGTCCTTTTCCATCCCTAGGAATGTGACTACCCTACGTACTTCCTATGAGGGGAGCCGCACGGCGTCTGTCCTTTTCCGTCCCTAGGAATGTGACTACCCTACGTACTTCCTATGAGGGGAGCCGCACGGCGTCTGTCCTTTTCCGTCCCTAGGAATGTGACTACCCTACGTACTTCCTATGAGGGCAGCCGCACGGCGTCTGTCCTTTTCCGTCCCTGGGAACGTGACTACCCTACGTACTTCCTATGAGGGGAGCCGCACGGCGTCTGTCCTTTTCCGTCCCTAGGAATGTGACTACCCTACGTACTTCCTATGAGGGGAGCCGCACGGCGTCTGTCCTTTTCCATCCCTAGGAATGTGACTACCCTACGTACTTCCTATGAGGGGAGCCGCACGGCGTCTGTCCTTTTCCATCCCTGGGAATGTGACTACCCTACGTACTTCCTATGAGGGGAGTCGCACGGCGTCTGTCCTTTTCCATCCCTAGGAACGTGACTACCCTACGTACTTCCTATGAGGGGAGCCGCACGGCGTCTGTCCTTTTCCATCCCTAGGAATGTGACTACCCTACGTACTTCCTATGAGGGGAGCTGCACGGCGTCTGTCCTTTTCCATCCCTGGGAATGTGACTACCCTACGTACTTCCTATGAGGGGAGTCGCACGGCGTCTGTCCTTTTCCATCCCTGGGAATGTGACTACCCTACGTACTTCCTATGAGGGGAGTCGCACGGCGTCTGTCCTTTTCCATCCCTAGGAACGTGACTACCCTACGTACTTCCTATGAGGGGAGCCGCACGGCGTCTGTCCTTTTCCATCCCTAGGAATGTGACTACCCTACGTACTTCCTATGAGGGGAGCCGCACGGCGTCTGTCCTTTTCCGTCCCTAGGAACGTGACTACCCTACGTACTTCCTATGAGGGGAGCCGCACGGCGTCTGTCCTTTTCCGTCCCTGGGAATGTGACTACCCTACGTACTTCCTATGAGGGGAGTCGCACGGCGTCTGTCCTTTTCCATCCCTAGGAACGTGACTACCCTACGTACTTCCTATGAGGGGAGCCGCACGGCGTCTGTCCTTTTTTCCATCTCTTAGGAATGTGACTACCCTACGTACTTTCTATGAGGGGAGCCGCACGGCGTCTGTCCTTTTTCCTTCCCTAGGAACGGGACTACCCTACGTACTTCCTATGAGGGGAGCCGCACGGCGTCTGTCCTTTTCCATCCCTAGGAATGTGACTACCCTACGTACTTCCTATGAGGGGAGCCGCACGGCGTCTGTCCTTTTCCGTCCCTAGGAACGTGACTACCCTACGTACTTCCAATGAGGGGAGCCGCACGGCGTCTGTCCTTTTCCGTCCCTAGGAACGTGACTACCCTACGTACTTCCTATGAGGGGAGCCGCACGGCGTCTGTCCTTTTCCATCCCTAGGAACGTGACTACCCTACGTACTTCCTATGAGGGGAGCTGCACGGTGTCTGTCCTTTTCCATCCCTAGGAACGTGACTACCCTACGTACTTCCTATGAGGGGAGCCGCACGGCGTCTGTCCTTTTCCGTCCCTAGGAATGTGACTACCCTACGTACTTCCTATGAGGGGAGCCGCACGGCGTCTGTCCTTTTCCGTCCCTAGGAATGTGACTACCCTACGTACTTCCTATGAGGGGAGCCGCACGGCGTCTGTCCTTTTCCGTCCCTAGGAATGTGACTACCCTACGTACTTCCTATGAGGGGAGCCGCACGGTGTCTGTCCTTTTCCGTCCCTAGGAACGTGACTACCCTACGTACTTCCTATGAGGGGAGCCGCACGGCGTCTGTCTTTTCCGTCCCTAGGAACGGGACTACCCTACGTACTTCCTATGAGGGGAGCCGCACGGCGTCTGTCCTTTTCCGTCCCTAGGAATGTGACTACCCTACGTACTTCCTATGAGGGGAGCCGCACGGCGTCTGTCCTTTTCCGTCCCTAGGAACGTGACTACCCTACGTACTTCCTATGAGGGGAGCCGCACGGCGTCTGTCCTTTTCCATCCCTAGGAACGGGACTACCCTACGTACTTCCTATGAGGGGAGCCGCACGGCGTCTGTCCTTTTCCATCCCTAGGAATGTGACTACCCTACGTACTTCCTATGAGGGGAGCCGCACGGCGTCTGTCCTTTTCCGTCCCTAGGAACGTGACTACCCTACGTACTTCCAATGAGGGGAGCCGCACGGCGTCTGTCCTTTTCCGTCCCTAGGAACGTGACTACCCTACGTACTTCCTATGAGGGGAGCCGCACGGCGTCTGTCCTTTTCCATCCCTAGGAACGTGACTACCCTACGTACTTCCTATGAGGGGAGCCGCACGGCGTCTGTCCTTTTCCATCCCTAGGAACGTGACTACCCTACGTACTTCCTATGAGGGGAGCCGCACGGCGTCTGTCCTTTTCCGTCCCTAGGAATGTGACTACCCTACGTACTTCCTATGAGGGGAGCCGCACGGCGTCTGTCCTTTTCCGTCCCTAGGAATGTGACTACCCTACGTACTTCCTATGAGGGGAGCCGCACGGCGTCTGTCCTTTTCCGTCCCTAGGAACGTGACATACCCTACGTACTTCCTATGAGGGGAGCCGCACGGCGTCTGTCCTTTTCCATCCCTAGGAACGTGACTACCCTACGTACTTCCTATGAGGGGAGCCGCACGGCGTCTGTCCTTTTCCATCCCTAGGAACGTGACTACCCTACGTACTTCCTATGAGGGGAGCCGCACGGCGTCTGTCCTTTTCCGTCCCTAGGAACGTGACTACCCTACGTACTTCCTATGAGGGGAGCCGCACGGCGTCTGTCCTTTTCCATCCCTAGGAACGTGACTACCCTACGTACTTCCTATGAGGGGAGCCGCACGGCGTCTGTCCTTTTCCATCCCTAGGAACGTGACTACCCTACGTACTTCCTATGAGGGGAGCCGCACGGCGTCTGTCCTTTTCCATCCCTAGGAACGTGACTACCCTACGTACTTCCTATGAGGGGAGCCGCACGGCGTCTGTCCTTTTCCATCCCTAGGAACGTGACTACCCTACGTACTTCCTATGAGGGGAGCCGCACGGCGTCTGTCCTTTTCCATCCCTAGGAATGTGACTACCCTACGTACTTCCTATGAGGGGAGCCGCACGGCGTCTGTCCTTTTCCATCCCTAGGAACGTGACTACCCTACGTACTTCCTATGAGGGGAGCCGCACGGCGTCTGTCCTTTTCCATCCCTAGGAATGTGACTACCCTACGTACTTCCTATGAGGGGAGCCGCACGGCGTCTGTCCTTTTCCATCCCTAGGAACGTGACTACCCTACGTACTTCCTATGAGGGGAGCCGCACGGCGTCTGTCCTTTTCCATCCCTAGGAATGTGACTACCCTACGTACTTCCTATGAGGGGAGCCGCACGGCGTCTGTCCTTTTCCGTCCCTAGGAACGTGACTACCCTACGTACTTCCTATGAGGGGAGCCGCACGGCGTCTGTCCTTTTCCATCCCTAGGAACGTGACTACCCTACGTACTTCCTATGAGGGGAGCCGCACGGCGTCTGTCCTTTTCCATCCCTAGGAATGTGACTACCCTACGTACTTCCTATGAGGGGAGCCGCACGGCGTCTGTCCTTTTCCATCCCTAGGAATGTGACTACCCTACGTACTTCCTATGAGGGGAGCCGCACGGCGTCTGTCCTTTTCCGTCCCTAGGAACGTGACTACCCTACGTACTTCCTATGAGGGGAGCCGCACGGCGTCTGTCCTTTTCCATCCCTGGGAATGTGACTACCCTACGTACTTCCTATGAGGGGAGTCGCACGGCGTCTGTCCTTTTCCATCCCTAGGAACGTGACTACCCTACGTACTTCCTATGAGGGGAGCCGCACGGCGTCTGTCCTTTTCCATCCCTAGGAATGTGACTACCCTACGTACTTCCTATGAGGGGAGCCGCACGGCGTCTGTCCTTTTCCATCCCTAGGAATGTGACTACCCTACGTACTTCCTATGAGGGGAGCCGCACGGCGTCTGTCCTTTTCCATCCCTAGGAACGGGACTACCCTACGTACTTCCTATGAGGGGAGCCGCACGGCGTCTGTCCTTTTCCATCCCTAGGAACGTGACTACCCTACGTACTTCCTATGAGGGGAGCCGCACGGCGTCTGTCCTTTTCCATCCCTAGAACGTGACTACCCTACGTACTTCCTATGAGGGGAGCCGCACGGCGTCTGTCCTTTTCCGTCCCTAGGAACGTGACTACCCTACGTACTTCCTATGAGGGGAGCCGCACGGCGTCTGTCCTTTTCCGTCCCTAGGAACGTGACTACCCTACGTACTTCCTATGAGGGGAGTCGCACGGTGTCTGTCCTTTTCCATCCCTAGGAACGTGACTACCCTACGTACTTCCTATGAGGGGAGCCGCACGGCGTCTGTCCTTTTCCATCCCTAGGAACGTGACTACCCTACGTACTTCCTATGAGGGGAGCCGCACGGCGTCTGTCCTTTTCCATCCCTAGGAACGTGACTACCCTACGTACTTCCTATAAGGGGAGCTGCACGGTGTCTGTCCTTTTCCATCCCTAGGAACGTGACTACCCTACGTACTTCCTATGAGGGGAGCCGCACGGCGTCTGTCCTTTTCCATCCCTAGGAACGTGACTACCCTACGTACTTCCTATAAGGGGAGCTGCACGGTGTCTGTCCTTTTCCATCCCTAGGAATGTGACTACCCTACGTACTTCCTATGAGGGGAGCTGCACGGTGTCTGTCCTTTTCCATCCCTAGGAACGTGACTACCCTACGTACTTCCTATGAGGGGAGCCGCACGGCGTCTGCCCTTTTCCATCCCTAGGAACGTGACTACCCTACGTACTTCCTATGAGGGGAGCTGCACGGTGTCTGTCCTTTTCCATCCCTAGGAACGTGACTACCCTACGTACTTCCTATGAGGGGAGCCGCACGGCGTCTGTCCTTTTCCGTCCCTAGGAATGTGACTACCCTACGTACTTCCTATGAGGGGAGCCGCACGGCGTCTGTCCTTTTCCATCCCTAGGAACGTGACTACCCTACGTACTTCCTATGAGGGGAGCCGCACGGCGTCTGTCCTTTTCCGTCCCTAGGAACGTGACTACCCTACGTACTTCCTATGAGGGGAGCCGCACGGCGTCTGTCCTGTTCTGTCCCTAGGAATGTGACTACCCTACGTACTTCCTATGAGGGGAGCCGCACGGCGTCTGTCCTTTTCCGTCCCTAGGAATGTGACTACCCTACGTACTTCCTATGAGGGGAGCCGCACGGCGTCTGTCCTTTTCCATCCCTAGGAACGTGACTACCCTACGTACTTCCTATGAGGGGAGCTGCACGGCGTCTGTCCTTTTCCATCCCTAGGAACGTGACTACCCTACGTACTTCCTATAAGGGGAGCTGCACGGTGTCTGTCCTTTTCCATCCCTAGGAACGTGACTACCCTACGTACTTCCTATAAGGGGAGCTGCACGGTGTCTGTCCTTTTCCGTCCCTAGGAACGTGACTACCCTACGTACTTCCTATGAGGGGAGCCGCACGGCGTCTGTCCTTTTCCATCCCTAGGAACGTGACTACCCTACGTACTTCCTATGAGGGGAGCCGCACGGCGTCTGTCCTTTTCCATCCCTAGGAACGTGACTACCCTACGTACTTCCTATGAGGGGAGCTGCACGGTGTCTGTCCTTTTCCATCCCTAGGAACGTGACTACCCTACGTACTTCCTATGAGGGGAGCCGCACGGCGTCTGTCCTTTTCCATCCCTAGGAACGTGACTACCCTACGTACTTCCTATGAGGGGAGTCGCACGGCGTCTGTCCTTTTCCGTCCCTAGGAATGTGACTACCCTACGTACTTCCTATGAGGGGAGCCGCACGGCGTCTGTCCTTTTCCATCCCTAGGAACGTGACTACCCTACGTACTTCCTATGAGGGGAGCTGCACGGTGTCTGTCCTTTTCCGTCCCTAGGAATGTGACTACCCTACGTACTTCCTATGAGGGGAGCTGCACGGCTTCTGTCCTTTTCCGTCCCTAGGAACGTGACTACCCTACGTACTTCCTATAAGGGGAGCTGCACGGTGTCTGTCCTTTTCCGTCCCTAGGAATGTGACTACCCTACGTACTTCCTATGAGGGGAGCCGCACGGCGTCTGTCCTTTTCCATCCCTAGGAACGTGACTACCCTACGTACTTCCTATGAGGGGAGCCGCACGGTGTCTGTCCTTTTCCATCCCTAGGAACGTGACTACCCTACGTACTTCCTATAAGGGGAGCTGCACGGTGTCTGTCCTTTTCCATCCCTAGGAACGTGACTACCCTACGTACTTCCTATGAGGGGAGCCGCACGGCGTCTGTCCTTTTCCATCCCTAGGAACGTGACTACCCTACGTACTTCCTATAAGGGGAGCTGCACGGTGTCTGTCCTTTTCCATCCCTAGGAATGTGACTACCCTACGTACTTCCTATGAGGGGAGCTGCACGGTGTCTGTCCTTTTCCATCCCTAGGAACGTGACTACCCTACGTACTTCCTATGAGGGGAGCCGCACGGCGTCTGCCCTTTTCCATCCCTAGGAACGTGACTACCCTACGTACTTCCTATGAGGGGAGCTGCACGGTGTCTGTCCTTTTCCATCCCTAGGAACGTGACTACCCTACGTACTTCCTATGAGGGGAGCCGCACGGCGTCTGTCCTTTTCCATCCCTAGGAATGTGACTACCCTACGTACTTCCTATGAGGGGAGCCGCACGGCGTCTGTCCTTTTCCGTCCCTAGGAATGTGACTACCCTACGTACTTCCTATGAGGGGAGCCGCACGGCGTCTGCCCTTTTCCATCCCTAGGAACGTGACTACCCTACGTACTTCCTATGAGGGGAGCCGCACGGCGTCTGTCCTTTTCCATCCCTAGGAACGTGACTACCCTACGTACTTCCTATGAGGGGAGCCGCACGGCGTCTGTCCTTTTCCGTCCCTAGGAATGTGACTACCCTACGTACTTCCTATGAGGGGAGCCGCACGGCGTCTGTCCTTTTCCGTCCCTAGGAACGTGACTACCCTACGTACTTCCTATGAGGGGAGCCGCACGGCGTCTGTCCTTTTCCATCCCTAGGAACGGGACTACCCTACGTACTTCCTATGAGGGGAGCCGCACGGCGTCTGTCCTTTTCCATCCCTAGGAATGTGACTACCCTACGTACTTCCTATGAGGGGAGCCGCACGGCGTCTGTCCTTTTCCGTCCCTAGGAACGTGACTACCCTACGTACTTCCTATGAGGGGAGCCGCACGGCGTCTGTCCTTTTCCATCCCTAGGAACGGGACTACCCTACGTACTTCCTATGAGGGGAGCCGCACGGCGTCTGTCCTTTTCCATCCCTAGGAATGTGACTACCCTACGTACTTCCTATGAGGGGAGCCGCACGGCGTCTGTCCTTTTCCATCCCTAGGAATGTGACTACCCTACGTACTTCCTATGAGGGGAGCCGCACGGCGTCTGTCCTTTTCCATCCCTAGGAATGTGACTACCCTACGTACTTCCTATGAGGGGAGCCGCACGGCGTCTGTCCTTTTCCATCCCTAGGAATATGACTACCCTACGTACTTCCTATGAGGGGAGCCGCACGGCGTCTGTCCTTTTCCATCCCTAGGAACGTGACTACCCTACGTACTTCCTATAAGGGGAGCCGCACGGCGTCTGTCCTTTTCCATCCCTAGGAACGTGACTACCCTACGTACTTCCTATGAGGGGAGCCGCACGGCGTCTGTCCTTTTCCATCCCTAGGAACGTGACTACCCTACGTACTTCCTATGAGGGGAGCCGCACGGCGTCTGTCCTTTTCCGTCCCTAGGAACGTGACTACCCTACGTACTTCCTATGAGGGGAGCCGCACGGCGTCTGTCCTTTTCCATCCCTAGGAACGTGACTACCCTACGTACTTCCTATGAGGGGAGCCGCACGGCGTCTGTCCTTTTCCATCCCTAGGAACGTGACTACCCTACGTACTTCCTATGAGGGGAGCCGCACGGCGTCTGTCCTTTTCCATCCCTAGGAATGTGACTACCCTACGTACTTCCTATGAGGGGAGCCGCACGGCGTCTGTCCTTTTCCATCCCTAGGAACGTGACTACCCTACGTACTTCCTATGAGGGGAGCCGCACGGCGTCTGTCCTTTTCCATCCCTAGGAACGTGACTACCCTACGTACTTCCTATGAGGGGAGCTGCACGGCGTCTGTCCTTTTCCATCCCTAGGAACGTGACTACCCTACGTACTTCCTATGAGGGGAGCCGCACGGCGTCTGTCCTTTTCCATCCCTAGGAATGTGACTACCCTACGTACTTCCTATGAGGGGAGCCGCACGGCGTCTGTCCTTTTCCATCCCTAGGAACGTGACTACCCTACGTACTTCCTATGAGGGGAGCCGCACGGCGTCTGTCCTTTTCCATCCCTAGGAACGTGACTACCCTACGTACTTCCTATGAGGGGAGCCGCACGGCGTCTGTCCTTTTCCATCCCTAGGAATGTGACTACCCTACGTACTTCCTATGAGGGGAGCCGCACGGCGTCTGTCCTTTTCCGTCCCTAGGAATGTGACTACCCTACGTACTTCCTATGAGGGGAGCCGCACGGCGTCTGTCCTTTTCCGTCCCTAGGAATGTGACTACCCTACGTACTTCCTATGAGGGGAGCCGCACGGCGTCTGTCCTTTTCCGTCCCTAGGAATGTGACTACCCTACGTACTTCCTATGAGGGGAGCCGCACGGTGTCTGTCCTTTTCCGTCCCTAGGAACGTGACTACCCTACGTACTTCCTATGAGGGGAGCCGCACGGCGTCTGTCCTTTTCCGTCCCTAGGAACGTGACTACCCTACGTACTTCCTATGAGGGGAGCCGCACGGCGTCTGTCCTTTTCCGTCCCTAGGAATGTGACTACCCTACGTACTTCCTATGAGGGGAGCCGCACGGCGTCTGTCCTTTTCCATCCCTAGGAACGTGACTACCCTACGTACTTCCTATGAGGGGAGCTGCACGGCGTCTGTCCTTTTCCATCCCTAGGAACGTGACTACCCTACGTACTTCCTATAAGGGGAGCTGCACGGTGTCTGTCCTTTTCCATCCCTAGGAACGTGACTACCCTACGTACTTCCTATAAGGGGAGCTGCACGGTGTCTGTCCTTTTCCGTCCCTAGGAACGTGACTACCCTACGTACTTCCTATGAGGGGAGCCGCACGGCGTCTGTCCTTTTCCATCCCTAGGAACGTGACTACCCTACGTACTTCCTATGAGGGGAGCCGCACGGCGTCTGTCCTTTTCCATCCCTAGGAACGTGACTACCCTACGTACTTTCCTATGAGGGGAGCTGCACGGTGTCTGTCCTTTCCATCCCTAGGAACGTGACTACCCCTACGTACTTCCTATGAGGGAGAGCCGCACGGCGTCTGTCCTTTTCCATCCCTAGGAACGTGACTACCCTACGTACTTCCTATGAGGGGAGCCGCACGGCGTCTGTCCTTTTCCATCCCTAGGAATGTGACTACCCTACGTACTTCCTATGAGGGGAGCCGCACGGCGTCTGTCCTTTTCCGTCCCTAGGAATGTGACTACCCTACGTACTTCCTATGAGGGGAGCCGCACGGCGTCTGTCCTTTTCCGTCCCTAGGAATGTGACTACCCTACGTACTTCCTATGAGGGGAGCTGCACGGTGTCTGTCCTTTTCCGTCCCTAGGAATGTGACTACCCTACGTACTTCCTATGAGGGGAGCCGCACGGCGTCTGTCCTTTTCCATCCCTAGGAACGTGACTACCCTACGTACTTCCTATGAGGGGAGCCGCACGGCGTCTGTCCTTTTCCGTCCCTAGGAACGTGACTACCCTACGTACTTCCTATGAGGGGAGCCGCACGGTGTCTGTCCTTTTCCATCCCTAGGAACGTGACTACCCTACGTACTTCCTATGAGGGGAGCCGCACGGCGTCTGTCCTTTTCCGTCCCTAGGAACGTGACTACCCTACGTACTTCCTATGAGGGGAGCCGCACGGCGTCTGTCCTTTTCCGTCCCTAGGAACGTGACTACCCTACGTACTTCCTATGAGGGGAGCCGCACGGCGTCTGTCCTTTTCCGTCCCTAGGAACGTGACTACCCTACGTACTTCCTATGAGGGGAGCCGCACGGCGTCTGTCCTTTTCCGTCCCTAGGAACGTGACTACCCTACGTACTTCCTATGAGGGGAGCCGCACGGTGTCTGTCCTTTTCCATCCCTAGGAACGTGACTACCCTACGTACTTCCTATGAGGGGAGCCGCACGGCGTCTGTCCTTTTCCATCCCTAGGAACGTGACTACCCTACGTACTTCCTATGAGGGGAGCCGCACGGCGTCTGTCCTTTTCCGTCCCTAGGAATGTGACTACCCTACGTACTTCCTATGAGGGGAGCCGCACGGCGTCTGTCCTTTTCCGTCCCTAGGAATGTGACTACCCTACGTACTTCCTATGAGGGGAGCCGCACGGCGTCTGTCCTTTTCCATCCCTAGGAACGTGACTACCCTACGTACTTCCTATGAGGGGAGCCGCACGGCGTCTGTCCTTTTCCATCCCTAGGAACGTGACTACCCTACGTACTTCCTATGAGGGGAGCCGCACGGCGTCTGTCCTTTTCCATCCCTAGGAATGGGACTACCCTACGTACTTCCTATGAGGGGAGCCGCACGGCGTCTGTCCTGTTCCATCCCTAGGAACGTGACTACCCTACGTACTTCCTATGAGGGGAGCCGCACGGCGTCTGTCCTTTTCCATCCCTAGGAATGTGACTACCCTACGTACTTCCTATGAGGGGAGCCGCACGGCGTCTGTCCTTTTCCATCCCTAGGAACGTGACTACCCTACGTACTTCCTATGAGGGGAGCCGCACGGCGTCTGTCCTTTTCCGTCCCTAGGAATGTGACTACCCTACGTACTTCCTATGAGGGGAGCCGCACGGCGTCTGTCCTTTTCCGTCCCTAGGAATGTGACTACCCTACGTACTTCCTATGAGGGGAGCCGCACGGCGTCTGTCCTTTTCCATCCCTAGGAACGTGACTACCCTACGTACTTCCTATGAGGGGAGCCGCACGGCGTCTGTCCTTTTCCATCCCTAGGAACGTGACTACCCTACGTACTTCCTATGAGGGGAGCCGCACGGCGTCTGTCCTTTTCCATCCCTAGGAATGGGACTACCCTACGTACTTCCTATGAGGGGAGCCGCACGGCGTCTGTCCTTTTCCATCCCTAGGAACGTGACTACCCTACGTACTTCCTATGAGGGGAGCCGCACGGCGTCTGTCCTTTTCCGTCCCTAGGAATGTGACTACCCTACGTACTTCCTATGAGGGGAGCCGCACGGCGTCTGTCCTTTTCCCTCCCTAGGAACGTGACTACCCTACGTACTTCCTATGAGGGGAGCCGCACGGCATCTGTCCTTTTCCATCCCTAGGAACGTGACTACCCTACGTACTTCCTATGAGGGGAGCCGCACGGCGTCTGTCCTTTTCCATCCCTAGGAACGTGACTACCCTACCTACTTCCTATGAGGGGAGCCGCACGGCGTCTGTCCTTTTCCATCCCTAGGAATGTGACTACCCTACGTACTTCCTATGAGGGGAGCCGCACGGCGTCTGTCCTTTTCCATCCCTAGGAACGTGACTACCCTACGTACTTCCTATGAGGGGAGCCGCACGGCGTCTGTCCTTTTCCGTCCCTAGGAATGTGACTACCCTACGTACTTCCTATGAGGGCAGCCGCACGGCGTCTGTCCTTTTCCGTCCCTGGGAACGTGACTACCCTACGTACTTCCTATGAGGGGAGCCGCACGGCGTCTGTCCTTTTCATCCCTAGGAATGTGACTACCCTACGTACTTCCTATGAGGGGAGCCGCACGGCGTCTGTCCTTTTCCATCCCTAGGAATGTGACTACCCTACGTACTTCCTATGAGGGGAGCCGCACGGCGTCTGTCCTTTTCCGTCCCTAGGAATGTGACTACCCTACGTACTTCCTATGAGGGGAGCCGCACGGCGTCTGTCCTTTTCCATCCCTAGGAACGTGACTACCCTACGTACTTCCTATGAGGGGAGCTGCACGGCGTCTGTCCTTTTCCATCCCTAGGAACGTGACTACCCTACGTACTTCCTATAAGGGGAGCTGCACGGTGTCTGTCCTTTTCCATCCCTAGGAACGTGACTACCCTACGTACTTCCTATAAGGGGAGCTGCACGGTGTCTGTCCTTTTCCGTCCCTAGGAACGTGACTACCCTACGTACTTCCTATGAGGGGAGCCGCACGGCGTCTGTCCTTTTCCATCCCTAGGAACGTGACTACCCTACGTACTTCCTATGAGGGGAGCCGCACGGCGTCTGTCCTTTTCCATCCCTAGGAACGTGACTACCCTACGTACTTCCTATGAGGGGAGCTGCACGGTGTCTGTCCTTTTCCATCCCTAGGAACGTGACTACCCTACGTACTTCCTATGAGGGGAGCCGCACGGCGTCTGTCCTTTTCCATCCCTAGGAACGTGACTACCCTACGTACTTCCTATGAGGGGAGTCGCACGGCGTCTGTCCTTTTCCGTCCCTAGGAATGTGACTACCCTACGTACTTCCTATGAGGGGAGCCGCACGGCGTCTGTCCTTTTCCATCCCTAGGAACGTGACTACCCTACGTACTTCCTATGAGGGGAGCTGCACGGTGTCTGTCCTTTTCCGTCCCTAGGAATGTGACTACCCTACGTACTTCCTATGAGGGGAGCTGCACGGCTTCTGTCCTTTTCCGTCCCTAGGAACGTGACTACCCTACGTACTTCCTATAAGGGGAGCTGCACGGTGTCTGTCCTTTTCCGTCCCTAGGAATGTGACTACCCTACGTACTTCCTATGAGGGGAGCCGCACGGCGTCTGTCCTTTTCCATCCCTAGGAACGTGACTACCCTACGTACTTCCTATGAGGGGAGCCGCACGGCGTCTGTCCTTTTCCATCCCTAGGAACGTGACTACCCTACGTACTTCCTATAAGGGGAGCTGCACGGTGTCTGTCCTTTTCCATCCCTAGGAACGTGACTACCCTACGTACTTCCTATGAGGGGAGCCGCACGGCGTCTGTCCTTTTCCATCCCTAGGAACGTGACTACCCTACGTACTTCCTATAAGGGGAGCTGCACGGTGTCTGTCCTTTTCCATCCCTAGGAATGTGACTACCCTACGTACTTCCTATGAGGGGAGCTGCACGGTGTCTGTCCTTTTCCATCCCTAGGAACGTGACTACCCTACGTACTTCCTATGAGGGGAGCCGCACGGCGTCTGCCCTTTTCCATCCCTAGGAATGTGACTACCCTACGTACTTCCTATGAGGGGAGCCGCACGGCGTCTGTCCTTTTCCATCCCTGGGAATGTGACTACCCTACGTACTTCCTATGAGGGGAGTCGCACGGCGTCTGTCCTTTTCCATCCCTAGGAACGTGACTACCCTACGTACTTCCTATGAGGGGAGCCGCACGGCGTCTGTCCTTTTCCATCCCTAGGAATGTGACTACCCTACGTACTTCCTATGAGGGGAGCTGCACGGCGTCTGTCCTTTTCCATCCCCTAGGAAATGTGACTACCCTACGTACTTCCTATGAGGGGAGCCGCACGGCGTCTGTCCTAAAACGTCCCTAGGAACGTGACTACCCTACGTACTTCCTATGAGGGGAGCCGCACGGCGTCTGTCCTTTTCCGTCCCTAGGAACGTGACTACCCTACGTACTTCCTATGAGGGGAGCCGCACGGCGTCTGTCCTTTTCCATCCCTAGGAACGTGACTACCCTACGTACTTCCTATGAGGGGAGCTGCACGGTGTCTGTCCTTTTCCATCCCTAGGAACGTGACTACCCTACGTACTTCCTATGAGGGGAGCCGCACGGCGTCTGTCCTTTTCCATCCCTAGGAATATGACTACCCTACGTACTTCCTATGAGGGGAGCCGCACGGCGTCTGTCCTTTTCCATCCCTAGGAACGTGACTACCCTACGTACTTCCTATAAGGGGAGCCGCACGGCGTCTGTCCTTTTCCATCCCTAGGAACGTGACTACCCTACGTACTTCCTATGAGGGGAGCCGCACGGCGTCTGTCCTTTTCCATCCCTAGGAACGTGACTACCCTACGTACTTCCTATGAGGGGAGCCGCACGGCGTCTGTCCTTTTCCGTCCCTAGGAACGTGACTACCCTACGTACTTCCTATGAGGGGAGCCGCACGGCGTCTGTCCTTTTCCATCCCTAGGAATGTGACTACCCTACGTACTTCCTATGAGGGGAGCCGCACGGCGTCTGTCCTTTTCCATCCCTAGGAATGTGACTACCCTACGTACTTCCTATGAGGGGAGCCGCACGGCGTCTGTCCTTTTCCATCCCTAGGAACGTGACTACCCTACGTACTTCCTATGAGGGGAGCCGCACGGCGTCTGTCCTTTTCCATCCCTAGGAACGTGACTACCCTACGTACTTCCTATGAGGGGAGCTGCACGGCGTCTGTCCTTTTCCATCCCCTAGGAATGTGACTACCCTACGTACTTCCTATGAGGGGAGTCCGCACGGCGTCTGTCCTTTTTCCATCCCTGGGAATGTGACTACCCTACGTACTTCCTATGAGGGGAGTCGCACGGCGTCTGTCCTTTTCCATCCCTAGGAACGTGACTACCCTACGTACTTCCTATGAGGGGAGCCGCACGGCGTCTGTCCTTTTCCATCCCTAGGAATGTGACTACCCTACGTACTTCCTATGAGGGGAGCCGCACGGCGTCTGTCCTTTTCCGTCCCTAGGAACGTGACTACCCTACGTACTTCCTATGAGGGGAGCCGCACGGCGTCTGTCCTTTTCCGTCCCTGGGAATGTGACTACCCTACGTACTTCCTATGAGGGGAGTCGCACGGCGTCTGTCCTTTTCCATCCCTAGGAACGTGACTACCCTACGTACTTCCTATGAGGGGAGCCGCACGGCGTCTGTCCTTTTCCATCCCTAGGAATGTGACTACCCTACGTACTTCCTATGAGGGGAGCCGCACGGCGTCTGTCCTTTTCCATCCCTAGGAATGTGACTACCCTACGTACTTCCTATGAGGGGAGCCGCACGGCGTCTGTCCTTTTCCGTCCCTAGGAACGTGACTACCCTACGTACTTCCTATGAGGGGAGCCGCACGGCGTCTGTCCTTTTCCGTCCCTAGGAACGTGACTACCCTACGTACTTCCTATGAGGGGAGCCGCACGGCGTCTGTCCTTTTCCGTCCCTAGGAACGTGACTACCCTACGTACTTCCAATGAGGGGAGCCGCACGGCGTCTGTCCTTTTCCGTCCCTAGGAACGTGACTACCCTACGTACTTCCTATGAGGGGAGCCGCACGGCGTCTGTCCTTTTCCATCCCTAGGAACGTGACTACCCTACGTACTTCCTATGAGGGGAGCCGCACGGCGTCTGTCCTTTTCCATCCCTAGGAACGTGACTACCCTACGTACTTCCTATGAGGGGAGCCGCACGGCGTCTGTCCTTTTCCGTCCCTAGGAATGTGACTACCCTACGTACTTCCTATGAGGGGAGCCGCACGGCGTCTGTCCTTTTCCATCCCTAGGAACGTGACTACCCTACGTACTTCCTATGAGGGGAGCCGCACGGCGTCTGTCCTTTTCCATCCCTAGGAACGTGACTACCCTACGTACTTCCTATGAGGGGAGCCGCACGGCGTCTGTCCTTTTCCATCCCTAGGAACGTGACTACCCTACGTACTTCCTATGAGGGGAGCCGCACGGCGTCTGTCCTTTTCCGTCCCTAGGAATGTGACTACCCTACGTACTTCCTATGAGGGGAGCCGCACGGCGTCTGTCCTTTTCCATCCCTAGGAATGTGACTACCCTACGTACTTCCTATGAGGGGAGCCGCACGGCGTCTGTCCTTTTCCATCCCTGGGAATGTGACTACCCTACGTACTTCCTATGAGGGGAGTCGCACGGCGTCTGTCCTTTTCCATCCCTAGGAACGTGACTACCCTACGTACTTCCTATGAGGGGAGCCGCACGGCGTCTGTCCTTTTCCATCCCTAGGAATGTGACTACCCTACGTACTTCCTATGAGGGGAGCTGCACGGCGTCTGTCCTTTTCCATCCCTGGGAATGTGACTACCCTACGTACTTCCTATGAGGGGAGTCGCACGGCGTCTGTCCTTTTCCATCCCTGGGAATGTGACTACCCTACGTACTTCCTATGAGGGGAGTCGCACGGCGTCTGTCCTTTTCCATCCCTAGGAACGTGACTACCCTACGTACTTCCTATGAGGGGAGCCGCACGGCGTCTGTCCTTTTCCATCCCTAGGAATGTGACTACCCTACGTACTTCCTATGAGGGGAGCCGCACGGCGTCTGTCCTTTTCCATCCCTAGGAATGTGACTACCCTACGTACTTCCTATGAGGGGAGCCGCACGGCGTCTGTCCTTTTCCATCCCTAGGAATGTGACTACCCTACGTACTTCCTATGAGGGGAGCCGCACGGCGTCTGTCCTTTTCCATCCCTAGGAATGTGACTACCCTACGTACTTCCTATGAGGGGAGCCGCACGGCGTCTGTCCTTTTCCGTCCCTAGGAACGTGACTACCCTACGTACTTCCTATGAGGGGAGCCGCACGGCGTCTGTCCTTTTCCGTCCCTAGGAACGTGACTACCCTACGTACTTCCTATGAGGGGAGCCGCACGGCGTCTGTCCTTTTCCATCCCTAGGAACGTGACTACCCTACGTACTTCCTATGAGGGGAGCCGCACGGCGTCTGTCCTTTTCCATCCCTAGGAACGTGACTACCCTACGTACTTCCTATAAGGGGAGCCGCACGGCGTCTGTCCTTTTCCATCCCTAGGAATATGACTACCCTACGTACTTCCTATGAGGGGAGCCGCACGGCGTCTGTCCTTTTCCATCCCTAGGAACGTGACTACCCTACGTACTTCCTATAAGGGGAGCCGCACGGCGTCTGTCCTTTTCCATCCCTAGGAACGTGACTACCCTACGTACTTCCTATGAGGGGAGCCGCACGGCGTCTGTCCTTTTCCATCCCTAGGAACGTGACTACCCTACGTACTTCCTATGAGGGGAGCCGCACGGCGTCTGTCCTTTTCCGTCCCTAGGAACGTGACTACCCTACGTACTTCCTATGAGGGGAGCTGCACGGCGTCTGTCCTTTTCCATCCCTAGGAACGTGACTACCCTACGTACTTCCTATGAGGGGAGCCGCACGGCGTCTGTCCTTTTCCATCCCTAGGAACGTGACTACCCTACGTACTTCCTATGAGGGGAGCCGCACGGCGTCTGTCCTTTTCCATCCCTAGGAATGTGACTACCCTACGTACTTCCTATGAGGGGAGCCGCACGGCGTCTGTCCTTTTCCATCCCTAGGAACGTGACTACCCTACGTACTTCCTACGAGGGGAGCCGCACGGCGTCTGTCCTTTTCCATCCCTAGGAACGTGACTACCCTACGTACTTCCTATGAGGGGAGCTGCACGGTGTCTGTCCTTTTCCATCCCTAGGAACGTGACTACCCTACGTACTTCCTATGAGGGGAGCCGCACGGCGTCTGTCCTTTTCCATCCCTAGGAACGTGACTACCCTACGTACTTCCTATGAGGGGAGCCGCACGGTGTCTGTCCTTTTCCATCCCTAGGAATGTGACTACCCTACGTACTTCCTATGAGGGGAGCCGCACGGCGTCTGTCCTTTTCCATCCCTAGGAATGTGACTACCCTACGTACTTCCTATGAGGGGAGTCGCACGGCGTCTGTCCTTTTCCATCCCTAGGAACGTGACTACCCTACGTACTTCCTATGAGGGGAGCCGCACGGCGTCTGTCCTTTTCCGTCCCTAGGAATGTGACTACCCTACGTACTTCCTATGAGGGGAGCCGCACGGCGTCTGTCCTTTTCCATCCCTAGGAACGTGACTACCCTACGTACTTCCTATAAGGGGAGCTGCACGGTGTCTGTCCTTTTCCATCCCTAGGAATGTGACTACCCTACGTACTTCCTATGAGGGGAGCCGCACGGCGTCTGCCCTTTTCCATCCCTAGGAATGTGACTACCCTACGTGCTTCCTATGAGGGGAGCTGCACGGTGTCTGTCCTTTTCCATCCCTAGGAACGTGACTACCCTACGTACTTCCTATGAGGGGAGCCGCACGGCGTCTGTCCTTTTCCATCCCTAGGAATGTGACTACCCTACGTACTTCCTATGAGGGGAGCCGCACGGCGTCTGTCCTTTTCCGTCCCTAGGAATGTGACTACCCTACGTACTTCCTATGAGGGGAGCCGCACGGCGTCTGTCCTTTTCCGTCCCTAGGAATGTGACTACCCTACGTACTTCCTATGAGGGCAGCCGCACGGCGTCTGTCCTTTTCCGTCCCTGGGAACGTGACTACCCTACGTACTTCCTATGAGGGGAGCCGCACGGCGTCTGTCCTTTTCCGTCCCTAGGAATGTGACTACCCTACGTACTTCCTATGAGGGGAGCCGCACGGCGTCTGTCCTTTTCCATCCCTAGGAATGTGACTACCCTACGTACTTCCTATGAGGGGAGCCGCACGGCGTCTGTCCTTTTCCATCCCTGGGAATGTGACTACCCTACGTACTTCCTATGAGGGGAGTCGCACGGCGTCTGTCCTTTTCCATCCCTAGGAACGTGACTACCCTACGTACTTCCTATGAGGGGAGCCGCACGGCGTCTGTCCTTTTCCATCCCTAGGAACGTGACTACCCTACGTACTTCCTATGAGGGGAGCCGCACGGCGTCTGTCCTTTTCCATCCCTAGGAACGTGACTACCCTACCTACTTCCTATGAGGGGAGCCGCACGGCGTCTGTCCTTTTCCATCCCTAGGAATGTGACTACCCTACGTACTTCCTATGAGGGGAGCCGCACGGCGTCTGTCCTTTTCCATCCCTAGGAACGTGACTACCCTACGTACTTCCTATGAGGGGAGCCGCACGGCATCTGTCCTTTTTTGGCTGCTTATTTCCCTCAGCATCACTTCTTCAGAGCTCACGCACGCAGCAACCCGTGTCAGCACGTCCTTCCTTTCTGAGGCTGAGCAATGTTCCCCTGTACGGATGGATCACGTTTTGTCGTCTGTTCATAGGTACGTGGGGTGCTTCCCCCTTTTCGCTGGTCCTTCTGTTTTCATCTGTCTCCCCCACCAGGCTCCACCAAACAGGAGGAAGCATCACAGCCGTCTTGCTCACCACTGTTTCTTCAAGCTCCTAGCACACGCCTCACACATCGTAGGTGTTCAGTAAACGCTGGTTGAATGACTGTGCTGGCAGCTGCGGGTCGTTTGCTGCAACGTGTCTCAACCTACAGTCTGCCACCTTCCCGGGGAAGAAGCCTGGGTGTTTCACTCAAGTTCCTGTAATTAATCAAACGGACTTCCTATTTCAGATTAAAAGAGGGATAAAGAGGAAGGGCTTGATGGGGTGTGCTGGTGGGGAGGAAAGCGCAGTGAGCCTCCCTGACTGCCCAGGGTGCTCCCAGCCTCTCCTCCCCAGCTGCCCTGCCTCCCCTGGCATATCCCAGCCCCCGGCCCGTGCCTCAGCCTTGCCTCCTGCTGCAAAAATCCGTCTCCCACCCCCACTCCACTCAATTCCTGCTCAGTGACGTTCTTTTGGAAGACAGATGAAGAGCACAGGACCCAAAGCATCAGGTTGGATTGCCATTGGTACTCAGCCATTTTGGGATAGTCAACCTGTTTTTTTTTTTTTTTTTTTGAGACAGGGTCTCACTCTGTTGCCCAGGCTGGAGTGCAATGGCACGATCATGGCTCACTGCAGCCTTGACACCCTGGGCTCAAGTGATCCTCCCACCTCAACCTCCCGAGTAGCCAGGACCACAGCAACACGCCACCATGCCCGGCGAAGTCAACCACTTTTGAACTATCAAAAAAGCCCGTCAACTTCATACGATTCACCCCAATATTTATGCCCAGAAGGGGCAATAATCCCACAGGCCAGGCAGGCCACGTGCCTCCCCGGGGCTCTGTGGGCAGGTCCATGAGCACCCGATGGATCATTCCCTGTGAGTTCATTGTAACGGGGCCTCGCTCCGATTCTCTCCTGCTGTCACTGTAGTCCAGGTGGAAGGTCTAAGAGCTCACCCTGACCATCCAGCATGGCTGGTGATCTGGACCAGCGTGAGGAGCAGCAGTTCCTAAGTCCCAGCATCAGGGGACCACAGCACACAGGTGTATCATCCAGTACAGGAGGTGCACCCATGCAGATGTGCATAAAACACACTGTCAGTATTTCTGAAAATGCCTTCCGCAGGGGAGAGCAGATCTGTTGAGGTGAGGTGCAAAGGACCCCACACCCACAGGCCTTCTCTCTCCTGGCTGCCCGCCCCACTCTGCAAAACACACCACGGCAGCCTTAATCACGTAACTTCTGCTCTGTGCATCTGGGCCTGTCACCCGCTGCCTGGCATCCACATCTACCCCTCCCCCCCCAGGAATAGTGGCAGGAAAAGCCCTCGTGGGAATTAACCCCAGGCCACCCCGCAGATTGAAAATCAGTTACTTTCTGGAGAAGCCGAGCAACTCTGCAAAACCCTACTCGGCTCCCCACGCGTGGTTTGCTGTGATAAGGCCGGCAAAGCAGCCAGCCTTGAAAATGCCATTTAATGAGAAAAGACCCACAGCCGCCGTGGCGGTGGCCGGGGTGTCCGGCAGCAGTAAACGCTCCTGGTACCGCTGCTCGCCCTGCTCTGTGCTCCGCTTCCAGGTTTGCATTACGGTTTCAGCTCACGGCCAATCTGACTGCAGATTCTCATGGATATTCGCCAAGCTGTTCCCAGGGAATTTTAATTACCATGATAACAATTGCTAATCACTGGCATTTCCTAAGTGGTTGTGGCTGGAGAAGGTGGTAATTGTCAGGCTGGTGCTGGAAAGAAGGGGAGTCTCACAGACCTGCCACTGGAGGGGGTGGGACAGGGGAGCCTGAAGACCCCTCTCTCTGTCCATTGTCCACCCCTTCCATGTGTCACTCCCTCTCCCGTGCCACCCTGAGAGTGCACCTGGCTTGAGCTCTTCACTGGCCCAGGCATCCATCCTCTCTGCCCCAACCCCACGAGTCACAGCAGGGGACGGTCTGTGGCCTGTGCACCTGCTGTTCCTTCCCCCTGGAGTGCCTTTCATCAGCATCTCTAACAGGCAGTCACGCTTCCCCGGAGGGCTTCAGTGGGTGCCCCTTCATGCAGAATCAGGGCCCCTCTGTCGTGCTCCCAGAGGCCATGTGGTCCCACTGGTACAGCACGCCACACCTGGGCTGGAGCTCAGACTCGCCCACCTTCCTGAGCAGGAGGCTGTGAGCTCTTCAAGGGCAGGGCTGTGCCTGAGCCATCTCTGGATTCCCGGGACCCAGTGAGGAGCCTGCTATGTTACTGACCGACCACATGAACAAAGAAGGGAAAGCAGAGGCACTGTCTCCAGGGGACAGAGGGGAGACCTCGCCTTCAAGGGAGACTGCGTTCTGTCTGCCTAACAAGCTCCAGACTGAATCAGTCTTGGAGAACCACGGGAAAAGACCTGTGACTGAGCGGTCTTCTCAATTACACTGCAGCTACTTTAAAGGTCTCTTCAAGGGTCAACCCTCTCTGGCAGAGGAGAGGCAGTACCTCTCCCTCCTCCATTACCTGACACACACTCACAATGCTGGTCTCCCAGGAACCCTAAGAGGCAAGTTAAACAAGTCCGCAGCAGGCCAACAACACCCCAGGACCCGGCCTCCCTCTCAGCCTCACCTCTCACCTCCCCCACCCCCATCACCAGGCACAGCTGCTCTCACTGCCTTGACCACACTAAGCTCTCCTTTTGGACACGTTGTTCCTTCTCCCTTCCCTGGACTAGCTCGTCTCCAGCCTTTGGGAAATCACTTTTATCCAGAAGCTTCCAGACATAATCTTGCATGTTTCCACAGCTATGCACACTCCCTGGGTTATGATCACCTGTTTCTGTGTCTGTTTCCTGAGGATGGAAGACCCCATGATGGCGGGAGCCAGGCAGAGTGCCCGGCAGGTGCCAGCACACAGCAGATACCCAACAAATAGTCAGCTGAACACCCATCCAAATTGCAAGGCTTAAGTAACTCAAGTTACTTAGGAGAAGCACAGGCTCCTCGAGGGTGCTGGGGGCTGAACTGTGTCCTCCAAATCCACATGTTGAAGCTCTAACCTTCATGTACTTGTGAGTGACAATGGACCTTGGGAAGGGAATTAGGTTTAGATGAGGCCATGAGGGTGATTGCTGCCCTTATGAAGAGAGAGACACCAGGAGAATGTGCTTCCTCTCTCTCTCTGCCATGTGAGGGCACAGCGGGAACACAGCCAGCTGCAAGCCAGAAAGAGAGCCTTCACCAGGGATCCGAATTCACCAGGGATCTGGATCAGCCAGCCCCTTGATCTTGGACTTCCCTGTCCCCAGAGCTCTGAGAAACAAATTCCCACTGTTTACACCACTCAGTCTATGGTATGTTGTTATGGTGGCTCAAGTTGACTACCATGGAAAAGATAGGCCAGCTATAAGGAAACCAGACCCAGAATCGCATTAGACTTATCACTGGTAACAGTGGCCGCCCAAAGACTCTGGATCTAGAATTCTATCAGCCAAACTATCAACACAATGGGAGGGCAGAACACAGATGTTTTTAAACTCATAAGGACGCTGAGTTTCCCTTACACACACTCTTTTTAAGAACTTAGGACGGGTTCCAGAAAAACACAAGTGAAAAACAAGAAAGGGAAAACACAGGATCCTGGAAACAGTCTCCAACTCAAAAGGTGAGCTGAGGGGAAGTTCCCGGAAGGCAGCGCTCAGGAACTACTCTGGGGTCTGGAGGGCGTCTCACAGGAAAACAGAAGGCTCCACACGATAGATGGTAAAATAAAAAAGCTGCATAAAAGAGGATGTAAAGTTTCATTATTCTGTTGTCAATAAGAAACACAGTCAATAAAAACTCCAGGAAAAACGAAAAGTTACACAAGAACATCATGGTCCAAATATTGGGTAAATTAAAATATGACAGGGATGAAGAAATTCAGAGTTAAAAAGGAATGTTTGCTCAGAATGGTGGGAACATTCTCCTTGGGGTGGTCTAGGGGTCAAGGTCGTTATAAAAATGTGATCCTCACATACGTTTGAGCCTAAGACGTTTCATGTTTACAGTTTTTTTTTTAGATGGTGTCTCGCTCTGTCACCCAGGCTGGAGTGCAGCGGCACAATCTCGGCTCACTGCAACCTCCGCCTCCCGGGTTCAAGCAATTCTGCCTCAGCCTCCTGAGTAGCTGGGATTACAGGCACCCGCCACCAGGCCCGGCTAATTTTTGTATTTTTAGTAGAGACGGGGTTTCACCATGTTCGCCGGGCTGGTCTTGAACTGCTGACCTCGTGATCCACCCGCCTCGGCCTCCCAAAGTGCTGGGATTACAGGCGTGAGCCACCGCACCCGGCCAACAAAATAATTTTTACAATGTAAATCCCAGCCAGGTGCAGCGGCTCACGCTCATAATCCCAACCCTTTGGGAGGCCGAGGTGGGAGGATCGCTTGAGGCCAGGAATTCAAGGCCAGCCTGGCCAAGCTGTTTACATCTCCCCTGTGACCCAGCTCTTGCAGGCGTGCAAAAGTCAAGCGACAAACCATCAAACGAATCCTAAGCCCATGCCCCGAGCCATCTCCTTTATCTAACGCCCACACACCAAGCCAATATTCCCCCTGCCCTAAATCAGTGGAGAGTCAGGGAGCACACAACTAGGGACAGCCCCTATGCCACAAAGCCTGCAGGGTTATTCAGTCCGACCCCACTTTGCTTTCCCCGCAGAAGCCCCAGTAAAGGCTGTGGATGTGTTTTCCCCTCTCCTCTGCCCACGACTGGCTCTGGTGCTTCCCCACGTGGCCCTGCCCGACATGGTGGTCCCCTCCTCTCAGGAACTGTGAGCAAGAAATTCTTCCAATGACATTAGCCTCTTTGTGTCATCACTCTGCCACGTGCATGAAGACCTGGGCACAAATCATAAAGCATGGAAGAATTCATTATAGCTAAAGAACAGAATCTACATGTAAATTCTGGCAATCTACAACTAAAGATACCATCTAGACAAGGAGGGAGGTGGGCATGGGGGAGGAAGAGGCGGCCTCCATATCCACAGCTCACACACAGGGAGTCAAGGGTACCAAAGCTGACGGAAGAAGACAGAGGAAAATATTATACAAAGTCACAAACTTAATCAAAGAGCCGAAAGTAATAACACAACGATCAACATCAGGGGACAGAGGGGAAGCAGAGGAGTCCAAGCTGGCCAGCTCCTCATCTTGCATGGCCAGGAGTCAATAGAGAGTCTCCCAAGTTGGTACATCAAGAAAGGCACGGCAGGATCCAGCACGTGGACGAACAGGCAGCAGCGGGTGACGCGCTGGCAAGGAGCCGCCGGGCGACTGCCGTTCCCCAACGTTAGCTCTTCCGAACAATTTGATTTTTTAAAACCATATGATGTGTTACTTTGATTAAAATTAAAATGTAACAGATTGGTAATTGGATGCTGATATTATTAAATCCTCGGTCTGCACGGTAGGTCGACTCGTGGGGAGCTGGCACAGTCTGTGGCTGGCACACTGAATCTGGATGTGGCTTAAGGGAGGAAAGCTGGTAGCTCAGGAAAGGAAAGGAATGCAGTAAGTAAAATTTCCTGCCATGGAAGAGACTTTGTGAAGTTACGGTTAGTTTGAGAACGTCGGTATGAGTTGGTAACACACCGACACTCCCGTCCCTGAAGAAGGCCAAGTTCCTTCCCACACATCACTGCACCCACCTAACCGCCCGGAGTCGGAATTGTGGCCGTGGGCACCTCGACGGGTTTTCAAGGGGGAACCAAAGTTTCACTGCAGACGGGCAGGCAGAGCTGGGTCCAGCAGGAAACAAGGGCCTGAGGGTATCGTGCTGTTAGCGGACGCGATGCTGCTTTCCAAGATGGCTGGGCGGGGATCTCTGATCAGATTTCAAAGCCACGATTTTGGCCGCGTGCGACAAGCCGGACTCTCCAAGAGCCTTGGACCCACACCGATACTGAACAAGCTCAGCAAACGTGAGGTGTACTGAGGTAACATACACACTTGTTTCTAGCATTGTTTTCTGCCGGAAATGCCATCTGTCACTCAAACCCGAATAGAACCACCCTACCTCAAAGTTCTGGCTGACAGCAGGATTACCCTTCGGAGCCGCGAGCGCTGGATGGGGACTCAGAATCCGCAGCACGTTGACAGCAGGATTACCCTTCGGAGCCGTGCGCGCTGGATGGGGACTCAGAATCCGCAGCACGTTGACAGCAGGATTACCCTTCGGAGCCGTGCGCGCTGGATGGGGACTCAGAATCTGCAGCATGTTGACAGCAGGATTACCCTTCGGAGCCGCGAGCGCTGGATGGGGACTCAGAATCCGCAGCATGTTGACAGCAGGATTACCCTTCGGAGCCGTGCGCGCTGGATGGGGACTCAGAATCCGCACCGTGTGTGTGACCACTGCATGGTGGTTTTCCGCTGATCGGTGTGAGGAGGGCATGAAGCATGTCACAAGGCCTATTGGACACATTTGTGACCACACAGGACCAACGCAGGAAGAGGTCAGCATTTGCTCTTCTAAGCGTGGAGGATGACCCTTCCACCTGTGACCGGTATCAGCAAAAATGGAACACAGAATGCAGCCATTCTTCCCCAAACACCTGTTTACAGGTATATCACAGCTCAGGTGACCAATGGTTGAAGTGAAATAAACATCTCAAGAATGGGGAACTCGTGGTACCTGAAAATTCACAGTGGTCAATGCAAGACAAAACTCAGTCTAAATTACTAATGTACACATAACTGCAAAACATGAAAATGTATAAGAAATTATGCTTTGAAAGTAGATATAAAAGAATCAGTTAACAAAACAAATCTGACCCAAAATTCCAGATTGTCTCAATAAAACCCAAAAAGTAGCTGGAAATAAAACACACTGGGTGCCTCATACTTTATGAGAAGAGGGAATTAAGAGACATTTTTTCTTCTTTGAGACAGGGCCTTGCTCTGTTACCCAGGCTGGAATGTAGTGGTGCAGTCTCAGCTCACTGCAACCTCCACCTCCGAGGCTCAATCGATCCTCCCACCTAGGCTTCCCGAGTAGCTGGGACTGCAGGCGCATGCCACCATGCCCAGCTAATTTATTTTTGTAATTTCTTTTTAAGAGAGATGAGATTTCGCCATTTTGCCCAGGTTGGTCTCAGACTCCTATACTCAAGCGATCCTCCCACCTCGGCCTCTCAAAGTGCTGGGATTACAGGTGCCTGGCCAAGAGATATTTTTTGTATTGTAATATAAGTAATTAGATAAGTATAGCTTTGAATATTCAAAAGTTATATATATATGCATACACATATCCACCTAAGACAACCAGCAGAATTAAAACTAGGAAAAACGTTCGTCATCCTGAAATACTTGATCTGCTGATGGCTTTTTCTTTTATTCCCTCTTCCCTCTTCCCTCCCTTGTGCTCTGTTTATAATTTCTCCTTGTTGTTGTCCTTTTCCTTTCAGTAGGAATTAAGTTTAGAATAACTCTTTCCTCATTATTTCCTTCCCTGACCTCTGGAAAATGACACAAACAACATCTGAAAAGGGAGTCAGTGGATATTAATTCATTCAAATCACATTTACTAAGCATCTCGTGTACAGTTCTAAGATTGAGCTAAGGAAACAAAAGCCAATGTTCTTGCAGACGGGAGGCCGGTGGCACAGATCCACAGTGGGCTGTCTTCTCTCCTTGTGAGTGTTCACGCCTCGCCTTTGGGCCCTTCTGTTCTGGGAGGGTTCTGCTGACTTCCACCCCACAGGGTGAGTCTCCGCTCACGGCGGATGTTCAGCGTGAGGGGGCAAAGCACAAGCAAGCGATCCAAGCCCCCAAGAGGGTCTGAGCCACACCAGGGCAGCTGGGCAGAGCTGTGGGCAGCCTCTTCCTCCTGCCCCTCTCCCCACCCAGGCATCCATCTGGTCCAATCCCTTCTGAAGTGCTAACTCATTCCTAATTGAGGTGTGAGCTCAAAGCGAAGTGAGACCCCTTCCAGGAGGATTCATGTATTTGTGTTTTAAAAGATGACACTTTAAGGCCCCAGTGGTGTGTGTGTGTGTGTGTGTGTGTGTGCGTGCACCTGCATGCATGCTGGTGAGCCAGGGAGAAAGCCCCCATCATCCCTGTGCTCCCCAGTGGGGTGTGTGTGTGTGCACCTGCGTGCATGCTGGTGAGCCAGGGAGAAAGCCCCCGTCATCCCTGTGCTCCCCTCAACTCCAGTGGGAGTGCACAGATTCATAAAATTCATCCTGCCTGGAAAGTCTGCTGCCTCCCCATGCTGCAGGTGGCCGGCTGGCTCCCCTGTACCCAGTTGGAGGGCCCCGCCCTCATCAGAAGATGCGCTGGAAATCACACCCCAGGAAAGATAGAGCACCTGCCCCTGTCCTTTCTTCCAAATCCCCCCTGGGGCAGCAAAGCTCCCCACTCAGCCCAGGAGAGCACAGCTTTCTCCAGAGCCTGAGTGAGTTTCCTCTTCATTCCAAGTGGGTTTTTGAGCAACCAGGTCAGTCTGGGAGGCAGGCAACTGCCAGCACAGTAGAAAGGAAAAACGGCAGTGAGAAACAGAATTCTGAGGGTGCTGTTTTCTTGACAGATGATTTAAACACCTCGGCTAGATTATTTCAGAACTAGAGGAAATGCTTTGGCTTCCATTAACCCCTGGCCGGGGACTGGCTCCTGTGAGGCTTCTACACAATTACCGGTAAGGAGCATTTGCCAGTCGCAGAGGGAGGTGTTGCCCAACGCTGGCTCCCGATGCCTGTAGGGCTGCGTGCCCCTGGATCAGGGAGAACCCTGGGACAGGTCGCCAAGCTTCATCTCTGGCCTCACCCTGCCTTGTAGCCCAGCCTCGGGGTCTGTGCCCCGTGGGCACCCCATGGCCTTTGCATCATCTCTCACGTCACCTGTGATGAGGAAAGGTCCCTACAAGCTGCTGAGAACAGGGGCCCCTGTCTTCCCTCTGGTCCTGCGCGCCATCCTCTCCCTTTGTCCAGATGCTCTTGTAAGCTCAGCAAATGCATGGAGGCTAATGACACTTTCATCTGCTGCTCTTAATGACTTGTGTTGTCAACATTTGACAGACTCCCCTCACTTTCAACTGGCACGCGGCATGAAATCCTTTGGAGCCCCAGTACTGAGGCTGCTCTGACACCGGTTTGAGAGAGGGCAGGCCTGTTACAATGGTGATTGGCTGCGAAGCCGCCTCTGTTCCCAGACGGAGTGGGCTGCATGCAGGAAATGAATAGGGGCTGGAGGCGGAAAATTGGACAGGCCAATTAGACCGAGCCAGGTCTTTTCAGACGAGCGTCATGATTTTGATTCAATTCCCAGGACAACAAATGTGCCTGTGTTTAAACACAGTCTCAGAAATATGTTCTCCCAAGCCAAAGTGAAACCCTGTCTGGGCTGACCCCAATCGGCAGGGCTCGAGGGTGGTGCAGAGCGGGCGGCCTGCATCTGGGGACACTTTTTTTGATTACGTATTTGATTAGTGGCTCATTTCCGACGGGTCTTGTTCCCTGCTGGGGAAAGCCTCTAGTTCTGAAGTCCCATTGCTTCCTCTGTCTTCCACAGTCATCACTGTCTCCCTGACCACGTTTAGCTCTTTGGTTTTTCCCTGCATTCTGGGAGATCCTACAGGTCTCTCCAAATCACTGATTCAAGCTTCTTATTTTTTGCCTGATTTTAGCGACCTCCTCTCATCTTTTGGGTGTATGCCCGTGAAAGCTAGCAAATCTACAAAAGTGTATTTCATACAGACATTTCAAAGAATCATATTCCAGTAAATACCTGTGAGCTCATCAAGAAATAAAATGGTGCTGGATGTGAGAAGCTCCCGTAAACCCACCCTCCCTCTCAGAGGTAACCACCATCTGGAATTTTGTATTAAGCAATCTCTTGCTTTTCTAGTTTAAAAAAACCTTGTATGTATGTATGCATTTCTAAATAAATACAGTTGACCCATGAACCACATGGGCTGGAACTGCACAGGCCCACTCCTAGCTGGATTTTCCTCTCCCTCCATCACCCTTGTGACAACGAAAGCAACCCCTCCTCTTCCTCCTCCTCATCTCCCCGTCACCCCTGTGACAATAAAACCAACTCCCCTTCCTCCTCAGCCTACCCAACACGAAGACGATGAGGATGAAGACCTTCACGATGACCCACTTCCCCTTCATGAAGAGTAAATATATTCTCTCTTCCTCATGATTTTCTTAATAACATTTTCTTTTCTCTAGCTTATTTTATTGTAAGAATATAGTATATAATGCATATAATATACAAAATATGTGTTAACTGAATGTTTTTTATTGGTAAGTCTTCCAGTCAACAGTAGACTATTAGTTAAGTTTTGGAGAGTTAATAGTTATATTAAGATTTTAAGTATGTTTTTGGGTTTTTTTTTTTTTTTTTTTTTTTTTGAGGCAGGATCTCACGCTGTTGCCCAGGCTGAAGTACTGTGGCACCATCTCGGCTCACTGCAGCCTCCGCCTCCCAGGTTCAAGCAATCCTCCGACCTCAGCCTCCCAAGTAGCTGGGGCCACTAGACATGCCCCCACTACACCAGGCTAATTTTTAAAAACTTTTTGTAGTGACAGGTTTCGCCATGTTACCCAGACTGGTCTCAAACTCTGGGGCTCAAGCAATCCTCCCGCCTCAGCCTCCTGAGTAGCTGGGACTATAGGTTCATGCTACCAGGCCTGGATGATTTTTTATTTTTTATTTATTATTATTTTTTTGAGACGGAGTCTCGCTCCGTCACCCAGGCTGGAGTGCAGTGCCGCGATCTCGGCTCACCGCAAGCTCTGCCTCCCGGGTTCACGCCATTCTCCTGCCTCAGCCTCCCGAGTAGCTGGGACTACAGGCGCCCGCCACCACGCCTGGCTAATTTTTTGTATTTTTAGTAGAGACGGGGTTTCACCGTGTTAGCCAGGATGGTCTCGATCTCCTGACCTCATAATCCGCCCGCCTTGGCTTCCTAAAGTGCTGGGATCACAGGCGTGAGCCACCGTGCCTGGCCGATTTTTTATTTTTTAGAGACGAGGGATCGCCATGTTGCCCAGGCTGGTCTTGAACTTCTGTGGCCTCAAGCAGTCCTCTTGCCTCAGCCTCCCAGAGTGCTGGGTGTGAGCCACCGTGCCTGACCTACTTATTCTTTTTCCTGTTCAGCATCTAGTGTATGATACGATTTGCTTATTTGTTTATGTTTCATCGTCTGTTCCCCACCCTCAGCCCTGGCCCCCTTGCTGGAACGCAAGCTCCAGGCAAAGCTATTTCACCGTTGCTGTTTTCCAAGGGCCTCGAACAGTGCCCGGCACATAGCAAATCCTCAGTGAACATTAGAGGAATAAGTGATTCAAGAATAGAGCTGTTAGAAGGTGTTCTGGAGGAAGACGCATCCGGCTTCATCCCTGGCACCATCAATTACTACCCAACGTCTTTGGGCAAGTGACCTCTTCTCTCTAAGCTTCAGTTTCTCCACCTGTCACAGAGGACAATGGGCTCCCGTGGGGATGAAGCGAGATGATCATGGCCTGGCCCTTAGTGGGCACTCAGCTCACATCTGCTATGAACGATGGGAGTCCTTCGGTGTGCCTGTGTGTGAACGATGAACTCACGGACTGGAGCACTGTGCTGAAAGAGTCAGCAGCCTCTTGGATCTCTCAGTGCCTCAGAGGCAAACTTCTCCAGTGCACAGACGTGGGCTCAGGTAGACGCCCCAGGCAAGGGGCAGGGGAAGATGGGATGGCTCAGTCCATCTGCAGGGGTGCAGTGCAGGAGTCCCCATGAGGCAGACTGCCCTGGGGGCTGGTGAGCACCAGGAGCCCCCTCCTCCTGCCACCACCCATGTGTGGGAGGCCAGGAGGCTGCACTGATAGCGGGTCTCTCTGGCAGAGCCACAGAGGCGTGGGAGGCGACCAACACACTGAGGAAGTATGACCATCCGGGTCCCCCAGGGATGCCGTGACAGCAGCCCAGAGTGAGGCAGGCACAGACGGTGGGGTGCTCAGGCAGCCGCCCGCCCCAGCACCAGCCACCCACTCCCGAATGCACTCACAGACCTCCAGAGGGGGCCCTCTGGCAAAGCTGTTTGCAGCAAAAATCCAAACTGCAAGTAACAGCAGAACCAGGAGAGAAACAGCATGGAGAAACAGATGGCAGCTTGCGGTGAGCACAGGCCGCCTGCCCGGGAAGCAGGTGCCGCAAGGATGCTGGGCTGGGGCTTGGCTAGCACGGCCAGTTCCCACCAGCGGCTGGGCTGGCTGCGGAGTTTGGGAGCCCCCGATGATCCTGACCTTCCGTAGGCCTGTGAGGCCCAGACTGAGGAAGAGTCTCCCAGCTGGAAGACCCCAGTGGGCTGCTGGTCACCTCCAGGATAAGTGAGTTGGAGAGGATTTAAAAACCAACCCTGCCAGGCATGGCGGCTCATGCCTGTAATCCCAGCACTTAGGGCAGCAGAGGCAGGAGGATTGGTTGAGCTCAGGAGTTTGAGGCCAGCCTTGGCAACATCGTGAGATGCCAACTCCACAAAAGAAAAAAAAAAAAAATTTCTCCCATTCTGTAGGTTGCCTGTTCACTTTGATCATAGTTTCCTTTGCTGTGTGGAAGCTCTTTAGTTTAATTAGATCCCATTTGTCTATTTTGGCTTTTGTTGCCATTGCTTTTGGTGTTTTAGACATGAAGTCCTTGCCCATGCCTATGTCCTGAATGGTAAAGCCTAGGTTTTCTTCTAGGGTTTTTATGGTTTTAGGTCTAACATTTAAGTCTTTAATCCATCTTGAATTAATTTTTGTATAAGGTGTAAGGAAGGGATCCAGTTTCAGCTTTCCACGTATGGCTAGCCAGTTTTCCCAGCACCATTTATTAAATAGGGAATCCTTTCCCCATTTCTTGTTTTTGTCAGGTTTGTCAAAGATCAGATGGTTGTAGATGTGTGGTATTATTTCTGAGGCCTCTGTTGTGTTCCATTGGTCTATATCTCTGTTTTGGTACCAGTACCATGCTGTTTTGGTTACTATAGCCTTGTAGTATAGTCTGAAATCAGGTAGCGTGATGCCTCCAGCTTTGTTCTTTTGGCTTAGAATTGACTTGGCAATGCGGGCTCTTTTTTGGTTCCATATGAACTTTAAAGTAGTTTTTTCCAATTCTGTGAAGAAAGTCATTGGTAGCCTGATGGGGATGGCAATGAATCTACAAATTACCTTGGGCAGTATGGCCATTTTCACAATATTGATTCTTCCTATCCATGAGCATGGAATGTTCTTCCATTTGTTTGTGCCCTCTCTTATTTTGTTGAGCAGTGGTTTGTAGTTCTCCTTGAAGAGGTCCTTCACATCCTTTGTAAGTTGGATTCCTAGGTATTTTATTCTCTTTGAAGCAATTGTGAATGGGAGTTCACTCATGATTTGGTACTCTGTTATTGATGTATAGGAATGCTTGTGATTATTGCACATTGATTTTGTACCCTGAGACTTTGCTGAAGTTGCTTATCAGCTTAAGGAGATTTTGGGCTGAGACAACAGGGTTTTCTAGATATACAATCATGTCATCTGCAAATAGGGACAATTTGACTTCCTCTTTTCCTAATTGAATACCCTTTATTTCTTTCTCCTGCCTGATTGCCCTGGCCAGAGCTTCCAACAGTATGTTGAATAGGAGTGGCGAGAGAGGGCATCCCTGTCTTGTGCCAGTTTTCAAAGGGAATGTTTCCAGTATCCAGAATCTACAAAGAACTTAAAACAAATTTACAAGAAAAAATCAAACAACCCCATCAAAAAGTGGGCAAAGGATAAGAACAGACACTTCTCAAAAGAAGACATTTATGCAGCCAAAAAACACATGAAAAAATGCTCACCATCACTGGCCATCAGAGAAATGCAAGTCAAAACCACAATGAGATACCATCTCACACCAGTTAGAATGGCGATGATTAAAAAGTCAGAAAACAACAGGTGCTGGAGAGGATGTGGAGAAATAGGAACAATTTTACACTGTTGGGGGAATGTAAACTAGTTCAACCATTGTGGAGGACAGTGTGGTGATTCCTCAGGGATCTAGAACTAGAAATACCATTTGACCCAGCCATCCCATTACTGGGTATATACCCAAAGGACTATAAATCATGCTGCTATAAAGACACATGCACACGTATGTTTATTGCAGCACTATTCACAATAGCAAAGACTTGGAACCAACCCAAATGTCCATCAGTGATAGACTGGATTAAGAAAATGTGGCACATATACACCATGGAGTACTATGCAGCCATAAAAAAGGATGAGTTCATGTCCTTTGTAGGGACATGGATGAAGCTGGAAACCATCATTCTCAGCAAACTATCGCAAGGACAGAAAACCAAACACCGCATGTTCTCACTCATAGGTGGGAATTGAACAATGAGAACACATGGACACAGGAAAGGGAACATCACACTCCAGGGACTGTTGTGGGGTGGGGGGAGGGGGGAGGGATAGCATTAGGAGATATACCTAATGCTAAAATGACCAGTTAATGGGTGCAGCACACCAACATGGCACAGGTATACAGATGTAACGAACCTGCACATTGAGCACATGTACCCTAGAACTTAAAGTATTATTTAAGTCACACACACACACACACACACACCAAAAAACCATGTAAGACCAACCCTGTGAAGCCACTTTTCTTTTTTTAGTCAATCAACAAGCAGGAGAGAGGGGCCAGAAGGAAGAAATAAAGACCCAGCCTCAGTGGGCCAGTGGCGACGTGAGATCCCAGCAAGGGCGACATCAGGGAGAGACCCCAGCAAGGGCTACGTCAGGGTGAGACCCCAGCGAGGGTGACGTCAGGGAGAGACCCCAGCGAGGGTGACTTCAGGGAGAGACCCCAGCGAGGGTGACGTCAGGGAGAGACCCCAGCGAGGGTGACGTCAGGGAGAGACCCCAGCGAGGGTGACGTCAGGGAGAGACCCCAGCGAGGGTGACGTCAGGGAGAGACCCCAGCGAGGGTGACATCAGGAAGAGACCCCAGCGAGGGCGACGTCAGGGAGAGACCCCAGCGAGGGTGACGTCAGGGAGAGACCCCAGCGAGGGCGACGTCAGGGAGAGACCCCAGCGAGAGTGACGTCAGGGAGAGACCCCAGCGAGGGCTACGTCAGGGTGAGACCCCAGCGAGGGCGACGTCAGGGAGAGACCCCAGCGAGGGTGACGTCAGGGAGAGACCCCAGCGAGAGTGACGTCAGGGAGAGACCCCAGCGAGAGTGACGTCAGGGAGAGACCCCAGCGAGGGCGACGTCAGGGAGAGACCCCAGCGAGGGTGACGTCAGGGAGAGACCCCAGCGAGGGTGACTTCAGGAAGAGACCCCAGCGAGGGCTACGTCAGGGAGAGACCCCAGCGAGGGCGACGTCAGGGAGAGACCCCAGCGAGGGTGACGTCAGGGAGAGACCCCAGCAAGGGCTACGTCAGGGTGAGACCCCAGCGAGGGCGACGTCAGGGAGAGACCCCAGCGAGGGTGACGTCAGGGAGAGACCCCAGCGAGAGTGACGTCAGGGAGAGACCCCAGCGAGAGTGACGTCAGGGAGAGACCCCAGCGAGGGCGACGTCAGGGAGAGACCCCAGCGAGGGCGACGTCAGGGAGAGACCCCAGCGAGGGTGACGTCAGGGAGAGACCCCAGCGAGGGTGACTTCAGGAAGAGACCCCAGCGAGGGCGACGTCAGGGAGAGACCCCAGCGAGAGTGACGTCAGGGAGAGACCCCAGCAAGGGCTACGTCAGGGTGAGACCCCAGCGAGGGCGACGTCAGGGAGAGACCCCAGCGAGGGTGACGTCAGGGAGAGACCCCAGCGAGAGTGACGTCAGGGAGAGACCCCAGCGAGAGTGACGTCAGGGAGAGACCCCAGCGAGGGTGACGTCAGGGAGAGACCCCAGCGAGGGTGACGTCAGGGAGAGACCCCAGCGAGGGTGACGTCAGGAAGAGACCCCAGCGAGGGCGACGTCAGGGAGAGACCCCAGCGAGGGTGACGTCAGGGAGAGACCCCAGCGAGGGTGACGTCAGGGAGAGACCCCAGCGAGGGCGACGTCAGGAAGAGACCCCAGCGAGGGCAACATCAGGAAGAGACCCCAGCGAGGGCGACGTCAGGGAGAGACCCCAGCGAGGGTGACGTCAGGGAGAGACCCCAGCGAGGGTGACGTCAGGGAGAGACCCCAGCAAGGGTGATGTCAGGGAGAGACCCCAGCGAGGGCGACGTCAGGGAGAGACCCCTGCGAGGGTGACGTCAGGGAGAGACCCCAGCAAGGGTGACGTCAGGGAGAGACCCCAGCGAGGGCGACGTCAGGGAGAGACCCCAGCAAGGGTGACTTCAGGGTGAGACCCCAGCGAGGGCGACGTCGGGGAGAGACCCCTGCGAGGGCGACGTCGGGGATATCCAAAGTGCCCCACAGGGAAAAGATTCTGAAGAGATCGGAACACGAAATTTCTTTGCAAATTTCTCTTTCAATCCACAAACTTTTCCCGAGCACCTTTATATACAACACACTGCAGGAGACACTGAGTGCTGGCTGTGGCCCGTGGCTGCCGGGTTATAATCAGGATGTGGCGGGAAATTGAGGAGGCAAAGCCAATGCTGAACAGAGAAGAACACGCTAATTGTCTTAACCAGCTTTCAGCTCCTTAAAAATTGGTCTTCTTCACCCCTTTCTAGGCCACCCCCCCTCAGATAACATCTGTGTCCTCCAAGAAGCTTTCTTATGGCCCAGGTACGTTTGAGACGCTGCAGGAATGGTTTGCAGAATCCTGGGGAATCTAGATTCCAGTGAACTTTTCTACTGATTACAGCATCACTTTGAGTGAGTCATTCTTCGTTTTCGTTTAGTGGATAGGGATTCGAGGCTAAACAGTAAATGAAATGAATTTCTGGTTTGCAACATCCTGTGCTTAGAAGCCGCCAGGGCCGTTCCTCCCAGCCCCAACTAACGCACCCATGAAAGCACGTGGAAAAGGCACCGCGAAACCCCAGCCCGGGGCCTCTGACAGCTCAGCACCAGGCTCCACATCAGGTGAGGGGATGAGGCGGGAGACGGGAGGCGTGCCATGGACCACCTGGGCCTCGCCTGCCCACCTGGGCCTCGCCTGCCTGGCTGGAGTAGGGGCAGCAGCTGAAGCCGCCTGGGCAGCCTTCCTGGCACTTCAGGGCTGCCAGTTCCTGGGGCCACAGGGGCTGTCCTCCCTCCGCCAACCCTCCTGTCATCCCTGGGAGATACAGCTTCCAGAATCTAGCCAGTCCGGCAATGTGAGTTGCATTGGGGAAGGAGTATTTCCTGAAGCAAGGCTGCATCTGGGAGAGCAGGGAGAGCAGGAAGAGCGGAGGAGACAGCATAAGCCAGGGGCTGCGGTCCCTCGTCCTCCCTGGTTCCGACGGGCCAGGTCGCAGGAGAGTCAAAGGTGCCTCCTGCATGGGGCAGGGTCACAGGCACAATCCCAGACCAAGGGAGGGGCTATGAGGAGACGCCTTGGAGTCAATCCTGGGTCTGCGGGGCTTAGGCTGCTGCAGAAGCGGGGAGGGGAAAACCTCCAAAGTGTTTAGTGCAGGTGAATGTGGCATGCTAGGGCTCAGGAACATAATTAGACAATTGTTTGGTGTCTAGGAAACATAAAGACGGGCCTTACTAATAAAATAGAAAACCAAAAGAAGAAAAGGAGCAAAATAAAGGAAATAATGGAGGACTGCCGGGAAACCAGAGTGGAGAACAGAATCGAAACTTACACCGGAGGGGAAAGAGCAGACGTGGTCACGGAGAAAACAGAGTAGCTGGAATGCTGTTCTAGGCTCATAGGAGCATGAGCTGGTATTAATACAGGCACTCTGGAAAATGATCAGGAATTACCCAATAGAGTTGAATGTGGACACACCCCATAATCCAAGAGAAACCCTCAGGCCTAAAATCTGCAGAAACTCTTGTACATGAACATGTACTCCAGGAGACATGAATGTTTACAGCACAATTATTCATAACAGCAAAAAAAACAAAAAACAAAAAAAGGAGAGTAACCAAAATGATCACCAATGGTAGAATGGATAAATAGGTACGTATTTTTTACAATGGGATATAGACCACAGTGATGGGAATGAATACAGCTACACACATCAACATGGGTGAATTTCAAGATCACAATGTCGAATAAAGAAGAAATGCACAGAAAAATACACACAGATCCACCTTGTTTATGTCACATTCAAACACAAGCAGAACTAAGCATGGGGACGTCTGCAGTGGGGTAACGACTCCAGTGGTAATTAGTGGGTACCTCTTTTATTATGATTCTTCAAACTGCACACAAGTGTTTCTGAGTACAGTTTGGAACCATAAGCTCCCAGGCTGGAGTACATTGGTGCAATTACGGTTCACCGCAGCCTCGACCTCTGGGGCTTAAGCAGTCCTCCCACCTCAGCCTCCTGATAGCTGAGGCTACAGGCGTGTGCCACTATACCTGGCTAATGTGGGGATTTTTTGTAGAGAGGGTGTTTCACCATGTTGCCCAGGCTGGTCTCAAGCTCCTGGGCTCAAGCAATCTGCCCACCTTGGCCTCCCAAAGTGCTGGGATTACAGGTGTGAGCCACCATGCCCAGGCTTATTCCCTTTTTTGTTTATTTAAATCTTGAACACACATCACAGTTTATTAATCCACCAGCAAGAAAACCAGGCGAGGGACTAGAGTGTGCCAGTCCACAGCGGGAATGGAATGGAAAGTCCAGAGCTGGGAAATGGAGCTCTGAGCTAAGCAGCCAGTTTACAAAGGCAAGCAGCTCATTAGGAGGATGTCACGGTTCTGTGTGGTCTCAAGAACCTCGTCTCCAGGACAGTTGGTACAGAGGAAATCGGGGACGAGACAGTTGGGAGCACCAATCAGGAATCAAACATTTAAAATAACCAATGAGAAGCAAATGATAAGGAAACATCTGTGGCTGTTAATAGGAATGACAAGGTTCACCGTGCTAAGAAATGACTAAAATATAGTTCAACCGAGTTTTAAAATTCATTCGTGAGATCTCTCATTTTTAGGGATGAAAATGGTTCCTGGGGTTCTTTTCCAAATTTGCTTGTACTTTTCTCAAAGGTCTGGTTTGTTCAACCTGGTTTCTATTCCTTCTCTTAGATCTTTTGTTTTATTTTAGAGACAGGGCCTTGCTCTAAAGACCTCAGTGAGCCTTTCTCACTAAGGCTGGAGTGCAGTGGCACGATCTCAGCCCACTGCCACCTCCACCCCCCGGGCAGAAGTGATCCTCCCGCCTCAACCTCCCAGGAAGCTGGGACTGCAGGCGCTCACCACGATGCCCAGCTAATTTTTGTATTTTTTTGCAGAGAAAAAGTCTTGCCATATCTCCCAGGCTGGTCTCAAACTCCTAGGCTCAAGCAATCCTCCTGCCTCAGCTTCCCAAAATGTCGGGATTACAGGTGTGAGCCACTGTACCTGGCCTCTCTTATATCTTTTAATTAATTAATTTTTAAAAAACACATTATCATCTCTTTCACCATTTCACTATTCGCTCTCATTTTCTGGGTACCAATTCTCCAAGCTGTTATATTTTCCATTTCTCCCTCTTTTCTTAATGTGGCTGGTGGACAACAGGGGTAGAATCCACAGAATTTTGAGTGGGAAAGATCAGGATTAATTGCATTATCTGTAAAGTGGTCTTTTTTGTATAAAGGCAAAAATTCTCAGAGAGCCAAGGACTCAGAAAATGTATCATCCATGCACCCTTATTTTTTTAATTACATAAAATTACAGACCAGCTAATTATTAGAAAAATAAAATAACTCAAGAGTCTACAAGAAAATAATCATTGATTTTCCTCCTAGAAATCCATTCTAAGGATAGAATCTAAAATGTAGACAGAGAGCTATGCACACAGTAATAAGAGAAAGAAATGAAAACAATTTAAATGTCCTCAATTAGGAGAATATCTATATGACAGAATGTTTACAAAGAGTTCTTGATTACACCGGAAAAGACTTAAGATATTCATTTTAAAACACAGGTTCAATAATATAAAGAAAAAAGACACAGAAAAATGGTTGGAATATACTAAATATTAACAGTGGTTGTCTCTGATTCTGGATTTTTGGAAGGTGTTTATTTATTTATGCTTGTCTATAATTGTAAATGTTCCTCAATGATCCATATTAATTTTATAATCAGAAAAGAGTAAAATGTAGAGAGTAGATGTTAAAAAATGAAAACTTCCAAAGGTAACAACAGATAAGAACTTAAATATCTGGGCAATATTAAATAAGAAAAATAAAATACTATGCTACTGGCTTTGAGATAGTCTACAGTTTATCCTCAGCACAGCAGACAGAGTACCCTTTAAAAGAGGGGGAGATCGGATTCTGTCTCCGCTTTACTCAAGACCCTCCAAGGGCGCCTCATTTTACTGAATATAAAACCAAAGTCTTGGCCAGGTGTAGTGGCTCACGCCTGTAATCTCAGCACGTTGGGAGACTGGGGCAGGTGGATTTGCTTGAGCTCAGGAGTTTGAGACCAGCCTGGGCAACATGGCAAAACCCCGTCTCTACAAAAATGCAAAAAATTAGCTGGGCGTGGTGGTACAGCCTGTAGTCCCAGCTATTCGGGAGGCTGAGGGGGGAGGGTTGTTTGAGCCCTGAAGGCAGAGGTTGCAGTGAGCTGAGATCGTGGCACTGCCCTACAGCCTGGGTGACACAGTGAGATCCTGTCTCAAAAAAACAAAACAAATAAAAAAAACCCCGAAACCCTAAGTCCTTACAAAGGTCTCTAAGCACCAACATGGTCTGACCCACTCTATCGTAACTCTGATGATACAGTTTGGCTGTGTCCCCACCCAAATCTCATCTTGAACTGCAGCTCCCATAATTCCCAAGTGTTGTGGGAGGGACCCAGTGGGAGGTAATTGAATCATGGGGGCGGTTCCCTCCATACTGTTCTCGTGATAGTGAATGAGTCTCACGAGATCTGATGGTTTTATAAGAAGAAACTCCTTTCACTTGGTCTCATTCTTTCTTTGCCTGCCGCCATGTAAGACGTGCCTTTCGCCTTCCGCCGTGATTGTGAGGCCTCCCCAGCCATGTGGAACCGTGAGTCCATCAAGCCTCTTCCCTTTAGTACCCAGTCTCAGGTATGTGTTTATTAGCAGCATGAGAACAGACTAATACATCTGACAACCTCTCCCCAGCCCCAACTTAACTCAAGTCACACTGGTCTCCTCGCTGTGCCTCAGATCTACCAAGCACACACATCTGCCTCGGGGCCTTTGCACCTGCTGCTTTGCACCCCTACTTGGAATGCTTTCCCTCCACATAGCCACAGAAGATGCTTCAGATCTCCATTCAAAAGTCATTTTGTCGGTGGGCCCCTCTCTTATCCCCATATAAACCAGCAACTGCCCCAGTGTCCCCAGCACCCCTTCTCCCTTTGCCCTAAGGACTTGATCACCGTCTGTGACACTGCAGAATTTACTGGGTTTGTGGTCTCCCTCTCCCATTGGAAGAGCTATTTTGCCTGGCACATAGGAGGTGCTCAATAAATGTGTCAGCTGCCTACATGAATAAACGCATTTGACTGCAGGCTCCCAAAGCAGATGGGCTGAGGCTCACACTGCCGCCTGGTGAAAGGGCATAACACAGGCAGCAACACCACCCTGACAGCCCCAGGAACATCTCACCAGCACTCAACTCGCTCCAGAAAAAATACTTACAATTACAGCCAGAGATGATGGAAGTGAAGCACGAAAGGAAAGGAAGATAAGAGGCCTTGGGCAGAATGCTCCAAGAGTTTTCATCAGAAAACCCAAGTTCTTCCATTAGGATTTGGCTTTTGCGGGGAGACATAACTCCAAATTTTCATCACAGACTCAGAACCAGCTTAAAATCTGACATTTTAAACGGCCTTTCTAGTTAGTTATCTCTTCATTATGATTAGACATTTTTCTAAGAAGAAAGGGCATTAGGAAACCAATTACGCCAGCCTTCCCACACCCCACAAGCAGGCAGAAAAATCCAGCACATGGTTCTGGTACCCACAGGTACCCAGGCTCATATACCATGAACATGTTCCCAGCCCCATCCATTCCTGCTAACCGTGCACCATATGCCTGGTGCTGCAGAGAGGGAATATCCTTGATCTTTTAGAGGCTAAGTTTTATCAGCCTCTAAAAATTCAAGGGCAAAGTAATAGCGTAATGCACAGCCTCATATTCTCTGCCTTAGGAAAGATAAGAAAATTCATCCTAAGCTATTTCGGACTTTTCTGGGCACTGGAGCCCTCTGGAGATTAAGACAGGCTGGTGGTAGCTCAAGACTGTTACGGAGTGTGAGGGTGACTCATGAGGGGGATGGGGAAACCCTCAACTAAATTATTAAACTTGCTAAATTTGTCTTTCCTTCCATTCACTTTCTTTTCCTTCAAAGATCCCTCACTTCTGCCCTCCCACAGCTCAGCTGTGACCATCTTTTCATCCCACAAAGTGTCTCCCCACAGACGATGTTTTAAGGAATTTCCTCTTCCATGGACATGTGCATTGTCAAAGGGGTCCCCTGAAGATTAGAAGGACCTCAGGTTCAAAGGGGAGATTTCTGGCTGAAGAGGAAGGGAGGCCTCTGATAGTTATGGAATATCTATGCTGGAGGTTTTGCCCACTTCAACAGTCTTACTGAATTCTCGCAGCAACTGTGGAGCAGACATTATTAACTCCATCTGGGGATGAGGAGTCAGGGACTTCCAGCAAGACAGAATGCTAGCACACACTGTGAGGCCCTGCCTGCAGCTTTTCCTGTTCCAAAGACACGGAAGTGATAGAGGAAAATACTTTCACAACAACAGCAGCAAGGAAATGTGCGCAAAAACAAGATCTATATCTCCATGGATCATAAATTCAAAGTATTTGCCATTTTGAGGGGTGAAGGCACAGCCGCTTGCTGAGCTCTGGGCTCCGAAGCAGACAGAGGCAGCTGGGAGATTGGTCTTCCAGGGTTCAGGGACTAAAAGTGACCCTTGGGAGGTGGGGGACCAGAGCAGAGTCACTAAAATCAGGCTGTTGAGGGGATTTTCCACCTGGGAAAGGAGGCTGAAAACAGCAGGGACCTGCCCCGGGACTATAACATACATAAGGAAATGAGCTCAGAGGAAAGCAAGCCCAGCAGCAGCAGGGCCTGGCCAAGCTGTCACGGCTGGGATGAGGGTCTGGGAATAATCCCAGTATCACCATGGATGAGCAGCTCGCCACAAACCCAGGATGCCTGGCTCAGCACTGGGCAACCCCAGACCCAGCGGGAGGCAGCTGCAAAACTATTCAGCTAGAAGAGCCGGGTGGGAAACAGAGAGAAACGGACTATTATCACACAGGATGAGCGCACAAACCAAAATTCCAAAACTTCCAAGGAAAACTAACCCTAAGAAAGACAACCCACGAAACCAATGGGGAATTGATCTCAAGGAAAGACTTAGTGACTTGGAAGGCAGTACTGAAGAATTCACCCAGAAAGGACCACAGAAAGATAAAGAAATAAACAAGAAAGAGCAGTTGGGAGCTGTGGGGGATGGTTGAGGAGCTCTGAAATGTATCCAGCGGGATTTCCAGAGAGGAGAGAAGGAATGGCAGAGGAGCAATATTCAAAGACATCATGGCTGAGAATTTTCCAGAATTGAAGGTGTTTTGTGGATCCTCGGATGTGACAAGCAAGATTTAAAAAGTAATAAATCCTGATCTGGAAGACCAGCTGCACGCCTCCTCGCCCCTCACATTCTGTCCCAGCCCTGCCTCCCCAGGGCACTTCCCAGAAGCTACCTGCCACGTCCTGCTGTTTTGGCTCCAATCCGACCTGGCACAGGGAGGTTCTGACTGTCCCTGCCCATCTGCTACTCCCCAGAGTCCTTGCTGAGCCTCGACTTCCTTCCCTCAAATGGGGTTGGAACTAGAACCATAGAACTGTAGCAGCAGAAGGGGCGTTGGGTGGCATCGTGACAGCAGACAACGGCTGAGTTTGGTTTCCAGCTCCCCCACTAACTGGCTCTGTGCTTGCAGGTTATTTAACCTCTTGTGTCTTTATTTCCCCATCAGGAAAAGGGGATAAGAATAGCACCACTGGGGTTGTGCAGGGATGAAATGAATTCATACATGCAAGGAACTTATGGCAGTGCCAGGCACACAGTCAGCGTTCACCCTGGGTAGCTACTACTGTTACCATAATAACAGCCCCCACAAACACCACATGCTCTCACACTCACAGTGCGAGGGGCTTCCCACCGAAACCTCGGACTCTCCCACGTGTAGAACCTGCCACCCCTGCATAGGGGAAGTGGCCACAGGCTGTCCCTCCGTGCTTTTCTCCGCCGAGTGGTCAGTTCTTCCTTGACTTCTGGAGAAACCCCTCCCAGTGACTGTCCACCCATCCCCATCTGAGAGCGTATCCAGCCCGCCCAGCCCTCCCCACCGTCACCCTGACCGTCCACCCATCCCCATCTGAGGGCATATCCAGCCCACTCAGCCCTCCCCACCGTCACCCTGGACGCCCTACCTCTCTTTGCTCACTGCAGATCTTACACAGCCACAGGGGCCGCTTCTGGCCAGGGGAGGCCTCGATCCCACATTTGGTGCAGACTTTCTACAAGAGAGAGGACATGGGGTTGTAAAGATTGCAGCCGCTTCCTCCTCCGCCGAGGGGCTCAGACAACTGTAACGAAGGGACACTTAGCATCTTCCAAGGAGCGTCTCTTGCTTCAGGATAGAAGGAATCAATCACCCCAGAGGCACAGCTCATCTAAAAATCCTTAGTTGGCTTTGGACGTAATGGATGGCCCCATCCACGGAACCCCCACCCCAGAGTTAGGTTCTGTTGGAACCACAGCAAAGCTTGCTGACATTCACAGCTGCGTCACGTTTGATAGCAAAGAACTGGAAACAACACAGACGCCCAATGCCAGGGGAGGGTCCAGGCAAACACGACAGCACGTGATCTGGCCTTCACACAGCCGACGGCGGTGCTGCCTGGAAATAATGCGATTCAACAAAGAAACATACGTTTGCGTATAACCCGAAACTGGCCTGCGTGTCCGACAGGTCAGAAGACACAATCGTGAGAAATGCTGGTAACAACGTGACAGTTACGTAAACTTTGGGCCCACGTTATAGGTGAGGAACCCGGGGCTTGGCAGAGTCTGAGGATATGCTCAGGTTCACATGGCAGCCACGGATTCCGGTCGGACTCCAGAGACAGTTTATCATGTTCTCTGGACGCAGAAATAACCAGAATCTAGAACCTACAGTCTGCTGATGTGCTGGGCCATCGAAGACCCCACGCCTGGGAGCTTCATGAGAACTGGAAAGGGGCTTTGCTTTAAGCAAGGTTGATTAAGCTCATAACTTATAAATACAATTACTGTTGCTTAAAAACAAGAATATGTCCTGAGAAAAGGCACAGTGAGGTGATTGCATCATTGTGCAAACAGCACATAGAGCACACTTACGCAAACCAAGATGGTATAGCCGGCTGCACACCCAGGCTAGCTGCTGTATTCTGTGGCTGCTAGGCCACAAACCTGAACGACATGTTACTGTACCGAAGGCTGCAGGCAACTGTGACACAGCGGAAAGTATTCCTGTATCTAAATATATCATAGAAATGGTACAGTAAGAATGTGGTATTATAATGGTGTGGGACATTTGCTGGCCGAAACGTCATTATGTGATGCAGGACAGTTCTTACGTTGCTTCCCCTGAAGGCACAGCAACAAGGCCAGAAGAAGCAAGCTGGGAGGCAGAGGTGGATGTGTTGGGGCTGAGACCGGCTCCAGGCTAACCCAGGCAGAGTCTGATTCAGCGATCGCTGGCGACTCCTCAGGACTGTTGCCCCAGCTCATCCATCTTTCTGCCACACGGAAGCCACCCGGTCCCTGCGTGGGTGGGGGCTCTCTGCAGCCCCCCGCCGAGGGAAGGTTGCATCTGTTGCTTGGCCTTTTCTGCAGGCTGCCAACTCAGCAAGGAGCACGTCTCTCCATGGAGAGGGAAAATGTCACCAACTTGGCTTCCACGTCGAGCGTGTCGAGCGTGTGGAGGTCACTGGCCTGATCGGGTGGCCGAGCTCAGTGCCCCTGGGGTGGGGGAGCAAACTCACGGGGGACGGAAGCTATGATACATTCCTGCGGGGGACGGATTTGCTACCATCCAATGCTCAGGTACGAGAAATGTCACCTTTTATTTATCCAAAGAAAATGCAATCTGCTCCAAGCTCCTGTCCCTCTGGATTGGCAGGAAAATCTGCCCAAGCCTCAGCCACACTTGGGGCCCCTTTCCAGCTCTCATGAAGGTCCTAGGCTTGGGGTGTTTGATGGCCCAGATCTGCAGAGGGTCCCCTGAGCGCCGTCCACACTCCTCACTGCTGGCCTTCTTGCTTCCCAAGCTCTCATGACCCCATGAGAGGGAGTGGGAGCATGTGGTCATATCTGTGCCAGTCCTGGGTTTGGGATCATTGCTAGGCTGGGCTTCAGCCCTTCCAAGGACCAGTAGCCTGTCTCCCTGGAACCCTAGGCCACCATCCCTCACAGAGACTGGTGACTCTCCCCTTCCCCAAGAGAGCAGCCTCTCTCCACCTCTTCCACCCTTCGCTCCTAATGTTCCCACCTCTACAACAGGGTCCCCCATCAGCCTATGAGGTGGGCTCCAGAACCACAACGTGGGCCTCTCCTCTCTGGGTAAAGGGGAGAGGAAGCACTGATGCTACTTAGCTCTGTTTTCCTTGCGAATTCCCACCATCCCTGTGTACACTGTAACAGGTGGAAACAAGTGTGGCCCTCAGAGACGTGAGCTCTCCCTTCTGCACTCTACACACGCATCGGTTGAGGGCAGCTCACCTTATAAACATGCAGAGTGCCCTGCCCTGCATAGGCTGCTGAACGAGGCGATGCTGCGGGAACAGGAGGGAATCAAACACCCACAGCGCAGTTAGTGAGCAGTTATCGGACCGGGCCAGAGTATGAAGGAGGCAGGTGTTATGATCCCCACTATATAGATGAAGGAACAAAGGCTCAGAGATGACTCGGGCTGCCCGAGGTCACACAGCTCGTTCACGGTAAAGCAGAATTTTTGTTCAGACCTCAGGAGGGTCGGTCACACCCTCCCCTGCCCTGGTGCCAGGCTGGTGCGCACGGCTCTCTAGAGAGCTGCTTCTGCTCAGGCGGGTCCCTGGGGACGTGGCTGATGGCTCTCAAAACAATGGGCAGAGAAGGTGCCAGGGGCCGACCCTGGGACAAAGCTTTGCTGGGGTCGTGAGTGTGGCCTGATGCTGACTCTAGGAGCAACGGCCCAGGCTGGACAGTCTGGCCCTGCCCTCCATGCTCTCCCAGTGGGGAGGGGAGAGGTTTCCAGCTGTCAGCAGGAGGCCCGGCAGCCTCTCCATTGCACCCCACAGGTGCCCTCGCAGCCTGGCCTCTCCCCCGGGGGCCGCCTTCCCCTATGCACACAGCCAAGGGGGAGAGGACAGCCTCTGCCCCATCGTAGTCAGCTTAGGCTGCTGTAACAAAAATACCATAGACTGAGTGGCTGAAACAACAGAAGCATGTTTATCACAGCTGCAGAGGCCTGACGGCCCCGGTCGGGGTGCCCACACGGTCAGGTTCTGGGGAGGGCTCTTCCTGGCGTACAGACGGCAGCTTCTTGCTGTACCCTCCCACAGTAGAGTGAGGTCTGGCCTCCTCCTCTGATAAGGACGCCAATCCCATCCCCAGGGTCCCACCCTCAGGACCTCATCTGATCCCTCCCAAAGCCCCCATCTCCAAATATCACATCTGCGTGACGGCTTCAACGTAGGTATTTTGGGGTGATATAAACATTCAGTCCACAGCAGCGCCCGACCAGGACTGGGATCCTCTCTCTGCTTTTGTACTCGGGAGCCCTAGAAATGGGAGCATCGTCGTGTCTCTCAGCCCTGGAGTCGTCTAGAGCCCTCGGTCCCCCTGAGCCTGCACCTCACGCCATCCTGCGCTATCACCAGATCCTGTTCCTGAGACGTGACTCTCGGCTCCTTCAGAGGCCGCACGGCACGGCGCACAGGTTTGGGGATGGCAGACCTGGGTGGGCTCCCGGGCAAGTCACCCAAAGCCTCTCTAAACCTCAGACGTTCTCAGCTGTAAAGTGGGATAATACTTACACCCTTGGGTTGTTTTGAGGATCAACTGAGACACAGGAAAAGCAACCAGCACGTAATAGCGACTCGATAAATGCCAGCTGCGGTTAGTGCAGCCCCTCGTACCGTGTTCTGCAGCCCGGCGTGGTTTTCCTCTAGTCCCACACGATCTAATACGGTAGCCACCAGCTGCAGGTGGCTATTTAAGTGCAAACTGATTGTGATGGAATAAAATGAAAAACAGCTCTGAGGTCACACTGACCCCATTTCAGGTACTCCGTGGCCTCACGTGGCCGGTGGCTACCGCAAGGGACAGCAGAGAAATACATTTTCATCCTCACCGTGAGGTTCTGCAGGACGGCGCTCGGCCAGAGGACCCTGCCCTCAGTCTCCCCACTCAACCTGCCAACAGCCTGCTCCCCTGCTCCCCTACAGCTTCCAATCAACCCGACTGATGCACTCATGTGCCTGCCCCTCAGCGCGGCTCTATCTCCACCCCCATCCCGTCTAGCGCTCACCTCCCCTGCGATTCACTAATCCACGTTACCATCACCCGCTGAGCACCCGTGAGGGGCACAGGCCTGGCGTGACAGGACACGGATGAACAGGGTGGGGCCCAGGCCCCACTGTGCACCCCGGGATGCCCTCAACACTTGCTCCGATGTCCCCCCGCCACTGCTGGGGGGGTGCTCGGCTGCCCTGTGGGGGGGTTTGAGGGACAAATGTGCACGTGTCTCACTGATGAAACAGTGCCGTGGGGGCAGGGAGAGAAGCCAGGAGAGTGTCCACGGAACTGAGTCCTGTCCTCTACTCACAGACCACGAGGACGCGGAGCCAACGGATCTGGGGACAGGAGCAGCGTGGACCAGTCGCCCTCCAGAGGTTGGGTGAAGGGCTGTCCCTGCTGGGCCCACGAACCTCTGCCTTCCCCTTAGGGTCTGGTGCTTCCTGCTCCCCAGATCGCGCCTCGGGCAGCCTGTTTTCCCGCTACCAACCAACGCTGGCGGCACCTGGGGTCAGTTCTCCACCTCAGCCATCCCCCTGCTGCTTCAGTGTCTCTGGCTGGCAGGGGGCAGGGGGCGTTCCTAAGAGGCGAGGGCTACGGAAAGACGACACGCTCCCACTCAAATAACACATAATTGCTGCTTTCGTAAATCTCAGATCAATAAGGCAGTCATGGGCCTCTTCCAATGGGCTCGGTCTTTGTTCCCAGGTTCCAATAAAGAAAACGAAACAGGTGGTATTTTTGAAAACCCATGCGACAGCGAGCAAGCCAGCCTCTACATCACCTTGGTGCAAACACAGCCCTTCACGATCTGTGTCTAGGACAGTCCCGGGGCCCAGGGGTGGCCACTCACTTCCCTGCCTGAGATGGGCTTCCTCGGAGTGGATTTGCCCAGGGCAAGCGAGTCCTGGCTTCCCGGGCTTGGCTGCCTCATGCACCCTGCAGCCTGGAACTGCGTCCGGGTGTTAAACGATGAAGCTTCTGGGCCTAACCCAGGGCAGAAGCCACACAACTCCAGGCTTTCAGACCTCGCACCCTCTCTCTCCACCGTCAGACCTCGCACCCTCTCTCTCCACCGTCAGACCTCGCACCCTCTCTCCACCGTCAGACCTCACACCCTCTCTCCACCGTCAGACCTCACACCCTCTCTCCACCGTCAGACCTCACTCCCTCTCTCTCCACCGTCAGACCTCACTCCCTCTCTCCACCGTCAGACCTCGCACCCTCTCTCCACCGTCAGACCTCACACCCTCTCTCCACCGTCAGACCTCACACCCTCTCTCCACCGTCAGACCTCGCACCCTCTCTCTCCACCGTCAGACCTCGCACCCTCTCTCTCCACCGTCAGACCTCGCACCCTCTCTCTCCACCGACAGACCTCGCACCCTCTCTCTCCACCGTCAGACCTCACACCCTCTCTCCACCGTCAGACCTCACACCCTCTCTCCACCGTCAGACCTCACACCCTCTCTCCACCGTCAGACCTCACTCCCTCTCTCTCCACCGTCAGACCTCACTCCCTCTCTCCACCGTCAGACCTCGCACCCTCTCTCCACCGTCAGACCTCACACCCTCTCTCCACCGTCAGACCTCACACCCTCTCTCCACCGTCAGACCTCACTCCCTCTCTCTCCACCGTCAGACCTCACTCCCTCTCTCCACCGTCAGACCTCGCACCCTCTCTCCACCGTCAGACCTCGCACCCTCTCTCCACCGTCAGACCTCACACCCTCTCTCCACCGTCAGACCTCACACCCTCTCTCCACCGTCAGACCTCGCACCCTCTCTCTCCACCGTCAGAGCTCGCACCCTCTCTCTCCACCGTCAGACCTCGCACCCTCTCTCTCCACCGACAGACCTCGCACCCTCTCTCTCCACCGACAGACCTCGCACTCTCTCTCCACCGACAGACCTCGCACGCTCTCTCTCCACCGTCAGACCTCACACTCTCTCTCCACCGTCAGACCTCACTCCCTCTCTCCACCGACAGACCTCACACTCTCTCTCCACCGACAGAGCTCACACTCTCTCTCCACCGTCAGACCTCACTCTCTCTCTCCACCGTCAGACCTCCCACCCTCTCTCCACCGTCAGACCTCGCACCCTCTCTCTCCACCGTCAGACCTCACACCCTCTCTCCACCGTCAGACCTCACTCCCTCTCTCCACCGTCAGACCTCACTCCGTCTCTCCACCGTCAGACCTCGCACCCTCTCTCTCCACCGTCAGACCTCACACCCTCTCTCCACCGTCAGACCTCACTCCCTCTCTCCACCGTCAGACCTCACTCCCTCTCTCCACCGTCAGACCTCGCACCCTCTCTCCACCGTCAGACCTCGCACCCTCTCTCTCCACCGTCAGGCCTCACACCCTCTCTCCACCGTCAGACCTCACACCCTCTCTCCACCGTCAGACCTCACACCCTCTCTCCACCGTCAGACCTCACTCCCTCTCTCTCCACCGTCAGACCTCACTCCCTCTCTCCACCGTCAGACCTCGCACCCTCTCTCCACCGTCAGACCTCACACCCTCTCTCCACCGTCAGACCTCGCACCCTCTCTCTCCACCGTCAGACCTCGCACCCTCTCTCCACCGTCAGACCTCACACCCTCTCTCCACCGTCAGACCTCGCACCCTCTCTCTCCACCGTCAGACCTCGCACCCTCTCTCTCCACCGTCAGACCTCGCACCCTCTCTCTCCACCGTCAGACCTCACACCCTCTCTCCACCGTCAGACCTCGCACCCTCTCTCTCCACCGTCAGACCTCGCACCCTCTCTCTCCACCGTCAGACCTCGCACCCTCTCTCTCCACCGTCAGACCTCGCACCCTCTCTCTCCACCGTCAGACCTCGCACCCTCTCTCTCCACCGTCAGACCTCGCACCCTCTCTCCACCGTCAGACCTCGCACCCTCTCTCCACCGTCAGACCTCGCACCCTCTCTCCACCGTCAGACCTCGCACCCTCTCTCCACCGTCAGACCTCGCACCCTCTCTCTCCACCGTCAGACCTCACTCCCTCTCTCTCCACCGTCAGACCTCACTCCCTCTCTCCCGGCCGTCAGACCTCGCACCCTCTCTCCCCACTCCTGTCTCAGTCCCTCCATGTGCTTCTTTTGCAAAGAAATGTATATTCTCTCTACCCCCAAGAACACAGGGGAGGGGGTTCCCCAGGGACCTGCCCACGGGACACAGGCTTTGGGGCAGGAGAGAGCAGGGTGTGCCGTTTAGAGGTGAACTTGGACTCGGTACTCGCCTTCTGAGCCTCACTTCCTCATCTGTAAGTTGGTGGTAACAGGCCCCCCCACACCCCAGGTTGCAGATGAGGGGATCAAGGGAGACGGTCATGAAAGTGCTCAGCACCATAAAAGGTTAGGTAGGCGGCAACCTCAGACCTTTATAGCCATGCCTGTCTCAGTGAAGGCAGCCAGCATCCATCAGTCACACAAGCCACAACCCAGCACTCATCCTGGGCCCCCATCGTCCCTCCTTCCTGCCCAGATAATCCATCTCCAAGAACTCAAATCTCTCTCCAACCTCTCAATTCCCCTTCAGCCCCGTCCCTGATCTCTGCTGCCACCGCCCACGCCCACACCAAGGCCGCCCAGCAGATCTCTCTACCCCACCGCGCTGTCCTCCAGCTGGTTCCCGACATGGCAGCCAGGCCGATTTTCTCAAGAGGCAAATCTAATCATGTCACCTCTCCCATCCCTCCCAACTTAAAAGCCATCAGAGGCTTCCCGCTGCTCTGGGGTGACCACCGCCTCACTTCATACGGCATTCGGGCCGGCCCTGCCTCCTGCTCTACTTCCTCAGCCCCGACCCTCTGAGCTCCAGCCGTGTGGGCCGTTTGTCAGCCCCTGGTCCTTCTGCCACAGGACCTTTGCACGTGTTGCCCCCTCTGTGTGGCCACGCTGTCTCTTCATTAACCTACACACCCCTCGGACCTCAGCAAAAGCACCACATCTTCAAGGAAGACTTCCGCAACACTCCTTCCACAATGAGAGCCTCCAGAATGGGCTCCTGCCTCTTCTCCGCTGTCAAGGTTGTGATTTTACCCTCCGCTGTGTGGCTGCAGGGCTCCTGTGACTTCCCCTGCTGGGCCGTCATCTTCCCAAGGGCAGAGGCCACGTCTATTTCTGTTCACCCTCCTGCTCCCTGTGCCCGGCACAGTGACTATTTGCAGAAGAACGGATTGAACAAATGGAAGCTACTTAAGATATTACAGTTGAAAAAGCAAGACAGGCTCCCTCCCGGAACATGCCGACCTGCCGGGAAGACAAGCTGCACGGAGGCGTGAAGGCACTCGCTCAGCGACACGAGGCAGGGTCCAATCACGTCCACATTGAGTGATGCTGACCAGCAGGATTGTGGGAGGCCAAACCAGGGAGAGCCACACAGCGGGCAAGTGTCCGAGGAGGTGGGGTGGTGGCCAGGTGGGCCTCAGTCTCAGGGTATGGAGCATAAACCCAGGCTGGCCCGGCCACAGGGGAAATGACTCCGGGAATCCTTCACTGAGGGTGGGAAGCGGGGATGTTTACCAGACCATTCCCATGACGGCTCCTGCCTGCCTCCCCCGGGGTGCGTGCCGCGGCCGCCTATGTGTGCAGACCCGTCCCAAGGCCTGATCAGGCACCTTCCTCAATGTCCTTCTTATCCAGGGCCACTTCAGTGACATTTCTGCTTCCTGCGACTCCCCGTCCCACCCCTTCTCCTTCCCAGATGGCACCCAAGAGTCACAATGCGACAGAAGGTTCTGCTGGGCCACTCCAAAGTTCAGGTACTTCATGCCCAGGCTGGCCTTTGAGTCCTCACCGATCCATTTCATGATGAGGAATTCCACCACGCTCCCGCAGATCAGAAGACGGGAAGGGGCTTAGTGCCAATGTAGGGGGAGGGAAGGAAACTGCTCTGAAAGCAGACGCCGCCATCTCACAGCACCCGCGGTCTGGAGTCAGTCACTGGCAGCCTCACACTCCTGGACGGGCCGGGACAGCTTCACAGCGTCACCATCCATGGCACAGAGAGGGCTGTTCATGAGCCTCACTCGACCGAAAAGGGTGAAACTGCGCTCAAACGTCCTGTACAAGGAGGCCTGGACCATCCATGGCACAGAGAGGGCTGTTCATGAGCCTCACTCGACCGAAACGGGTGAAACTGCCCTCAAACGTTGCGTACAAGGAGGCCTGGAAAACGTACGCTGTGCTGTGGAGATGAACACTGAAGATGGCTGGTTTAAACGTGTGGAGCTTCAATTCACAAACATGTTTTCTATACTGTAGGGAAGGCATTATTCTAAGAATGCCGAAAACAAACAAGACACGGCCCTTTGTCCTCAAAGAGTGTCCCATTGAACGGAGTAGTTTATCCATTAGCAAAACTCAGGGCCAGGTGCGGTGGATCCTGCCTGCAATCCCAGTGCTTTGGGAGGCCGAGGTGGGGGGATTTCTTGAGGCCAGAAGTTCAAGACCAGCCTGGGCAACACAATGAGACTCCCCCACCCCCCATCTCATTTTAAAAAATAATAAAATAAAATAGCAATCTTTTATCTGGAAAATTACTTTCCTGAGAGTTCCAGTGAGTTGAAATCGGCAGGTGAGCTGGTTTCTCATTGGGAACCGCGCTGCAGACGGTGCTTACAGAGGGGTCATCCCCCTGCCCCGATAAAATAGGATAAGAAATAGCTACGTCTGAATGGCCTCGGTGCATGCACAAAGCAGCATAATGAGAGCCTCCACGTGTGTGTTTCATGCCACACAATGTGCTCCTGATGCCAGAAACCAAATCTTCAAAAGGGAAAATCTTACTAGGTTTAGGGGAGAGCTTTGCAGCAACAAAGACGATGATGATGTAAATAGAAAAGTGACGAAATGACAACGAAGCTGTGTGGGGCAATATTCACCATAAGCTGTTAAGTTAAAAAAAGCACGTTGGAAACAGTCTGCATAGCAGGGCGCTCCACCACGTAAATATGTAGATGTGCCTACATCTATGGAGGAGTCTATATATACACAGAGGACAATCTAGAAAGATATCAGCCCAAATGGAAATCAAACTGTGCAAAGTCAAAATCTATTTTAAATGGATAAGCAGAATTCCTATTTAAAGGAAGCTTATGCTAAATGCTTTGGAAAGTCACTTGCCCCAACTTCATTTTTTGACCAGGTCTGGATTTTTGCAGGTCAGGATGGATTAAAGCAGCTGAAAGTGTCCACGCAGACAGGCAGGAGACAGCCACAGTGGCTGACTGTGGCTCAATTGTAATCAGGCCTGTGCACCCCCACAGCGGGTCCCAGATGGTGTCCCCGGGTCACCGGCCCCTCCGATCATAAGCTCAGCCCTGCTCAGCCCCTGAAGTGCCATCCGCCAGGCTTGGAGAAGCATCACCTGCCCCAGTGGGCCAGCAGCGGAAAGGCTGGATACAGCTCTGTTGCTATAGACGCTGTCTGGAACCCAGGCCCTGCTGCCAAATGACTTTAAACGTATAGACAGTTCAGATATTGATGTATATAATTACAAATATTTATATACTTTCTCGGGTACTTATGCTTACACTAGGCACCAAGCTAGCTGTTTTATGCAGAATCTCATTTAATTTTCAAAACAGCCCTATGGGGTGGGTATGACTGTTCCTGTTTTACACAAGGGATCTGAGACTTGAGGTTAAGCAGCTCGACGTGGGGACCTGGGATGCGAACCCTGTTCAGTCTGAGCCTCGGTCCCGGGCTCCTGCTGCCCCAGCCGGGCCTGGCTGCCTGGCTAGCACACTCTTGCAGGCCCTCATCCTCCCGCCTGGACCCAACTTCACCCTCCCCACCCCGAGGTAAGGCAAGGCTGGATCCCTGGGCCCTCTCCTCTTCCAGAACGACAGATGAGGTCAAGCTTCAAGTGGGAGGGGCACAGCCAGGCCCCTCTTCCCATTCGTTAGGACACAGCCCGGGGGCCAGCAGCGCTGGGAGCACGCCGAGCCCTGGACCTTACCCCGACTACCCACAAATACCAAGTCACAGAAGGCCCCAAGGAGGCACAGCCTTAATGCCAGCCACCTGCTGCCGGGTCTGAGACAGAAGCCAGAGGCAAGTGGAGAAACATTTCAGGAGGAAGGCAAGTCTCCCTGGACTTCCCACCCCACGTCCTCCATCCTGGCTGCTGGCGGCTCCCAGGGGAACCAGCCACTCAGGGCCGAGCCGCCTCTCTTTACCAAGGCTTCCGGCAGGCCCTTCCCCTCCATCGGAAGAGCCTCTGACATGGCCTGGGGACCACCTGCGAGCCTCAGGCCTGTGCCAGCCCCCAGCCACCTCTCCCAGTTGAAAGCAAGCACCATCATTTCCTGTGGCTTTCAAGCTCGGCTTCCAAAACACCAAACACCTCCTCCCTCCGCCTGCCACTCATGCAGTTACCACTGCGTCCCGAGTGGAGAGGAGGGTTAAAAAAGGCAACAGCATCAGCTGTTGACTATTAACATTCACAGAGCACATAATAAGAAATCATGACTTGGACGGGGCTTCGGATCATTTCTGCACTCGTGCCTCTGCGAGTGTCAGTCTCAGGGAAATCGGGGTATTCAGACGAGATGAAGCCGCCAGGATGGCTGGGGGCCGGGGCTCCGGGGGTGGGGCAGCGGGGTCCAGGGGCCTCAGTTAACCCCTTCCCGGTCCTGGTTAACCTCTGCATCCCCTCAGTCCCAGAGAGGTTTCTGCATCTTTTCCGGCAGGACACGGGAAACAGGAGGTTTGAGCCATCGAGAACTGGGCTGAGGGCCGTGCAGCACCGGTGATGGGAGCACGGTGCACTCAACAGGAGCTTCGGCCAAGGGGTGGATGGGATGGCTAAATCAGAAGGTGGGAGGAGGGTTTTTAAAAACCAGCAAATCTGGTCGGGCGCGGTGGCTCACGCCTGTAATCCCAGCAATTTGGGAGGCTGAGGTGGGCGGATCGCCTGAGGTCAGGAGTTCAACACCAACCTGGCCAACAAGGCGAAACCCCGTCTCTACTAAAAATACAAAAATTAGCCGGGCGCGGTGGTACTCACCCGGAATCCCAGCTACTTGGTGGCTGAGGTAGGAGAACTGCTTGAAACCAGAAGTCGGAAGTTGCAGTGAGCTGAGATTGCACCACTGCATTACAGCCTGGGTGACAGAGCAAGACTCGGTCTCAAAAAAATAAAATAAAAATAAAACCCAGCAAATCTAATAATGTTCAATCAAAGGGGAAAGCACAGGACGTGGGGCTTGGTCTCCAGGGGTTCCTGAGTTCATTCAGCATCTGTGGAGGACACAGTGGTGCCAGGTACGAGCCCAGTGTGAGGTGTGAGGTGTGAGGAGTGCTGATGGGATGAAGAGACGTACAAACGCCAGCATGGGATGGACCACTTGAGCCCAGGTGATCAAGACCAGCCTGGGCAACATAGCAAGACCCCGTCTCTACAAAAAAAAAAATACAAAAATTAGCCGAGCATGCTGGTGCACACCTGCAGTCACAGCTACTTGGAAGAATCGTTTGAGCTCAGAAGGTCGAGGCTGCAGTGAGTTGTGATTGCACCACAGCACTGCAGCCTGGGTGACAGAGTGAGACCCAGACTCGAATTTTAAAAAGGCCAACCTGAGTGGACACAGCATTAAGTCTGACCAGGACTGAAGAACACCTGTGCAGAAATGGACGGCAGAGGGAATGCACATCAGTGTGGGAGGGACAGAGGAGCTGCAGAAATGGATGGACAGAGGGAATGCACATCAGTGTGGGAGGGACACAGATGCTGCAGAAATGGACAGCAGAGGGAATGCACACAGTGTGGGAGGGACAGAGATGCTGCAGAAATGGACGGGCAGAGGGAATGCACATCAGTGTGGGAAGGACAGAAGAGCTGCAGAAATGGACGGGCAGAGGGAATGCACATCAGTGTGGGAGGGACAGAGGGAATGCACATCAGTGTGGGAGGGACAGAGGAGCTGCAGAAATGGATGGACAGAGGGAATGCACATCAGTGTGGGAGGGACAGAGATGCTGCAGAAATGGACAGCAGAGGGAATGCACATCAGTGTGGGAGGGACAGAGATGCTGCAGAAATGGATGGACAGAGGGAATGCACATCAGTGTGGGAGGGACACAGATGCTGTAGAAATGGAAAGCAGAGGGAATGCACATCAGTGTGGGAGGGACAGAGATGCTGCAGAAATGGACGGGCAGAGGGAATGCACATCAGTGTGGGAAGGACAGAGGAGCTGCAGAAATGGACGGGCAGAGGGAATGCACATCAGTGTGGGAGGGACAGAGGGAATGCACATCAGTGTGGGAGGGACAGAGGAGCTGCAGAAATGGATGGACAGAGGGAATGCACATCAGTGTGGGAGGGACACAGATGCTGCAGAAATGGACAGCAGAGGGAATGCACATCAGTGTGGGAGGGACAGAGATGCTGCAGAAATGGACGGGCAGAGGGAATGCACATCAGTGTGGGAGGGACAGAGGAGCTGCAGAAATGGACGGGCAGAGGGAATGCACATCAGTGTGGGAGGGACAGAGGAGCTGCAGAAATGGATGGACAGAGGGAATGCACATCAGTGTGGGAGGGACAGAGGAGCTGCAGAAATGGATGGACAGAGGGAATGCACATCAGTGTGGGAGGGACACAGATGCTGCAGAAATGGAAAGCAGAGGGAATGCACATCAGTGTGGGAGGGACAGAGGAGCTGCAGAAATGGATGGGCAGAGGGAATGCACATCAGTGTGGGAGGGACAGAGGAGCTGCAGAAATGGACAGCAGAGGGAATGCACATCAGTGTGGGAGGGACACAGATGCTGCAGAAATGGATGGACAGAGGGAATGCACATCAGTGTGGGAGGGACACAGATGCTGCAGAAATGGAAAGCAGAGGGAATGCACATCAGTGTGGGAGGGACAGAGGAGCTGCAGAAATGGACGGGCAGAGGGAATGCACATCAGTGTGGGAGGGACAGAGGAGCTGCAGAAATGGACAGCAGAGGGAATGCACATCAGTGTGGGAGGGACAGAGATGCTGCAGAAATGGATGGACAGAGGGAATGCACATCAGTGTGGGAGGGACACAGATGCTGCAGAAATGGAAAGCAGAGGGAATGCACATCAGTGTGGGAGGGACAGAGGAGCTGCAGAAATGGACGGGCAGAGGGAATGCACTTCAGTGTGGGAGGGACAGAGGAGCTGCAGAAATGGACGGGCAGAGGGAATACACATCAGTGTGGGAGGGACAGAGGAGCTGCAGAAATGGATGGACAGAGGGAATGCACATCAGTGTGGGAGGGACAGAGGAGCTGCAGACATGAACGGGCAGAGGGAATGCACATCGGTGTGGGAGGGACAGAGGAGCTGCAGAAATGGATGGACAGAGGGAATGCACATCAGTGTGGGAGGGACAGAGGAGCTGCAGAAATGGATGGACAGAGGGAATGCACATCAGTGTGGGAGGGACAGAGGAGCTGCAGAAATGGATGGACAGAGGGAATGCACATCAGTGTGGGAGGGACAGAGGAGCTGCAGAAATGGATGGACAGAGGGAATGCACATCAGTGTGGGAGGGACAGAGGAGCTGCAGACATGAACGGGCAGAGGGAATGCACATCGGTGTGGGAGGGACAGAGGAACTGTCCTCACGGGGCTGGAGGACACAGCCAGGAGCAGCTCCTGGACCAGCTCCACCTTGGTAATGAGATTCAGGATGTCAAGCCCAGAGGCCAGGCGAGTCCCTCACGAGCTCGTTTCCGCCGATGGCTCGCCATGGCCACCACCGGTTGCACCTTCACCTCTGAGGGGCTGTGGGGGCAGTCAGAACCCGCAGGGCCCAAAGACGGGCTGTTCAACGTCACGCCCGCTTTTTTCAAACACACAATATTGTTTTGAAACTTCAAGTCACATATGAAAAAAAGGGTGTGGAAGGGTTCTACGTGTATCAAAAGGGAGCCTGGGTTTTGAAACGTGGATCAATGCTGCTCTAACGTCCTGCCGGAGAAGGAAAAGGAACCCACCAGCTCCGCTCAGGAGGCCTCTTGGGGGTCTCCAGAATCATCCCCTTCAAGCATCCAAGGGGACAAGGCTGGGTCTCGTGGGGCATTGTGTGAGGACAAACCGTAACACCGATTTTCCCCAGGGGGTGAGTGAGGACTGGAAATCAACATGCATCCATAGCCACCCCTCTGCGGAGAGTTCCATCAGGAGCTCTGGAACACAACCCTCTCCAAGCCAACATGATGAAGACTCCACAAAAACCCAAGACGTCGGGGCTTGGGGCGATTCCAGATATAGCTGAACACGTGGAGGTTCTTGAGGGGAGGCCCCAGAGGGGATCCAACAGCCCCTCGCCTATCCCCACATGCCCCACCCAGGGCACCTCTCCCATCTGGCGGCTGCCTTGTTCATCTGTGCACTTTGTAATATCCTTCGTCATAAACCAGTCAACATAAGCAAAGTGTTTCTCTGCGAGTTCTGTGAGCCACTCTAGCAAATTATCGAACCCAAAGTATGGGTTGTGGGAACCCCGATTCACAGCCAGCTGCTCAGAAGTTCCAGAGGTCTGGACGTGTGACTGGCATCTGAGGCGGGGGACAGTCCTGGGACCGAGCCCTCGTCCTGCGGGATCTGATGCTACCTCCGGGTAGACAGCGTCTGAACTGAGCACAGCCCACTGGAGAATGTGCTGCGGATCGGGCGTGGGTGGGAGAAATCCACACACATCTTGGTGACCAGAGGTCCCAGGAGTGTGCTGTGTTGAGTAACTGTAAGAGAATAGGAAAAACCACTTTGCTTGGTGTTTTCCTCTATTTTCAGAGCCTGATGCCCAAGACACTGAAGTCCTGTGCTTCCGGAAGGCTTAAAACCTCCCAGGAGGGTGAGGCAGCAGCCTCGGTCCTCTCTCCACCATCCCCTTCCCTAGAATCTGGTGAAGAGCAAGGTTGGTCACAGGTCAGGGCTGATGTTGCCAAGGGCATTCCGCAAACACTTGTAAGTCCCCGTTACTCCCGGGCCCTGGACTAGCCAGCGGACAGGGAGGCTTCACGAGCTGATGGGGAGAGAGGCAAGAAAATGACACACGGACGAACATGCAAACTTCCCTCCCTGGCCCCCACCTCTCTCTAGTCCTGTCCCCACCGGCCTTGCCAAGCCCACCACGCCAGCCCCACACTTTGCTGTCCTCTCCCAACCCTCTAGCCACCTCTCTGCCTCCGTGCCCTGTGGCTCACACCTGGCAAACTTCTACACATCCTTCAGGAACCCTGACATTTCCTCCTCCATGACCCAGTGCCAGGGTCCACCAGAAACTGAGTCAGCACAGACCACCCAGCCAAAGTCAGGAGACCGTCCACGTCCTCCAGCTCTGCCCCCACCAGCTCAGTGTGGGGTGCTGGGGCCCCTCAGTAGCCCTCCCCCGACCCCAATCTCAGGGGTAGAGCACCGGCCTCTCTGATGTTCCAGGATTATCATAACTCTTAAAAGGTCAGTCCGTAAAAATACCCTCTCCCTTCCCTGTGTTCGTTCCCATGCCTGGGATACAGTCAACAGTCTCCAAGCCAGGCTGGGCACGGTGGCTCACGCCTGTAATCCTGGCATTTTGGGAGGCTGAAGTGGGCAGATCACTTGAGGTCAGGAGTTTGAGACCAGCCTGGTCAATACAGCGAAACCCCATCTCTACTAAAAATACAAAAAAAAAAAAAATTAGCCAGGCATGGAGGCACACTCCTGTAGCCCTAGCTACTCGGGAGGCTGAGGCAGGAGAATCACTTGAACCCGGGAGGCGGAGGTTGCAGTGAGCCGAGATCAGGCCACTGCGCTCCAGCCTGGGTGACAAAGGGAGACGTTATCTCAAAAAAAAACAAAAAAATTCCCAGCCAGCAAATACATGTTATTGGAACTTATCTTTTATCTGAAAAATACAGCAGACTAGACAAACATTGTAGGATTTCTTAATATTCTAACAGCAACAGCACACTAGCGATCCCTTAGGGACCCTGGTTATGCACAGAACGGAGCTCCAAGGAGGGGGACGGCAGGTCGGGGCCGGGGGAGCCAGGCCTGGCCCTGGGCCTTAGAAATCCCAGCTGGGGATTTCACTCACGCTGCTCAAGTCAGCAGGCTGCAGCTGGGGAATGAACTGAGGGCCTCGGATACCACGTGGGGGTGTTTTCGACTTTATGCTGCTGGCAGTAGGGAGCCACTGAAGGCTTCGGGGGGAGGGAGGGGGACAGTGACCTAATCGGAGCTGCACTTGAACAAGCAGAGGAGTAGAGGATGCACTGGAAAGCGAATGAGACTCGTCCACAGTCTGGAACCCAGTGGGGGCCCTGCAATGGCCCAGCAGCCCCTCCCCTGGGTTGGCAACCCAGGTACTCAGGCCTCACTCCCTGCAGGGCCCGAATGCCGCTGCTGTCTGAGCCTGTATGTGGTTCCTGGGCAGAAGGGTCTCACCCTTCTCAGCCTCAGTTTATCCATCTGTAACCTGGGGCAGACCCCTCCCTCCCTCCCTCCCACGGAAGGCAGGACAAGGGTAAGAGGAGAGTCTGGAAGGAGAGGGCTAAAGGGGCCTCCGGTGAGGGCCTGATTCTCAGTGTTGAGGCCCAGGCTAAAAGGACCCTGGGGGAAATGAACCCGCTCCCTCTTTTCCACTCAGCTTCCCCATCAGCAGAAGAGCTGCCCCCCGTGTCCTCCCACAGGGAACAAGACGGGCCAAGTCCATCCCCAGTTAAGGTCCGTGAACAGCAAACAGCTGCAGGGAAATGTCCCAGCGGGAAGCACAGGGGCGACTGGAGGCCGGTGAAGAATCGCAGGCCTCCCGAAGTGTGCCAGCTTGCAGGGCACGGCCGACGAGGTGTGCGGCACGGGGCCGCGCCAGACTGCAAATGTCATTATCTGTTATTTACCACAACAGAGGACGAGAGGCTGCACAAAATTACCGCGCTTGGCAACGGCCGCTGAGTGGATTTGCCAACGATGCTTCTTCCTGCTGCCAGAGGCTACACTGACCAGACCCAGGGAAGACAGCCACTGAGCCTAGGGGGCAGGTGTCCCGGGGGAGAAGGAGTCCCTGCAGGACAGCCCTGACCAGTGTCCCAGGTACCCCAGCCTAGGCCCGCAGAATCTCTCACCCGCTCTAGCAGGGGCTGGCCCAGCCTAGGCCTGCAGAATCTCTCACCCACTCTAGCAGGGGCTGGCCCATAGGCCTGCAGAATCTCTCACCCGCTCTAGCAGGGGCTGGCCCAGCCTAGGCCTGCAGAATCTCTCACCCACTCTAGAAGGGGCTGGCCCAGCCTAGGCCTGCAGAATCTCTCACCCACTCTAGCAGGGGCTGGCCCAGCCTAGGCCTGCAGAATCTCTTACCCGCTCTAGCAGGGGCTGGCCCAGCCTAGACCTGCAGAATCTCTCACCCACTCTAGAAGGGGCTGGCCCAGCCTAGACCTGCAGAATCTCTCACCCACTCTAGAAGGGGCTGGCCCAGCCTAGGCCTGCAGAATCTCTTACCCGCTCTAGCAGGGGCTGGCCCAGCCTAGACCTGCAGAATCTCTCACCCGGTCTAGCAGGGGCTGGCCCATAGGCCTGCAGAATCTCTCACCCGCTCTAGCAGGGGCTGGCCCAGCCTAGACCTGCAGAATCTCTCACCCACTCTAGAAGGGGCTGGCCCAGCCTAGACCTGCAGAATCTCTCACCCGCTCTAGCAGGGGCTGGCCCAGCCTAGACCTGCAGAATCTCTCACCCACTCTAGCAGGGGCTGGCCCATAGGCCTGCAGAATCTCTCACCCGCTCTAGCAGGGGCTGGCCCAGCCTAGGCCTGCAGAATCTCTCACCCGCTCTAGCAGGGGCTGGCCCAGCCTAGACCTGCAGAAGCTCTCACCCACTCTAGCAGGGGCTGCCACAGCCTAGGCCTGCAGAATTTCTCACCCACTCTAGCAGGGGCTGGCCTCACAGTGAGGCTGGGCCGTGACCCCTCCACGTATCCAACTATTGTCTAGCCAATGCAAAGGTGGGACAGACCAGGGCAAGGCCTCAGGCCCACTCTGTAGGGGCGCTGCCTCAGGGGGGCCCAGGGCTGGGTGCTACCTCTCACTCTGGATGCTCCGCCATAGGGGCTGCAATCCCTTCCCCAGCATCGTGGGCACGTAGCCGTCGGCCACCTCATTTCATCGGCCACCTTATTCGAAAGTGGGACGAGACATCACCTTCCTTTGGGGTCTCCTGCTCATCTTTAGATCTCTTTACATCTTAAAAGGTACATAGGCAAAGTTCTCTGGGCTTTTTTTTCTTGAGACAGGGTCTCACGCTGTCACCCAGGCTAGAGTGCAGTGGCGGGAGCACGGCTCACTGTAGCTTTAACCTCCCAGGCTTAAGCAATCCTCCCCACCTCAGCCTCCCCAGTAGTTGAGATTATGGGTGCGCACCACCGTGCCTGGCTAATTTTTGTATTTTTTTGTAGAGAGGGGGTTTTGCCTTGTTGCCCGGGCTGGTCTCAAACTCCTGGGCTCAAGGGATCCTCCTGCCTTTGCCTCCCAAGTAGCTGGGACTGCAGGGGCACCACCAGGCCCACCTAATTTTTTTCATTTTTTATTAAAACAGGGTCTCGCTTTATTGCCTGGGCTGGTCTCAAACTCCTGGCTTCCAGTGATCCTCCTACCTCGGCCTCCCAAAGTCCTGGAATTACAGGTGTGACCCACCGCGCCCGGCCTGTAGGCAAAGTCCTGAGCCGAGCTGTGACCACGCCTGGCCTGTAGGCAAAGTTCTGACCCGAGCCGTAGGAGTCATTGCAAGGCACTGGCTGTGTCATCGAGAGGGAGTCATCCCTCTGAGCGTCAGTGTCTCCATCTGGAAAACGAGTATGAACACTGCCTTGCCTTTTGCCTGCCCATCTCCTGGGGGCCATGAGGGACACATGACATCATGGAAATGTCAGGCACAGCGGCTCTCAGAAGCACCCCCACCCTGACTTCCTCCCGCTCAGAGGGCACAGACTCACTACGGCCTGAGCCAAAGCGAACTGGGCGGCAAACCTGCCACAGCTTTAAAATAACCACAATCGAGCTGTGTCCCAGAGGCACAGAGGCGAGAGCTTCGGCTCCCAGCCCAGCTGCTGCCACTGCGGCATCTGCGGACTGCGAGGCTGCAAGGCCTGGACTGAGCCCGAGCTGCCTGGGAGGAAACCGCAGGCAGGCCCGAGAGAGTCTCTCGTCCAGCCTTTGCCTGTCACTGGAAGGCCAGAGAGGGAAACAGATTTTCATCTGAGGTCACGCAGGAGGTTCTGAGCACAGCTGTCTCCCGACTCTCGCAGGTGTAGCAGGCCAGGCAGGTCCACGGAGTCACCCCGCCCCACCCACTACGTCCGTCCTTCGATTTACACAAGGTCCAAGGAGCCGTTGCAGGGAATGAACTTGAGCCACGCCTTCAGCTGGATTTCAGACGTGGGCAGGTGTGTCTGTGTGCGGTGGGGGGAGGAGAGAGGAAGCCATCGGAGCCACACTGCAGAGAGGGCCGTGTCCCCAGGAGAGATTCGGACCCCAGGACGAGGCTAAGCTCAACGGGAAACAGGATGGGAGGCGCCCGCCGTCGAGGGAGGGTGGATCCAGGCCCGGCCCTCCCGGCTGCCACCCACACTCACCCCAGGCCTGCCCAGCAGGTGTGTGAGCCGCCTGGAAAAGGGGAGCTACAGGGAAGGGTGAAAAAGCCCCGAATACAACACAGCTCCTAAAACTGGAATTCGATTTACATGTATAGTCATGGGACGATGTTTTTGATATCTTATTAAGTGGAAAAAGAAGATGAAAAAAGGAGTGTACATAGGCATCCACCCTGCGAACATTTGTGTGAGTGCGAAGAGACAGAGAAGGTGGGAGAAGGACAAACACCCAGACCCCGAAGGTCAGGGGCGGGAGCTTCGCATTTCACACACACCTCTGGTGTTTGACTTATTTTTTAGGGTTGGAATATCCTTGATATGTCATGTCTATGAGGCATCCAAGTCAGACAATAAACTTGGCAGTTCTCTATAAGGTTCGAGGTGGAGATAAAGTCTGAGGTTTACAAAGTTAAGAACTAACAACGTAACTGTATCGTTAAGGTTGGCGGCTCATGCCTGCATCCCAGCAGTTTCAGAGGCTGAGCAGGTGGATCGCCTGAGGAGTCTGAGGCAGCCTGGGCAACATAACAAGGCCCAGTCTCCACAAAAAATGAGAAATTAGCCAGGAGTGGTGGCGCACACCTGTAGTCCCAGCTGCCCGGGAGGCTGAGGTGGGAGGATCACTGGAGCCCAGAGGGGTGAGGCTGCCGTGAGCTAAGATCACACCGCTGCACTCCAGCCGGGGCAGCACAGCGAGACCCTGTCTCAAAAAAACAATCACGAAAAAAAAAAAGATTTAACAACTTTGCAATGAATTAGATCACCCAGCAGTTATAAGAAAGAGGTTGGGGGGCAGGGAGGAAGGCTGTACTGAGGTTTTAATAATTATTGAGCAGTGACCGTGTCTCAGGAAAGAGATGGGGAGGGAGGGAGGCTGTACTGAGGTTTTAATAATTATTGAGCAGTGACCGTGTTTCAGGAAAGAGATGGGGAGGGAGGGAGGCTGTACTGAGGTTTTAATAATTATTGAGCAGTGACCGTGTCTCAGGAAAGAGGTGGGGAGGGAGGGAGGCTGTACTGAGGTTTTAATAATTATTGAGCAGTGACCGTGTCTCAGGAAAGAGTGGGGCAGGGAGGGAGGCTGTACTGAGGTTTTAATAATTATTGAGCAGTGACCGTGTCTCAGGAAAGAGATGGGGAGGGAGGGAGGCTGTACTGAGGTTTTAATAATTATTGAGCAGTGACCGTGTCTCAGGAAAGAGATGGGGAGGGAGGGAGGCTGTACTGAGGTTTTAATAATTATTGAGCAGTGACCGTGTCTCAGGAAAGAGATGGGGAGGGAGGGAGGCTGTACTGAGGTTTTAATAATTATTGAGCAGTGACCGTGTCTCAGGAAAGAGATGGGGAGGGAGGGAGGCTGTACTGAGGTTTTAATAATTATTGAGCAGTGACCGTGTCTCAGGAAAGAGATGGGGAGGGAGGGAGGCTGTACTGAGGTTTTAATAATTATTGGGCAGTGACCGTGTCTCAGGAAAGAGATGGGGAGGGAGGGAGGCTGTACTGAGGTTTTAATAATTATTGAGCAGTGACCGTGTCTCAGGAAAGAGATGGGGAGGGAGGGAGGCTGTACTGAGGTTTTAATAATTATTGAGCAGTGACCGTGTCTCAGGCACCGTTTTAAGAGTTTATCACATACTTTCCTCATTGCAATCCTTGCAACCGCCCCCGAGATAGGTATTATTATTCCCGACTTCCAGGTGAGAGACCTGAAGCAGACAGAGGTGAGGGAATGAGCCCAGGCCGGGAGGACGCAGGGAGGCAGAATCCAGCGTTCTAAACCTCTGCACAGTCCTGTAAGTTACTTTTTAAAATTCCGTCAAGAGGAAACTAGTAAGACCAAGAGAAGCTAACTCATTAAAGTCTGTAATCTGCTGAGGCTCAAACAACTGAGGCACTGAGGCTGGTACCCCAGGCCACCCCCACCAACAACATAACCAGAGGGGAAGGAAGTCAGGCCCCTTCTCACTCTGAGCAGCTGGTGCCTGGGATTTTAGGCTGTCACGACGATTCCACCCGGCCAGGGCAGGCCCGAACCGGCCGGAGGCCACAGGAGAACCAATGAGCCTGGCTGGACTCCTGCAAACCTTGAGGGACGCCGAGATTCACATTCACTGAATTTTCATGCCACGTGACACTCTTCTTCTTTTGTTCCCTCCCGCCCTGCCCCACGGAGCCATTTACAAACATAAAACCATTTTTAAACCATTTTTAAATGATTTAAAACCTGTTTCTGTACCAAGTGGTACAGAAATAGGGGCCAGCCCCCGGTCCAGTGCCACGAGCTCCTAGGGCCAGAGTGTAAGAGAGGCACAGGGCGGGAGGGGGACAGGGCGAGAGGGGGACAGGGCGGGAGGGGGACAGGGCGGGAGGGGGACAGGGCGAGAGGGGGACAGGGCGAGAGGGGACAGGGCGGGAGGGGGACAGGGCGGGAGGGGGACAGGGCGGGAGGGGGACAGGGCGAGAGGGGACAGGGCGGGAGGGGGACAGGGCGGGAGGGGGACAGGGCGAGAGGGGGACAGGGCGAGAGGGGACAGGGCGGGAGGGGGACAGGGCGGGAGGGGGACAGGGCGAGAGGGGGACAGGGCGAGAGGGGACAGGGCGGGAGGGGACAGGGCGGGAGGGGGACAGGGCGAGAGGGGACAGGGCGGGAGGGGGACAGGGCGGGAGGGGGACAGGGCGAGAGGGGGACAGGGCGAGAGGGGACAGGGCGGGAGGGGGACAGGGCGGGAGGGGGACAGGGCGAGAGGGGGACAGGGCGGGAGGGGGACAGGGCGAGAGGGGACAGGGCGGGAGGGGGACAGGGCGGGAGGGGGACAGGGCGGGAGGGGGACAGGGCGGGAGGGGGACAGGGCGAGAGGGGGACAGGGCGAGAGGGGGACAGGGTCATCAGGGTGCTTAGGGTGGGCTCCGGGGCGTCTGCACCACCAGGCGCACAGCCCAGGAGGTGGCAGGAGTCATCCGTTCTGGAAACAGCCAGAGGTACAACCTCGTGTCCAGGCACCGGCCGAGTTGGGACTCAGGGTCAAAGCCAAGCTGAGGCAACGTCGAGATGGAGCGTAACAGCCCTCAGCCTGCACCTGCCACACTGCGGAGGCCCCACAGGGACAATCCGGGAGGGTGGGGTGGTGCCTGCCTGGCAGCTGCGGGGGCTGGGTAGGGAAGGGCTACTCCACCCTGGAGGCCCAGCTCACACCAACCTCCTAGCCCCTGACGTCCCACCAGGCAGCTTCACAAGGTTACAGGTCGGTTCCTTCTCCACTGGATTCCTCCCACATCGGGTGACCTGACCACACACACGGCAGGTGCCCAGCGGTGGTCCCAGCCCCAACATCTCAAGAGCAGGACACCCGAGTGGAGATACTAGGTCACAGGAATGTCTCCACACAGACATTCAGGCAGGTTCGAGGGAAGAAGACAGCTTCCCGGCCACTCTCCCACCACGCCCACACCCGGTGGGCTCCTCTCCTCAACCTGGGCCCACATTCTCTCCCAGGTTACTCACATCACTCAGTCATCCCTCACATCACTCACATCGCCCCATGACATCCGCCTCTGAGCTGCCAGCCTCCCTCCCCAGCCCCTTTCTTCCTTCCCTCCCTCCCTCCCTCCTTTCTTTTTTTTGAAACAGGTCACCCAGGCTGGAGTTCAGTGGCACAATCTTGACTCACTGCAGCCTCCGCCTCTGGGGCTCAAGCCTTCCAGGCTCAAGCAATCCTCAGCCTCAGCCTCCCAAGTAGTTGGAAACGTAACTGGGCACCACCATGCCCAGCTATTTTTTTTTTTTTTTTCAGTAGAGATGAGGTCTCACTACATTACCCAGGCTGGTCTCAGACTCCTGGTCTCAAGCAATCTTCTCACCTTGGCCTCCCAAAGTGCTAGGATTACAGGTGTGAGCCACTGCGCCCGACTTCCCCAGCCCCTTTCTGACCCACAGCCTGGGATCCAGCCTGGACTACCTGGAACACATACCCAGCCCCCCTGGAACCCCAGCTCCACCGCCAACATGCCCCACGAGCCCCTTCCCCACATCTGCTCCCACCCCAGACCAGCCCTCCACGCAGGCCCCACGCACGTGCGCAGCCTGGCCGGTAAGGCCATCAGACCCAGCCGGTAAGGCCATCAGACCCAGCACTGGCCCGCCGTGTGACCTGGCAAGGGACTAACCTCCACCTCGCCTCCGTTTCTTCACCTGCAACGAGGAGACCGTGACCTCCCAGGTGGTTTTGCTAATCAGCTGGGTGCTTGGTACCCCTAGAGTGAGCTCTCCACCGCTGGCAGCTTTATCGTGGCTAACTCCTGTCTTCAGAGTCTCCATCTTGGCTGCTCCTGCCTTAATTCAGGCCTTCATTATGGCGAATTGGATAATTAGTATCCACGAATCCTCTGCATCTGGACTTAACCTCCCCACGGGCCCATGAGACTGTCGTTTCCCTGCTTAGTCCCTTGGATGGCTCTGCTGCCTACAGGACACAAGCCCAGCCCCTGCGCCCGGCACACAGAGTCCTCCCGATCCTCACGTCTCTCTCCTTCCCTCCCTCCCCACCTGCTTCTTACCCCTCAGGGCCTCTTTTCCTCCCCCCTCTGACCTCCTCTTCTTCCCTTTTCCTCTCTTCCTCTCCTTCTCATGCCCCAGCATAACCAGACTCCCAGCTGCGCCCGATGCCCCCACACTTCCTGGGCACACTGCCTCTGCCGAGCTGTGCCTGCTCCTGAAGTGCCCTCTCCTGGCACCTGGTCACCCACCCTCCAGGCCCGGCTGCCACATCTGCTCCACTCTGCAGCCCGGGGGCCTCCCCCACCTCCCCAGGTGCCGCAGCTCACCCATGGCAGGTCCTCCCCACGGCAGGCCCATCCCATGGCAGGCCTGTCCCACAGCAGATCCTCCCCATGGCAGGTCCTCCCCATGGCAGGCCCATCCCACGGCAGATCCTCCCCGCGGCAGGTCCTCCCCACGGCAGGTCCATCCCACGGCAGGTCCATCCCGCGGCAGGTCCATCCCACGGCAGGTCCTCCCCACGGCAGGTCCTCCCCGCGGCAGGTCCATCCTACGGCAGGTCCATCCCACGGCAGGTCCATCCCGCGGCAGGTCCTCCCCACGGCAGATCCTCCCCACGGCAGGTCCTCCCCACAGCAGGTCTGCCCCACGCTCATCCCTGCCTTCTACTTCTACAGCACTCCTCACACTGCACTGCAATAGCTGACACCAACTATGAGCTCCTGGAGGGCAGGGGCTGGCATCTCTACCTCCTCAGCCCCGGGGCCTGGCACGAAGGTGAGCTGAGTGCACACAGGAACTGACCAGGGGACAGGTCATGCAAAGCTCCGTCCAGAAAGCTCTGGGCCTTGCCAGGGATCCGTGTGGTTCCCCAAGCCCACCCTGGGTCTCTGCAGCCGATTGGCTGCCTTTGTGCTGATGACCCTGAGCTGAAGGTCAGCAGTGTGCTGGGGTGAACGGAAGGGGCTCAGCACCGCACAAGATAGCTGCTCCTTCTTTCTTTGGAAGAAGAAAAGCCACACGCAGGCCTCAAGACAGCAAGAGAAAAGGAGGCCTCAATGGAGATGTTCCGCTTGCCAGACTCTGAGCAAGGCAGATGTTCCAAGATGCCGTGCGGTGTCTGGTCCAATCCTCCGATCCCAGCAACTGCAGCCAAGTCCATTCCTGCCAGACAGCCTTGGAGATGCAAGAGAGCCGAAGCAGGCCCCTCGGGGCAGAAGAATTAAGTGACTTTTTCCGGGAATTTAGGAAGCTTCAGTCGCTGAATGAAAAAATCCATCTTTGTAATGAGGGGCAAACACTCGTCTTCCACGTCTGAATTAGGTCAAGAGGAGAAAGGACATTGTGAGGCCAATTTGCAGGCGACTGAGATGAAATGGCTCAAGGAGGCTGCTGCTTCTACAGCTCCAGCAATGGACGGGCACTGAGGATTAGCTTTGGAAAGGGAGTAGGGGACAGGGCCGTGGAGGACTTTCACCGCACACCCATTTGGGAGGGAGGCTCTGCAAAAAACTGACTTCTCCTAAGCCTTATGCTTGTGGGGATGTGAAATGGTGCAGCTGCCACGGAAAGCAGGGTGGAGGCTCCTCAAACAGGTAAACACAGAACTGCCGTATGATTCAGCAATTCCACTGCTGGGTATAGACCCAAGAGAATCGAAGGCAGGGTTGCAGAGAGGTTTGCACGCTCGTGCCCACTGCAGCATTGTTCACAATAGCTGCAACATGGAAGCAACCCAAATGTCCATCACAGGTGAGTGGATACACAAAGTGGGGTATGCACATACAGTGAAATTTTCCTCGCCTTAAAAAGGATGGAAATTCCTACACATGCTACATCATGGATGAACCTTGAAAGCATTATGCAAAGGGCACCTGGTTAAACTGCAGCTTCTAGTTTGGGAGGTCTGTGGGGGCCTGAGATTCTGCATTTCTAATGAACATCCAGGTGAGGTCCTCGGCCCACACTTTGAGTAGCAGAGACCCCATCAGCACCTGAATTCTCTCCTAGCCCTAATGCCTCCACCTCCAGGAGCAGCTCTCTGTAAACTGGATGGGGCCAGGACCCCCACAGCTTCCCAAGGCAGAAGGAGAATACTTCTCAGAGGTTAGCAGACTCTCTCTAGGCAGCTGCTGCAGGCAGGTCACAAATCGCCACCATCTCTAAGACTGGAGGACTGGCTGCTGGGAATAAAGCAGTGATGGAGGCTGGCTGTGGTGGCTCAAGCCTGTAATCCCAGCACTTTGAGAGGCCGAGGCAGGAGGATCATTTGAGCCAGGAGTTTGAGACCAGCCTGGGCAACATAGCAGACCCTGTCTCTACAAAAAATAAAAAATTTTCCAGGCGAGGTGGTGCATGACTGTGGTCCTAGCTCCTAGGGAGGCCGAGGTGGGAGGATCGATTGAGCCCAGGAGTTTGAGGCTGCAGTGAGCCCTGTTTGCCACTGCACTCCAGCCTGGGCGGCAGAGCTAGACCTTGTCTCTTAAAAAAGGAGCACTCCTCCTGCTCTGTCCATGGCTTCCTGGCCTCGAGTCCCAGATACCAAACAGAGAGGGAAGCTGAAGCCTTAGGAAAATGGCATGTACCCCGCCCTGCCCAGGGCTCCTGCCAGCCCCCTGCTGGGGGTCCGGGATACGGCACGTCCCTTGTCCAGGGCTCCTGCCAGCCCCCCTGCTGGGGGTCCGGGATATGGCATGTCCCCCGCCCTGCCCAGGGCTCCTGCCAGCCCCCCTGCTGGGGGTCCGGGATATGGCACGTCCCCTGCCCTGCCCCAGGCTCCTGCCAGCCTCCTGCTGGGGGTCCAGGATATGGCACGTCCCCCGTCCAGGGCTCCTGCCAGCCCCCTGCTGGGGGTCTGGGATATGGCACGTCCCCTGCCCTGCCCCAGGCTCCTGCCAGCCTCCTGCTGGGGGTCCAGGATACGGCATGTCCCCTGCCCTGCCCCAGGCTCCTGCCAGCCCCCCTGCCAGGGGTCCGGGATGACTCTCAGCAGGACACATCCCCTCCTCGGTGCAAAGTGGGCTCAAGCCAGGTTAGGGGAAAGGTCAGGTTCTGACCCAGCCCCTTCCCTCCATGCTGGGCTGGGTAATACCTGCCCCCAGCCTGAGCTGGACCTCCTCTAAGGGACGTGGGCAAAATATAAGACTGCCCAGTCTTCCTTCATGAAGACTCAGGTCATCGTTTCATAGGCAGGCTCCCCTGCACCCACACTGTGGGACACCTTTGGCTGAGACCAGAAAAAAAAAACGACTGCTTCCCTCAAATGGTGACAATGCATCCCAGGCTCAGGCGGGCTCTGCTGTGGCCCTGCCCAGCCTCCCCATGGCTAGCTGGACTCTCAGTGAGACTCAAAGCTGGCTGACTCAGATCCCAAGCAATTAGGAGCACCAGTCCTCTCTAATTAACCAGCCAGCCCCTCTCCCTTCCCACCAAGGCCCTCAGATAATGAGGGCAGGCAGTCGAGGCATGCAGGCCCAATTACGGAGGGGACGCAGCTCCGAGGACCGGCATCTCGGCTTCCACCCACAAGCTCATTAGCTTGTAGCTGCTGAACGCTGCCAGGGCTCCTGCTGGGGGCGCGTGTGTGTGCCCAGGAGCACCTGAGGCTCTGTCCTCCCCAACCATGCCTGGGCCTGGATGCTTCCCACGGCAGGGATCTCCCCAGCATCCCTTCTCCAGCCTGCCCAAGCCCACACACCTCCCAGGGCCCCAGGCTGCAGCCATCCGCAGAAGGTGAGGAGGCGGAATGTGGAGATGGAGATAAACAGGGAGGTGGCCCAGAAACCGGCAGTCCCAGAGTGGAGGGCCCGATTCCTCACACCGTGTTAGAGCCCTTCCAGCCCCCCAGGGCTGCCGCCTTAACCCCATTCCCAGCTGTAATTAATTACCCTTAATGGTTTCACGCCTCCCTCCGGAGCACTGGGATCCGCATGGCTCCTGACACCAGTCGGTGTGCGATAAATATTTGTGGGATAAGGAAGGGATGGCATCGTCTCTCCTCCCAGACACGAGAGAGCCCTGCAGGGGCAAGGGCTTCGCAGGGGCTATGTCTGGGCCTCCCTGATTCTCCAGCGACTCGGGTTCTAGGCCACCACCCCCTACAGCAGGGCCCCCAGGGGGGCAGTGCCTCTGCGATCATCTCCCTGGAGTCCCAGGCCCTCCACACCTGCCCATTCACTGCTCAAACGCAGTTCATCTCCCGAAAGACTCCCCTGCACCTGCCCATTCACTGCTCAAATGCAGCTCGTCCCCTGAAAGACTCCTCTACACCTGCCCATTCACTGCTCAAATGCAGCTCGTCCCCTGAAAGACTCCACCCTCTTACAAGTCCCCTACAGCTCAGCGTCCCAAAGATCTCAGCTCTGCCCTCTGTTTTCAGGTCCCCAGGATCTCAGCCTTGGAGGCAGCTGGAGCATGCCCCGTCCCTCCTCCTCGGTCCACTGTTCCTAAGTCGAATCTGCCATTGCATCCTGTGTTCCTTTTTCCTTCAGCACACGCCTCTGTGCTCCCCAGGCATCATCCTCACAGTTGAGCACTTGCCCAGCCCGTTTCCAGCTTCCGGCCTCAGCCTGTGTGGTCTTCCCCTCCCCGGATGCCCTTCCCTCTGCCCTCAGCCTTTCAGAAACCTGCCCAGCCTCCAGGGGCCCACTCCTCCAGGCAGCCCTCCTGGCTGCTCTGAGTCCTGGGAACCCCAGTCCCAACCACAGTGCACTTCACACTAGAGAATACTGTCTGCCCATCTTGACGGTCAGGACGTGAGGGAAGCGATTATTCTGAAAACCTCTCTTTTTGGATCCCCCCAACCCAGGATTGGCTCACAATGGGCGAAGCGATCAAGAAAGACATTTATACGAGTAACGAGACAATTATAACGAGACATTTATACGAGCACAAAGACTGAGGCGTTTCCCTGCCGGCTCAGGACATCCAGTGCTGGAGAGCTACAAAGGCTTCCAGAGGCTTTTATGTAAATTACAGAAAATATGGGACTAGCTGTGGGAGCTCCAATTTTAAGAAAACAAGAATTCCAACGAGGAGAATGTGGGTGCTATGGACTGAACTGTGTCCCTTCAAAATTCCTATGTTGAAGCCCTGACCCCCAGAGTGACTGTATTTGGAGAGAAGGTCTTTAGGAGGTAATTAAGGTAAAATGAGGGTGCAAGGGTGAGGCCCTAATCCGATAGGACTAGTGTCTTTATAAGAAAAGGGAGAGGCCGGGTGCTGTGGCTCACGTCTGTAATCCCAGTGCTTTGGGAAGCGGAGGTGGGAGGATTGCTTGAGGGCTAGTTAGAGACCAGCCCGGGCAACAAAGCGATACCCTGTCTCTACAAAAAATTAAAAATTAGACAGGCGTGGTGGCACACATCTGTAGTCTCAGCTGCCCGGGAAGCTGGGGTGGGAAGATTGCAGGACCCCAGCAGTTGAAGGCTGCAGTGAACAATGATCATGCCACTGCACTCCAGCCTGGGTGACAGAGTGAGACCCTGTCAAAACACAGAAAAGCAAGAGGAGGAGGAGAGACTAGAGCCCTCTCCTCCTGCCACACGAGGACACACGGAGAAGGCAGCTGTCTGCAAGCCATGAACAGGGCCCTCACCAGACACAGAATCAGCCAGCACCTTGATCTCAGAATTTCGTGCCTCCAAACTGAAAAATAAATATCTACGGCTGAAGGTGCCCAGTCTGTGGCACTTTATTAGGGCGATCTGAGCTGACTATGACACGGGGAGTCACTCAGCCTCTTCTGAAATGTCTGGGGATCTGCTCCATCGTTGGTAACACGTGTGTGGCCTCAGCAGGCAGGACCCTGAAGAGGTTTCATAACAATCACAGGCATCCTTTACTGCACGCTGCCAATGGGCCAGGCAGTCTGCTAAGGGCTTCTCCTGCACTATTGCATCCATCAACGATGACAGAAGCTTAATGACCCCATTTTACAGATGAAAGAACAGAGGCCCAGAGAGGTTAAGTGACTTGTACGAGACCGCGCCACCGTGGCCAAGCTGGGACCTCAACCCAAGTCTGTCTGGTCCTGCAGCTCCGTGCACAACCACCTCACAATCCTGCAGCCAGGGAGGAGGGAAGCTAGCCGTGCCAGGTGCTTGCAGGAACACGGAGGCACTCCTGAAAGTACAGATGAGTCCCTCCCATCTGGGCAGGAGCCCCCAGCACTGCGTGGCATCTGCGTGGGGACAGTCCTCACTGGCAAGTCCAGGAGAACCGGCTGCCCTCTTGCTGCTCAGGGTGGACCAAGCGACCTCTCATTCCAGCCCCCTGAAGTCGAGAGCTCTTTCCTTCCTAGAACCCTCCTTCACCCCCTCTAATTCCTCTCCATCTGCTTAGAATACACTGAAGAGGCTGACGCTCTGTCTCAGCAAATGGCCTCAGTCCCTACGTTGCCTGTCTCCATCCCTATCATCTCCCAGTGACGGCCATCACCACCTGTCTCCAGCACTAGGGTCGTCTCTTAAAAACACAGATCAGATCACACCCCTGCTCAAAACACTCCACTGGCATCTCATTAAACTTAAGTGAAATCTCAGCTCCTGACCTTGACTGGCGAGGCTGTGTGATGGGCCATCCGGCCGCTCACTCTCTGCCCCAGATGCCACCATGTGCCCCTTGAACATGCCCAGCTCGTTCCTGCCTCAGGGCCTTCAGGACTGTTCCAGGGGAAGCTTGCCGTTCCCTCTGCCGGGAACACTGTTCCACCCAGATCTTCCCAGGGCCAGCTGTTGCTTGTGTTTGGGCCTGAGCTCAGAGAGGCCCCCTAAGCCTCTCCCTAGGTGCTCTGCGTTAATTCAACAGAGTCCTCGGTGTACCTAGTCTTGCTTCATGTTTATTCATTTGTCTTCTCTATGCCCTGACCCTGGAAAGTCATCTCCACAACAGGGTGGACTGTGTCCATCTCGTTCACGGCGTCGGCAGGACCCAGAACACGGCTTGCACACAATGGGCTATTATTTACAGAATGAATGAAGATGAATGAACGAATGACACCACCTTCTCCAAGAAGGAAGAGTGAACCCTCCAAAGCCCCCAAATGCCCACCATCCAGCTGTGCTCCCCTAATACACTCCCCTCCCACCTCAATCCTGGAACAAGCCCCTCAGAAGCCTCAGAAGCTCAAAGATTCCCCGGCCTCATCACCCAAGCCAGGACTGAGTCCTCAGTCTGCTCAACACCAAGAACCATCTGCAACAGAAACGCCCGGACCAGCCCACAGCTCCAGAGTAGCGTGGGGACCCACATCCAGCTGAGGTCCTTCCCCAGGACAGCCACTGTTGCCTAAGACATGGCTCCAAGGAGCACCTGTACTAACCGTTGCACAGCCACACCAGCAGCGGCCTCTGCAGCACAGGCCCTGGACTGTCCCAGGGGAAGTGGGCCAGGCTCTGTGCCTCTTCATGGTCCCCTATAGCTGGAATATTTACCACAGGCCAGGCTCTGTGCCTCTCCACAGGCCCCTATACCTGGAATATTCACAGCAGCTGTGGGGTTGAGAGACAGGAGGAGGAAGCACACTGCCAGCTCCCGTTCTCCCAGGCAGGAGTCACTGCCCGAGTCCTGCAAGTTGGCCATTCCCAAGTCTCTGTACCCCACCTCCATTGACCTGTAGTCTCTATGCCCCCACCTCCATTGACCTGTAGTCCCTATACTCCACGTCCATTGACCTGTAGTCCCTGTGCCCCACCTCCACTGACAGGCAGTCTCTGTGCCCCACCTCCACTGACAGGCAGTCTCTGTGCTCCACCTCCACTGACCTGTAGTCCCTGTGCCCCACCTCCCTTGACCTGTAGTCCCTGTAACTCCACCTCCATTGACCTGTAGTCTCTGTGACTCCACCTCCACTGACCTGTAGTCCCTGTGCCCCACCTCCATTGACCTGTAGTCTCTGTGCCCCACCTCCATTGACCTGTAGTCTCTGTGCTCCACCTCCATTGACCTGTAGTCTCTGTGCTCCACCTCCACTGACCTGTAGTCCCTGTGCCCCACCTCCATTGACCTGCAGTCTCTGTACTCCACGTCCATTGACCTGTAGTCCCTGTGACTTCACCTCCATTGACCTGTAGTCCCTGTGCTCCACCTCCATTGACCTGTAGTCTCTGTGACCCCACCTCCATTGACCTGTAGTCCCTGTGACCCCACCTCCATTGACCTGTAGTCCCTGTGACCCCACCTCCATTGACCTGTAGTCCCTGTACTCCACGTCCATTGACCTGTAGTCTCTGTGCTCCACCTCCATTGACCTGTAGTCTCTGTGCTCCACCTCCATTGACCTGTAGTCTCTGTGACCCCACCTCCATTGACCTGTAGTCCCTGTGCTCCACCTCCATTGACCTGTAGTCCCTGTGCCCCACCTCCATTGACCTGTAGTCTCTGTGCTCCACCTCCATTGACCAGTAGTCCCTGTGCCCCACCTCCATTGACCTGTAGTCTCTGTGCTCCACCTCCATTGACCAGTAGTCCCTGTGCCCCACCTCCATTGACCTGTAGTCTCTGTGCTCCACCTCCATTGAACTGTAGTCCCTGTGCCCCACCTCCATTGACCTGTAGTCCCTGTGACTCCACCTCCATTGACCTGTAGTCTCTGTGCTCCACCTCCACTGACCTGTGGTCTCTGTACTCCACCTCCATTGACCTGTAGTCTCTGTGACCCCACCTTGATTGACCTGTAGTCCCTGTGCCCCCACCTCCACTGACCTGTAGTCTCTGTGTCCCCACCTCTACTGACCTGTAGTCTCTGTGCTCCCACCTCCATTGACCTGTAGTCTCTGTGACCCACCTCCATTGACCTGTAGTCCCTGTGCTCCACCTCCATTGACCTGTAGTCCCTGTGCTCCACCTCCACTGACCTGTAGCCTCTGTGCTCCACCTCCATTGACCTGTAGTCCCTGTGCTCCACCTCCATTGACCTGTAGTCCCTGTGCTCCACCTCCACTAACCTGCAGTCCCTGTGCCCCCACCTCCATTGACCTGTAGTCTCTGTGCCCCACCTCCATTGACCTGTAGTCCCTGTGATCCACCTCCACTGACCTGTAGTCCCTGTGCCCCCACCTCCATTGACCTGTAGTCTCTGTGCTTCCACCTCCATTGACCTTTAGTCCCTGTGACTCCACCTCCATTGACCTGTAGTCCCTGTGACCCCACCTCCATTGACCTGTAGTCCCTGTGCCCCACCTCCATTGACCTGTAGTCCCTGTGCTCCACCTCCATTGACCTGTACTCCCTGTGACTCCACCTCCATTGACCTCTAATCCCTGTGTCCCCACCTCCATTGACCTGTAGTCTCTGTGCTCCCACCTCCATTGACCTGTAGTCTCTTTGCTCCCACCTCCATTGACCTCTAGTCCCTGTGACTCCACCTCCTTTTACCTGTAGTCTCTGTGCTCCACCTCCATTGACCTGTAGTCCCTGTGTCCCCACCTCTATTGACCTGTAGTCTCTGTGCTCCCACCTCCATTGACCTGTAGTCTCTGTGACCCCACCTCCATTGACCTGTAGTCCCTGTGACTCCACCTACATTGACCTGTAGTCCCTGTGTCCCCACCTCTATTGACCTGTAGTCTCTGTGCTCCCACCTGCATTGACCTGTAGTCTCTGTGACCCCACCTCTATTGACCTGTAGTCCCTGTGCTCCACCTCCATTGACCTGTAGTCTCTGTGCTTCCACCTCCATTGACCTGTAGTCCCTGTGACTCCACCTCCATTGACCTGTATTCCCTGTGCCCCACCTCCACTGACCTGTAGTCCTTCTGACTCCACTTCCACTGACGTGTAGTCCCTGTGCCCCACCTCCATTGACCTGTAGTCCCTGTGCTCCACCTCCACTGACGTGTAATCCCTATGCTCCACCTGCATTGACCTGTAGTCTCTGTGACCCCACCTCCATTGACCTGTAGCCCCTGTGCTCCTCCTCCACTGACCAGTAGTCCCTGTGTTCCACCTCCACTGAACTGTAGTCCCTGTGCTCCACCTCCATTGAACTGTAGTCCCTGTGCTCCACCTCCACTGACCTGTAGTCCCTGTGACCCCACCTCCATTGACCTGTAGTCTCTGTGCTCCACCTCCATTGACCTGTAGTCCCTGTGCCCCACCTCCACTGACCTGATGTCTCTGTGCTCCACCTCCACTGACCTGTAGTCCCTGTGCCCCAACTCCACTGACCTGTAGTCCCTGTGCTCCACCTCCACTGACCTGTAGTCACTGTGCACCCACCTCCATTGACCTGCAGTCTCTGTGCTCCACCTCCATTGACCTGTAGTCCCTGTGCTCCACCTCCACTGACCTGCAGTCCCTGAGCCCCCACCTCCATTGACCTGTAGTCCCTGTGACTCCACCTCCATTCACCTGTAGTCCCTGTGCTCCACCTCCACTGACCTGTAGTCCCTGTGCTCCACCTCCACTGACCTGTAGTCCCTGTGACTCCACCTCCACTGACGTGTAGTCCCTGTGCCCCACCTCCATTGACCTGTAGTCCCTGTATCCCCACCTTCATTCACCTGTAGTCCCTGTGCCCCCACCTCCATTAACCTGTAGTCCCTGTGACCCCACCTCCACTGACCTGTAGTCCCTGTGACCCCACCTCCACTGACCTGTAGTCCCTGTGACTCCACCTCCACTGACCTGAAATCCCTGTGCCACACCTCCATTGACCTGTAGTCCCTGTGCCCCCACCTCCATTGACCTGTAGTCTCTGTGACCCCACCTCCATTGACCTGTAGTCCCTGTGATTCCACCTACATTCACCTGTAGTCCCTGTGTCCCCACCTCTATTGACCTGTAGTCCCTGTGCTCCCACCTGCATTGACCTATAGTCTCCTGTGACCCCACCTCCATTGACCTGTAGTCCCTGTGCCCCCACCTCCATTGACCTGTAGTCCCTGTGACTCCACCTCCACTGATGTGTAGTCCCTGTGCCCCCACCTCCATTGACCTGTAGTCCCTGTGACTCCACCTCCAGTGATGTGTAGTCCCTGTGCTCCACCTCCATTGACCTGTAGTCTCTCTGCACCCACCTCCATTGACCTGCAGTCCCTGTGCTCCACCTCCATTGACCTGTAGTCCCTGTGCTCCACCTCCACTGACCTGTAGTCCCTGTGCCCCACCTCCATTGACCTGTAGTCCCTGTGCCCCCACCTCCATTGACCTGTAGTCCCTGTGAGTCCATCTCCAGTGGTGCGTAGTCCCTGTGCTCCACCTCCATTGACCTGTAGTCCCTGTGCTCCACCTCCACTGACCTGTAGTCTCTGTGCTCCACCTCCATTGACCTGTAGTCTCTCTACACCCACCTCCATTGTCCTGTAGTCCCTGTGACCCCACCTCCATTGACCTGTAGTCTCTGTGCTCCACCTCCACTGACCTGTAGTCTCTGTGCCCCACCTCCACTGACCTGTATTCTCTGTGCTCCACCTCCAGTGACCTGTAGTCCCTGTGACTCCACCTCCACTGACGTGTAGTCCCTGTGCCCCACCTCCATTGACCTGTAGTTCCTGTGCTCCACCTCCATTGACTTGTAGTCCCTGTACTCCACCTCCATTGACCTGCAGTGCCTGTGCTCCACCTCCATTGACCTGCAGTCCCTGTGCCCCACCTCCATTGACCTGTAGTCTCTGTGCCCCACCTCCATTGACCTGTAGTCCATGTGCCCCACCTCCATTGACCTGAAGTCCCTGTGCCCCCACCTCCATTGACCTGTAGTCCCTGTGACTCCACCTCCAGTGATGTGTAGTCCCTGTGCTCCACCTCCATTGACCTGTAGTCCCTGTGCTCCACCTCCACTGACCTGTAGTCTCTGTGCTCCACCTCCATTGACCTGTAGTCTCTCTGCACCCACCTCCATTGACCTGTAGTCCCTGTGACCCCACCTCCATTGACCTGTAGTCTCTGTGCTCCACCTCCATTGACCTGTAGTCTCTGTGCCCCACCTCCACTGACCTGTAGTCTCTGTGCTCCACCTCCAGTGATCTGTAGTCCCTGTGACTCCATCTCCACTGACGTGTAGTCCCTGTGCCCCACCTCCATTGACCTGTAGTCCCTGTGCTCCACCTCCATTGACCTGTAGTCCCTGTACTCCACCTCCATTGACCTGCAGTGCCTGTGCTCCACCTCCATTGACCTGCAGTCCCTGTGCCCCACCTCCATTGACCTGTAGTCTCTCTGCCCCACCTCCATTGACGTGTAGTCCATGTGCCCCACCTCCATTGACCTGAAGTCCCTGTGCCCCCACCTCCATTGACCTGTAGTCCCTGTGGACCCACCTCCATTGACTTGTAGTCTCTGTGCTCCACACCTCCATTGACCTGTATTCCATGTGCCCCCACCTCCATTGACCTGTAGTTTCTGTGCTCCACACCTCCATTGACCTGTAGTCCCTGTGCCCCCACCTCCATTGACCTGAAGTCCCTGTGCCCCCACCTCCACTGACCTGTAGTCCAGGGCCTTGGCAAGGCTGAAGGAGGAGCCCGCACAGTCTAACACCCAGGCCCCCATCTCCCCTCCAGTATTTTTGGGCCAGTTAATCCACCTTCCTCAGCCCAGTTTTCCCTTACCACATATGACAAAAGCAGGAAAAGAAATGAGGTAGCTGAAGTCCTGGCTTTCCTGCTTACTAATTGGGCAGGTTAACTTCACTGTACCTTTGGTTTTCTCATCCAGCTTTTGAATGCCCCTGAAAATGCCCTCAAGTTTGCCAGTGGCCTGCATGTTCCACGTCCACATTTATTTCTTTTGACTTCTCCATCTTTCCCGGTTCTCTCAACAGTTCACACCCCACCCCACCCCACCCCATCCTCCATCCTCCACCCTCCACCCTCTGTTGTTTCTTCCCAGGGTTTATTATTTCCTGACATCATCTTGTTTATTTGATCATTACTTGTTTTTTAGTTCCCTTGCCCAATATCATCTCAAGAAAATTCCTTCTCTGTCTTCTTCAGTATAATAACTCGAGTCTTAAAACCATGACTAGCAGCCAGGCACGGTGGCTCACGCCTGTAATCCCAGCAGTTTGGGAGGCCGAGGCGGGCGGATCACCTGAGGTCAGGAGTTCAAGACCAGCCTGGCCAACATGGTGAAACCCTGTCTCTACTAAAGTTCAAAAATTAGCCGGCAGTGGTGGCATGCACCTGTAATCCCAGCTACTCAGGAGGCTGAGGCAGGAGAATCACTTGAACCTGGAGGCAGAGGTTGCAGTGAGCCAAGACTGCACCATTTGCACTCCAGCCTGGGTGACAGAGCAAGACTCCGTCTCTGGGGGGAGAAAAAAGCATGACTAGCACATGGAAGTTACTTGAGGATGGGTTCCAGCAAAACTAAGGTGAAAACAAAAAAGAGGAAGACATGGTGTCTTGAGATCAGTGTTTCTCACCTAGGAGGGCAGCAAAGGGAAATCCCGTTATAATAGCTGTGCAGCTACCAGCCTAGGAGGAGCAGGAGTAAGAATCTAGAAGGGTTTATGCCAGGAAAAAAAAAATAGCCTCCATATGATAGTATAATTAAGATGCTAACTATCTTGAGGATTAGAAGGCATATTATTCTCCCAGAAATAAGAAAACGAAAGGCAAGTCGAAACTCCAGAAAAACTAAAAGCTATATTTAAAAAGTCCTAGACTCAATGCGAAACAATTTAATATGTGGCACAATTTAGTATAAGAAGAAAATCAATTTGATCTCCCTGCAAAGATCATTCTTCTTTGAGTAACCAGGGATCAAGAGAAGCAGGACCAATGGAACAGAAAGTGTAATCCCAGCATACTGCTTGGACTTCAGGAAGATAGGATTTAACTAATAACAACTAAAAACATTTTTTCCTTGTTGCCTTCATATATTCTGGAGATGATAACATTTATTGAGTGCCTATGTACCAGGCAAGGTTTTAAGAGTTTTGCGTTGAAGAATATTTAATCCTCATAGCATGGTGAGGTACATGGTATCACGACCACATATTACAGACAAGGAACATCAGGTGTGAGATATTAAACAAGTTTTCTGAGGTCATAGCAGAAGAGCTAGATTCACAGCCTGACTTCTAACACCAGCTCTGGGTCTCGTGGCTCGGGTGTGAATCTACCAGAAGGGCTAGAAGATGCCTCCAAGCTGAGACGCAGAGCTGGCCCTAGACATCAGTCCATTTGGTTTTTAAGTCTTAGTGCTTCTTGCCAAGATGCAGAGGATACCACATGCCCAACGCAGACATACACACTCCTGGGAGCCAGGATGCAAAGCCACAGCGCAGCGGGGCTGGTCCAGGCTGGGAAGCCAGAATGACAGGGCCAGAGCAGGGTCTTACCTTCCTGCAGTCTTTGCAGAACACCGACGAGCTGCCCAGGAAGCCCAGCACCTCCCCGCAGAGCAGACACTGGGACAGGCCGTTCCCCATCACATTCCGCCTCATGGTCTCCAGCCGCTCCACCAGCCGCCTGCAGCACAGGACACAGAGTCAGAGGGACTGTGCTTCCTGCCTGGGCACAGTTGCACCGAGGCCCGAAACCGTACCATGCCACATGTGCTGTCCCCTCACCTGGGATATTGTTCCTTGCCCCGCCCTTCCCCTGGATAACAGCGAATCCTTCATTCACTCACCAACTATTCAGTGAGCACCTATGATTCATCAGACACTGGGAATACTGTAGCAAACAAGCCAGAGACAGACATGGTCCCTGTTCTCATGGAACTTACCTTCAATAAGGAAGAAAATTCATAAGCAAGAAAACAAGCAAACTGGTTTCAGATAGAGAGCAGCGCTATGAAATGGAAATAGTGGGGGGAGGGAGGGGGAGGGAGGGGGAGGGAGATTGAGGGGAGGGAGGGGGAGGGAGACTGAGGGGAGGGGGGGGAGGGAGATTGAGGGGAGGGAGGGGGAGGGAGACTGAGGGGAGGGGGGGGAGGGAGATTGAGGGGAGGGAGGGGGAGGGAGACTGAGGAGAGGGAGGGGGAGGGAGACTGAGGGGATGGAGGGGGAGGGAGACTGAGGGGAGGGAGGGGGAGGGAGACTGAGGGGAGGGAGGGGGAGGGAGACTGAGGGGAGGGAGGGGGAGGGAGACTGAGGGGAGGGAGGGGGAGGGAGACTGAGGGGAGGGAGGGGGAGGGACATTGAGGGGAGGGAGGGGGAGGGACATTGAGGGGAGAGAGGGGGAGGGACATTGAGGGGAGGGAGGGGGAGGGACATTGAGGGGAGGGAGGGGGAGGGACATTGAGGGGAGGGAGGGGGAGGGACATTGAGGGACAGGGGCATGTTCCATGGGACCAGCGAAGGCTCTGTGGACTCACAGCTGAAGAATGAGCCATGCCATCTGGCCTGTCTTTCCCACTGTAAAGATAAGGCCGGGCAGGGTGGCTCATGCCTGACATCCCAGCCCTTTGTGAGGCTGAGGCAGGCGGATCGCTTGAGCCCAGAAGTTCGAGAGCAGCCTGGGTAACATAGTGAGACCCCATCTCTACAAAAAAAATAAAATAAAAAATAGCTGGGTGTGGTGGTGCCCACGCACGGTCCTAGCTACTTAAGGCTGAGGTGGGGAGGTCGCTTGAGCCCAGGAAGTTGAGGCTGCAGTGATCTGTGATAGCACCACTGCATTCTAATCTACACTGCAGAGTGAGACCCTGTCCCCCCCAAAAAAAAAAGAAAAGGAAAAGAAAGATCAAAGATACATAGGAGGCCAGAATGAAATCAATTCCTGCCCAGTGCATTTGTGTCTTCCTACTTGTGCTTTTCTGTGTTTTTCAGATTTTCTAGGAAATATGAATTGCTTTCGTAATTAAACACTGGACACGATGGAAGTGCTGGAAGACTGAGCTGTGGTCGGCGCTGGAGGCGGAGGCCAGGAGAGGCACGTAGAGCCAGGCGGGGAGCGGCTCCTGCTGGAGCCTTTCAGGGGCGACCTGTGGCTTGGCCTCCACCTGAACCCCTCCCTTGGCTGAACCACAGCTGACCTGCAGGTGTGCACAGCCGAACAGCTCCTGGGAGGCTTCACCAGGCTCATTCACGCCCTCAGCATGGGGCGCACAGCTCAGCTAGCAGCCCCGTCTCACAGAGGGGTGTCCTGAGGCCTCAGCGGGCTGGGTTACACTCCCAGAGTTCAGACAGAGCACCCTTCAGCAAGGGCTGGAGTCAGGGACCTCCTCACCCACTCCCAGAGGTAAATAGCAAAACCAGGACCCGGAGTGCCGGCCTCCCAGTCCCCTGCGCTTGCGCCAAAGCCCTTGCTGTCCTCCCACTGAGCTGGCCCCGGCCCCGCCTCACCCGATTCTCTGCTGCTCCAGGACGTCGAGCCGCTCTGCCCTCTGGATGACCTGCAGGATGGCCTCCACCTCCGCCGGGCTGAGGTGCTGCTTCCTCCTCTGCTTCTCCGTCTGGTAGGTGTGCACGGACCAGCCCGTCTGCAGCCTCGAGAGGGAACAGCACAGACGGCGTGGAGGCCTCCCCGGTGCAAACTCCGGCAGCCCCTACCACATCCACCAAGCCCCCCCGAGAACAGTCAGTGGACGGCCCAGGTGCCGCGTGCCGGGACGACGAGCGCGGGCAGCAGAGATGGCCCAGGTGGCAACAGAGATGGCCCAGGTGGCAACAGAGACGGCCCAGGTGGCAACAGAGACGGCCCAGGTGGCAACAGAGACGGCCCAGGTTCCGTGTGCCGGGGTTGGGATTGCGGGCAACAGAGACGGGGCAGGTGCTGTGTGCCGGGGACAAGGCACATGGGCAACAGAGACGGCCCAGGTGCCGTGTGCAGGGGGCAAGGCACGCGGGCAACAGAGACGGGGCAGACACAGGCTCCAAGCGCCAGCCCTGCCATCCGCCAGCTCCTGGGCCTTGGCAAAGACGGCAGCACCACCTTAGCCCGGGAGGCAGAAACACAGAATGTGACGCTCACGTACACAGAGAAGGCCAAGGTCACAGCACGAGAGGTGTCAAGGGAGGAGCATGAGAGATTATCAAGAGAAGAAAAAGGGAGCTCGGAGCTCCGTAAGGTAGTGAGACGGAGTTCACCAGGGGACAGGAAAGCCATGTAATTAGGGTGAAGACACAGCGTTGATATGAACACTTTGAAAACTAGCAGGTTCGAGGCGGGGGGGAAGCGAGTTACAGAAGAGGAGCCGTGGTGAGGGCAGGTGAGGGCGGGCAACGGCGAGGCAGGGCTGGGACTGGGTCCGGAGGTTGAGCTGTCTCTGCTCCACTGGGCTGCGGGACTGACGCCTCCTGAGGCTGCAAATGGGGCGGGGGAAGGACTCAAACTCCTTCTATTTTTCTGGACAGGGAGAGAGTGGCAGCAGCAGATCAAACCCCGGAGCCCCTGCCCTGGGTGGGTGCCAGCTTCCCTGAGACATTCCGTGCCTGTGACATTGCTGTGTGCAGAGATGAACGAGACGGGAAAAGCCACTGCACCCTGAAGAACTACAATATGGTGGGGGTGGCAGATGCCAATCAATGACACAGATACCTATTTAACTAACAGGTCTAAGGCGTTTTCATTCTACGCATTACCAAGTACCCGCTGGGACGCCTGGCCTCTTAGGTGCCCGGGACAGGCTGCTTGGTGGGACGTGCAGGTGGGGTCAGGAAGTGGATAAATAAGAGAATTACCCAGCAGGGAGGGGATGAGGCTCTGGAAAGGCTCGCTTTCTTTAGGGAAGTGTCAGAAGGCAGGAGTCCTGGAGGCAGGACCTAGGGCAGCAGGCTGAGGGAGGCGGACCCTTTCCTGGGGGCCCCCTGACACAAGATGGGCCCCGGTGGTCTCATGTCCTGCCTGGTCCCGGCTGTTGCAGCTAACGGTTCTCTGTGGCCGACACAATAGGAGTTTGGAAAGCTAATACGCATATCCTTTCTCTGTCAGGGGGAGCTGGGGGCTGATGAATGTGAAGATCTAGGGTTTGGAGTCCACTGGACGGTCTTATCTTCTGGTCCCGTCCCTTCCCAGATGCGAGACCTCGGATGAGGCTCTCACCCTTGGTTTTCTGATCTGTCTCTTTAAGGGATGCCATGAGAATTAATGAGGCAGGGTAGATAAGGTGCTTTTACATAGCAAATTCCCAATTGCCTGCAAATGGTCGTTAATGGTGATAACTGTAATTATCATGGGGAGGGCTGTCAGGCATGGCTTTACCATGTGTGAGCTTTTGCAGGATGAACAGGTGCTTCCCCATGGAAGGAGGGAGGCGGGTTCAGGCAGAGGAGATCACACACGAAAGGCAGGGGGCATGGGTGGTGTGTGGTGTTTCAGGGATCCATACTTCTACACTGCCGGTTTTTCCAATTTAAAAAAAAAAAAACTGCAATGCCCTAGACCAACGCTTTCCAAGCAGTGCTCACGGTGCTGGGGAAGGAAAATACCGGGGCAGCAGGGCAGGGCTGGAAGGGGGGCAAGGCCAGTAGAGTGGGCAGCCTCTGCCTGGACTACCTGCCTTGCTCCTATGAACTGCACACATGCAGGGGTTCAGGCCCCAAAAAGCAATATCCCCTCCACAACCCCTACCTACTGGTTTGTTCCATCTGAGCATTTCGGAGGCTCCAGGGGTCAGTGATGGGCCAGGACACACTTCGTGTGGTTCCCGGGCCAGGGGAAGGGAGTTGGAAGCCAGGGCCCCCAGGTTCAGGGAATCACCACTCCCTCCACCCTCCAGCTAATGTAGAGAAAGGAAGGGTCCCAGGAACACACAGAAGGAGGGACAGAAGCATCAGCACCGCCACCACTGCCTGTCCTGATGGACACGGGTCCCACGAGCTTGTTCTGGGGCTGGTGATGGCACAGGACACTACAGATGTCTTCCATCGGACCCTCACAGTCACCCCGAGGCAGGCCCGGACCCTCCATCACCCCGCGAGACAGTCCAGACCCTCAGTCACCTTGCGAGGCAGGCCTGGACCCTCAGTCACCCCCCAAGGCAGGCCCAGACCCTTACAGTCACCCGGTGAGGTGGGCCCAGACCCTCAGTCACCCCGAGAGGCAGGCCTGGACCCTCACAGTCATCCCACAAGGCAGGCCTAGACCCTCAGTCACCCTGCAAGGCAGGCCCAGACCCTCAGAGTCGCCCTGTAAGGCCCAGACCCTCAGCCACACGGCGAGGCAGGCCCGGACCCTGAGGCACCCCGCCCCATTTCTCAGAGGAAACGAGGTGCGGAACGTAGCTAGCTAGCAGGAATCTCGGGTTGGCCTCCACCGCTGACTCAAGGCCTGAGCCCTGACCTGCCGAGTTCGTATCCAGCAGCTGCTGACAGCCCTGCTTGGGAGCATTTCAGTCTCCCCCAGGGCCGCCTCCGCACCCACGTTCCTGCCTCCACCTGCTCCGCCTCCGGGCCCCAGTCATCCACGTCCTCTCATCTCACCCGCTGCCAGGCCAGGCCCTGATGCCCGCCTGCGGCCATAGCTCCACTGAGCATGCTGCCCACCCCCTTGCAATGTCCCCTCCATGCAGCTGACGGAGGCCGACTTGAGGGCACCTGACATCGATGGGCTGCAACCTCCAGGAAGAACCTGCACGTCTGGGAGCCCCACCTGTCCTTCCCCTGCACGTTCCCCGCACGGCGCCCTCGTCTCTCAGCTCACCAGTGGCTCCCTTGTGTTCTAGGCTTCGTGCAGTCCCCAGGCCTTTGCTCATGCTGCACCCTTCACCTGGGGCCCCTGTCTCTCTCCCTAAACCTTCTGTCCACCTCTCACTCCTATTCTTTCTTTCTATCTTTCTATCTAGCTAGCTAGCTAGCTATCTATCTATCTATCTATCTATCTATCTATGTCTATTTTGAGACAGAGTCTCGGTCTGTCGCCCAGGCTGGAGTGCAATGGCACAATCTCAGCTCACTGCAACATCCGCCTCCCAGGTGCAAGCGATTCTCCTGCCTCAGCCTCCTGAGCAGCTGGGATCACAGGAATGTGCCACTACACCCGGCTAATTTTTTGTATTTTTAGTAGAGACAGGGTTTCACTATGTTGGCCAGGCTGGTCTCAAATGCCTGACCTATGATCCACCTGCCTCAGCCTCCCAAAGTGCTGGGATTACAGGTGTGTGCCAACACGACCGGCTAATTTTTGTATTTTTAGGAGAGACAGGGTTTCACCGCGTTGGTCAGGCTGGTCTTGAGAACTCCTGGCCTCAGGTGATCCGCCCGCCTCAGCCTCCCAAAGTGCTGGGATTACAGGCGTGAGCCACCGCGACCGGCCTATTCTTTTTAAAGACTTCTTTACACATGACCTTCACCTGGAGGCTTTTCCTTGATCCCCTCCAAAACAGGTAAAGAATCTACTCTCAGAGTTCCTGGAAGGCCTGGGTATACGTCCTTCATTGGGCTGACACATTATTACGAGACAACATGAAACCCTCCATCTCCCCTCCGGAACATGAGTCTCTGGAGGACCAGGCCCTGCCCCTGGCCCCTGCCTACCTCTCCATCTTCCTTCCACACTGTCCACCCTTCACATTTTGCACTCACAACACACTGACCTCCGGCCAGGGCCTCCACATGCCCTGTTCCTTCTACCTCAGGGCCTTTGCACATGCTGTTCCTTCTGCCTGGAAGCGCTTCCCCCCTACTCCCATCTAACATTGGCCCATCTTCTGGGTCCCAGTGTAGGCAGCACACTCTCAGCCCCTCCTGATCCCCAGAGTAAGTCACACCTTCACCCACGTCCCCACCGCCTGTTATCACCGTCAAAGCAACTTACCTGGGTAACTATTCAAATAATGCTCACCTCTGCCCACCTGTGCTTTAAGACCAGGGACTGTGTTGGTCCTGTTCACTGCTGTGCAGTCAGTGCCTGGCACATAGTAGGGGGTTAGAAAACATCTGGTGGCAGCTGGAGGACTGAGGGGAGCCCCGAGCTGCAGCCCAGATATCCCTGAGGGTCCCACGGGACACAGCTCCCAGCTCTGCGGCTGGAGTTTAGTACGCCTCTCCTTTCCAGAGACTGTGCCAGGTACTACAAGGCAGTGCACCCCAGGGGAGGGGATAAAAGCATTCTCTCTTCCAAAGGGGCTACGACAGCATTTGGCTGCTGCTGAGAGAGAGAGAAGGTCAGGGAGAGCTGAAGGGAACCCTGGAGGGTCAGGAGTCCTGCTGGGCCCTGTCGAGAGCACAGTGGCGGAGCTCTCCTTGGAAACTCCTACCCTGCCCGGGAGGACACTTCATCTGCCTGGCGTCAGAGGACAGAGAGGGAGACGGACCGACCTCACCCACTGCGGGGGCCGCATGAAGGAGCCGAGCCCTCCTGGCGAAGGGGACCAGTTAACTGTGGTGCAGATTCCTGCAAATCACGCATGACTCCGCTCTCCTGGGGCGTTTCGAATTAATCTTTCCATCCCCCTTTGATGTTTCAGCTCTGTCCCCTGCAGGCTCATAACATCTAATTGCAATTTTTTTTAATTTGGTCCCACTTGGGAAATGCTTGCTCCCGTAATTGGCATGGGTTGAAGGATGAAGGGGCCCTTTTGGACTTATCACATGCCAGAGACGCCCAGCCCCTCTGAGGGACAGCGAGGGACTGGAAGGCAGGCAAGGCATCTGAGAACTCCCATCTCCAGCCACAGTGCACAGTCGGTGGAGATGGCCTGACCTACCCAGAGCTGAGAGGTCACTAGGCTGAGGGACAGCAGGAAAACCAGGGCCAGGCGCGGTGGCTCACGCCTGTAATCCCAGCACTTTGGGAGACCAAGGCGGGTGGATCACTTGAGGTCAGGAGTTCGAGACCAGCCTGGCCAACATGGTAAAACCCCCGTCTCTACTAAAAATACAAAAATTAGCCCATTGTGGTAGTGGGCACCTGTAATCCCAGCTACTCGGGAGGCAGGAGAATTGCTTAAACCAGGGAGGCAGAGGCTGCAGTGAGCTAAGATCGTGCCATTGCACTCCAGCCTGGGCGACAAGAAAAAAGAAAGCCAGGACCCCCAAGGGAAGAAACTGGAAGCAAGGAACTAGCGAGATTCTCAGGAGAGCACAGAGAAGGCCCTGGGGCAGCTTGGGGCTGGTTGTGCTTCAGCCTCAGGGGCAGCGCCTCGTCCACTGCAACAGACTTTTGTTCCCCCGTCTGACAGTGCCAAGCACTGGGCTATGACTGGGCATCCAGAGATCAAAATCTCCCTGTCTTAAGGGACTTGCAGTCCTACAGCTCAGTGACAGGAGAGAAGGCACACGAGGTGGTGTGGGTCCCTTACAGCCTGTTGATAGAAAGGACACACAGGCTAAGGAGTCAGCTGGACCCAGGTGTGGGTTGCAGCCCTGCCACCCACAAGTTAAGTGATGTGGGCAAGGAGCTCAGCCTCACTTTGCTCATCAGGGAAATGGGGATAAATTCTGCATGGTAGTTAAATGAGTGAATGGCTGTGTCCAGGGCCTGGAGTGTGGCATGCATCCGACAGGCACCTCTCTCCAAACATCTCTTTCTGGGCCCCTGGGAATGAATCTTGCTGAAGACAGGAGAGGAGCAGGGAGGCAGAAGGAAGGGACGGCCTGGGGGGCCCCAGAGGTACTCACTTGGCTCGAAGGGCAAGCTGCCGGTCATTGGGGCAAACCCACTGATCATTCCCGCTGCCGAAGATGGTGTCGGCCATGGCTCGGAGCACCCGGCTGGGGGTTGGGAGTCACATCTGAGATGAAGGAGGGAAGACGAAAGAGTGTGCATCATTGGCTGGGGTACAGATGGCAGACAGGTTCTCTGTGCCCTCAGGCCCCTCCACACCATCTCCATGCACGATCCCCACTGATGCCTGGAATCTCACTGTGGGAACCATCTCTCCAGCAAAACACTCTTCCCTCAAGGCTCCTCTTCAGAAGGCTCATGATTCTAGGAGGGTGACCAGGTGGATCATGTGGCCGAGTGACAAGAGTGAACATGACTGGCAGGGCATCAAAAGGTTAGAGTCAGAAAGGAGAGAGGAGGCTCACCCTTAGCAGTTTTCAACTCAACCCTGGAGGCCATCTGCTCCCTGCCCCCTCCCAGTACAGCAGGGGCCGAACTGAGCACGTCACCCAGCAGGAGGGGCTGGGCTGGGGGGTGATGGCCAGACAGGCTGGGAAACCCTACTCCTTTCCCAAACCTGGGGACCTGGCTCTCCTTCCCAACAGACTCACACCGATGATCACAATGCCCTCGAGGGCAGGCAAGAGGGCAGGGGGTGGCAGCTACAGCCAGGATTGCCACCCAGCACCATGCCAAGGGGAGCCGTCCATAGACACTGCCATGAAAATGGCACCTGGGGATCCCCCAGGGAGGTGGCCCTGCTCCAGGACCCCCTGAGGGCTTCACCTGTGCACTGTCTAGTGTGCCGGCTTTCTCCCTGCCTCCCAGGACAGGATTGTCTTTGGTGGTCTGAGGATGCCACGCGTGCATTCTGAAGGGAGTGTGGGATGAGGCCGAGGGTATCTGAATCCCAGAGCAAGGAGGAGGGGCTCTCCTGAGCCATCCACACTCTCCTGGTCTAATCCCAGCTAGGCCAGTGGTTCTCAAACCCAGGGCCCCTTTACACTCTTAAAAAAGATCCAGGTTCGAAATCCGTTTGACACTTCCTCAAAATGTTGAACACAGACTTACCATATGACCCAGAAACTCTACTCCTAGTTACACACCCAAGAG